>NC_000005.10:106359807-106984807 GCF_000001405.40 Homo sapiens
GCATTTACCCTTTCTTTGTTTGTTGTTTTGTTTTGTTTTGTAAATACTGTTATTCCTTGGTGGCATAAAATATTCTGACTGAATAAATTACACTGAACATCTCTCCCATTTTTCTAATGTTTCAAATGCACAGAAATTTCTGAAATGGCTTATAGGTGTAATCTATTCTATTTGATTAAAAAAGTGTAATATTTAGGGCAAGAAAGGAAATCTGGCTTCACAAACATTAAAATTTATGTCTAAATAGTCCTCTTTCTCTCAAGATCAAATTGCTCTGGCATTATAATTATTTTTTTGGCATATTTGAAATAACACAAAGTTATATCTGAAAACATAACTATCCTAAAAATGAGGAGCAATCAATACAATGTTAATTCTGCCCTTATATATCCAATTTATTAAATAGTCTGGCCAATGTGATTTCTTAAAATGTGTTTTATATGGTTTTTGTTTTTCTAACTAGGCTATTTAATGTGTCATTTAGAATCTCTCATTTCTTCCCATTACTGTCATCTCTGACAGATCCCACTATGCTTGATAAACACACACACACACACACAGAGCAATAGAGTTAAGATTAATGAAAAACTTCACTCCCACTTCTATACTTTCAGCTTGGCATACTTGGAAGAATAATAGGCCTGCCCCAAACACATACAGCACCCAAGGCAAAAGTATAAGGGAGGTACTATATACAAGTTGATTATCCCTTATCTAAAATGCTTGGGAACAGAAGTGTTTTGAATTTCAGATGTTTTCAGATTTAAAATATTTGCATATACATGAAGAGATATATTGAGAATGAGACCCAATTCTAAACACAAAATGTATGTTTTATATACACCTTGTACATACAGTCTGAAGGTGATTTTATACCATATTTTTAATAATTTTTTTTGCATGAAACAAAGTTTGTGTACACTGAACTATTAGAAAGCAAAGGTGTCACTATGTCAACCACCCATGTAGACAAGTTGTTTGGCACCACCATCACTCCTGGCTTTGAATTTATATGTTACAAATAACCAGCCATTTTCTTATGTCAAGTACGTATTAAAAAAAAAAGACACACTGTTAATATAGTGTAAAACGATGTGTTCAAGGTAACAAAGTAGCACATTAGCTTTACCAGAATACTTGTATCCACTGTTAAACAGCAGCAACAACAAACAACCACAGGCTTTCCATCTCTACCTACAATGCTGCCTTTTTATTAAAAGATTACTGGCCGGGCGCCATGGCTCACGCCTGTAATCCCAGCACTTTGGGAGGCCGAGGCAGGCAGATCACGAGGCCAGGAGATCGAGATCATACTGGCTAACACGGTGAAACCCCATCCCTACTAAAAGTACAAAAAATTAGCTGGGCGTGGTGGCGGATGCCTGTGGTCCCAGCTACTTGGGAGCCTGAGGCAGAAGAATGGCGTGAACTCGGGAGGTGGAGGTTGCAGTGAGCCGAGATCGCGCCGTTGCACTCCAGCCTGGCGACAGAGCGGTACTCCGTCTCAAAAAAAAAAAAAAAAAAGAAAAGATTACTGCACACTGTATTTTATGCACTGTATTTTATTTTTTTTAGGTGAGAAAAAAAATTAGGAGACGTTGAGAGATCAGGAAGTGGGTCCTCTAGGGATGAGGAGGCATTCTGCTGGCTGGATTTTTTTTTTTTTTAATTTCAACTTTTTTTTTTTTGAGATGGAGTTTTGCTCTTGTTGCCCCAGCGGTCTCGGCTCACTGCAACCTCCACTTCCTGGGTTCAAGCAATTCTCCCTCATAAGCCTCCCGATAGCTGGGATTACAGGCATGGGCCAACATGCCCAGCTAATTATTTTATTTTATTTTATTTTATTGTATTTTTGTAGAAACGGGGTTACATCATATTGTCCAGGCTGGTCTCGAACTCCTGACCTCAGGTGATCCACCTGCCTGGGCCTCCAAAAGTGCTGGGATTACAGGCGTGAGGCACTGCGCCCGGCCAATTTCAACTTTTATAATAGATTAAAGGGTACACATGCAGATTTGTTACATGAGTAAATTGCATGACTCTTAGGCTTGGGCTCCAACAATCCCATCCCTGAGGCAGTGAGCATAGTACCCAATGGGTGGCTCTTCAGCCCATGTCCCTCCTCCCTTTCTCTTCCATCTACTGGTCCCCAGTGTCTATTATTCTTATCTTTAGGTTCATGTATATTCAATATTTAGCTCTCAATTACAAGTGAGAAAATGTGATATTTGGCTTTCTGTTCTTGCATTAGGTCTCTCAGAATAATGGTCTACAGCTCCATTCATGTTGCTGCAAAGTACATGATTTTGTTCTTTTTAATGGCTGCATAGTATTCCACAGTGTATTTCTACCACGTTTCTTTATTCAGTTCACTGTGGCACCTAGGTTTATTCCCTGTCTTTGCTATTGGGAATAGTGCTGCAGTGAACATACAGGTGCAGTGTTTTTTTGGTAGACTGAATTATTTTCATTTGGGTATATACTTAGTAGTGGGATTTCTGGGTTATGTAATAGTTTTATTTTAAGTTATTTGAAAAATCTCTGGACTGCTTTCCACAGTGGCTGAGCTAATTTGCATTCCCTTCAGAAGTGTATAAGCCTTTCTTTTTCTCTGCAGCCTTGCCAACACCTGTTTTTTTTTTCTGACTTTTTAATAATCACATTCTGACTCATATAAGATGGTATTTTATTATGGTTTTGATTTGCATTTTTCTGATCATTAGCGATGTGGAGTAGTTTTTCATATGTTTGTTGGCCACTTGTACATATTGTTTTGAGAAGTGTCTGTTCATGTCCTTTGCCCATTTTTTAATTGGAGTTTTTGTTTTTTGTTGATTTGTTTATGTTCCTTACAGATTCTGGATATTAGGCCTTTGTCAGATGCATAGTTTGAGAATATTTTCTCCCATTCTGTAGGCTGTTTACTCTCTTGGTAATTTCTTTTGACCTTCAGAAGCTCGTTGGTTTAATTAGGTCCCACCTGCCAATTTTTAAATGTTTCCTTGAGAATCACCACCCTCATTAAGAATGATTTTTGTCTTAGAAGTTTCCCTTTGCTTTTACAAACTGACATGATTTCTTGTTCTGATATAAATGCATGCTGTTCTAGTCCTCCAATAAGCCCGTCACACATTTTCTCAGTGTCCTCTATAGACACTCTTTCTACACTGTTAACACAATCATCTTTCTTGTCACTATTAACATGAGCACCTTGTTTTGGTACCATTTCTGCTATTTCACCATCAGTCAATGAATAAACAACTGCAGCCTCATCATTAATGTTAAAAACTTCTTCAATATCCACTTCTTCCAGCTTACAGATGGACCCTGAAGGTATATTTTTTGCATATATAGGGACATTAGGCATCATTTTTTTCCCTCACTTGACATACAGAATCTTTCAAAGTCACCGCTTTAATTATGGTAAAAACTGAACATAGTTACAGGCCAGAGTTTGTGCCAGGCATGCACAACTGTGTCCGTATTCATCTGCAGCAATACATATGAACATCCTTCATGCTAAACTCCATTGAAAACCTTCCATGCCCACACCTCTGTTCACTGCTCCAAGCGTGCTGTTTAAGAAATTATTTTTATATTTACCCTTCACTAACCTCAGAATACTTTGGTCACATGGGTGAATTAATAAGGCCACATTTGGGGGAATGTACATGACATAAACATTTTTTATAGTTTCCAGATTTTTAGCAGGGATATGGGCAGAATAGTTGTAAAGTAATAACAAAATTTTGCAGTTGTCATCCAGTTTTGCTTTGCTACAGTAAGCATGAGCCACAGATACAAAATGTTTATGAAACTAATCAGAAAAGATATTTCTGGTGATACTGCCTTTTTGTTAAAATAATAATGAACTGGTAAGAAATTCACTTCTCACAAACAGTGAGGATGCGTGCTATTGTGCACCACAGCAAGTTTAACCCCTAGGCATGCCTATTGTGTTAGCACATCCCAGAACAATTAATCTGTCCTTGGCTTTAATTCCTGAAAAAGGTGTGTCATCAGCTGTAGTGAGTATCTTTCTGAAGCAATAATGACAAATTAGTTATGTTTCATCAGCATTATAAACTTATGACATCAGATTTTCATCAGCAATAACCCTAGCAAACTCTTCAATGAATGTATCCATTGTTTCATGATCAGCAGATACTTTATCACCATCGATCTTTAAAAATTTAATGGCATGTCTTTTGTTAAATTTCCCTGCAACCAGCCTGTTGAATATTCACAGCTCCCTTCTATTTTCAGCTCATCATGATGGATCTTATCCTATTTCATGATCAGTGTACCATTAAGTGTCCTATGTGTGATGCTGATGGATCTACTCTTTCAGTACATGACAGATATCTTCATTTGTTCCTTTATGTAGTATTTTTCTATTTTTTATTAACTTCTGTTCATCACTTTCAGCATAGAACTTCCACAACGTGTCCTTCTGTTTCTTCAGGTCATATATGGTGGTGATTCCAAGACCGTACTCTTCTGTAAGATGTTTCTCACCACACCATCCAGTTTCCCCAACACCTTGACTTTCTATGCTATAGATAAACAGAAATGCTTCCTCTTTTTCTTATCACTGTTACTCATAGGCATATCTACAGGCCTTTTTATTATTTTCAACAATATCCTTATACCACAGGGTGGAAAAGAAACAAAAACACACAATGTGTGTGTGTGTATATATATATATATGTATATATATGTGTGTGTATGTGTGTGTATATATATATATATATATATATATAAAATTTGTGTGTGTGTGTGTTGGCCCTGTGTGAGGCATTGTGGGACATTTGTCATGGTGTGTCTGGCCTGTGCACCTGCCAAAGGTGCATGTGGATCCTTTTCGTGTGTGCTTGTATGGGGGAGTCTGGCATGTGCAGAAAAGAGAATTCACAGTTAAAGGGGGTTGTGAGAGTCTTTTTGCCCTTGGGGATGCTGAATAAATTCTGTATTGAGTACCACCATTTTGAATAAAATCCATCACATGAGTTCAGTTGTGAAATTTTCACTTGTAGAATCAGGTTGGTGCTCAAACACTACGATTTTGGAGCCTTTTCGATTTCACATTATCAGATTACGGATTCTCAGCCTACACTATAAACCAATATATTTAAAAGTTGTAAGTCAAGGTTAATGTTAAATAAAATATGTTTCTTGAATAATATAATTTATTTATGAGAAAATAGAAAAATACGTGTAAAGTTAAGTCTTTTATGTCAGAAAGGAAACAAAGTACTAAAGACCAAATTGGTTATTTCACAAATTTAGGTATTAGGTTTATTTAGGTATTAGGTGTTAGGTATTAGGCTGGTGATGTTTGGATGGAAATAAATATATAAATGTAATTCATAAATTAATATATAGTTATTTCATGAAAAGTTGACTATGTTGTTATAATCAACAATTTTTATAATTGGCATTCTATTGGCAGTGATAACCTAAAGGATTCAACAATTATAATTATATTCAATCATACAAAATTTAAATGTGATCTTACTTAAAAATTAGTGTTGATGTAAATGTAAAAGATATTTTCATATGTGTTTTCAAAACACATTCTTCTCAAAATTTAAATTTGTCTATTCAAATTAAAAGCAAATACAAATTATATTTAATTAATACTGAATTTTAGCTCAGAATTCCTTAAACAATTGACATTTTTCCTTGTTTTGATATTTTTATTATTTTTTAATATTGTAACTTTCCTTCTACAAAAATGTTAAAATTTTAATCTCAGCATTCACCACCCATGCAGCTGCTAATGTACTCAATTCTTTCATGTTTCATGTCTTTACAACTGGACCTACAATTATAGGGCAATATGAATTATTAAATATGGCAAAATTACCCTCAGCCAAGAAAAACTGTTTTAAAAAATGTGCTAATTGATGACTAACTCTGGAAAATAAATTAGTACATAAGAAAAATGAATTTGCACATAGAAAATAGATGCCCTGACATTACTGAGAATGTTGAAAATAATAGTTTTTATGCAATAATGTATTGGCATTTATGCTATATAAAAGAAATAAATTAACAAGTTGATGTATTTTCTCTTCCATAAGCATTCTGTCATTCAAATTTTTCTCTCACTCCAAAACAATGTCTACTCTAAATGACATAGATGCTGGCATAACATATACCTTTTTTTATTTTTTTGAAGACAAAAAGCAAGACATGTAGAGTTGTTTCCCTGGAGACCTTACAGATTTTAGTCACTAAAGCAACTGAGGTGTGCTATGCCTCCCTTGATCTCTGGAACTGAGTGAAAAGGCACTCATGTGTTCTTAAATAAATTTTTATAATATACTAAGTACTGTTGCTTTGCTTGTGATATGTATACCTTCCAAAACATGGAGCTCATTACAAGATTCTTGCTTGTCCAGGTCTAAAAAAAAAAAAAATTGACAGGTGGAAAGAGAGGAGATCCCCATACATACAGCTCATACACTCCTCTCTGACCAAAGGAATTATATAAAACAAAGATCTTGCTTTTTTATATATTTCAGTAAAAAAATAAATGTTCTGTACAGCATGATAGTAAGTATCTGACAAGGGCCTAAACTGTATGACCAGTTTTAAAGCCTGTATTCCATGATTTCAGAGAAAGAGCAGTAATGGTGATCAGATCCCCAAAATGATCAGAGTGAAGAGGGACTGAGGTGGAATAGTGGAGTGGGTTGTTCCCTTAAACATCTATTATAGGGCATGACAGGATAATGATTGGCTTCAGAGGTTAAAAGAAACTTTTTTTTTTCTCTGAGAAGGGCCTGATTTCACTTAAAGCCAGGAGGCATGAAAAATACTTGAGAGTAATTTATGCAGTGAAGATAATTAATAATGGAAGAGGTATGCTAGAAGGAAGGATATCCAATTTGAGATGAAGAAAAGGTATAGGAAACAGGAAAGAGAGAACCATTAGGAAATAAGAGAACAGGGCATGTTCTTGAAAACCAGCAATTGATAGTGTTGGTGTTTGAACCCAGTATTGGTCTAAAAACCACGTCCCTCACTTTTATACTATATAGGACAATTAGATGGATACACTTGTGGTTTTACACCAAAAACAAGTGTCATGCGACATATGCTTTCAAGATATAAAAATTATATATAGCAATTATATAGTAAGTGCAGAGTGGGAATAGTAAACATTTAAATAATTTTTAACTCATTGCTGGCAAGCTTTATGTCTGGGTACAGTACTTGATCAACTTTATGATATGTTTTGAAGGAAAGTAGACTCCTCATACTTGCCTAAATGTATTTCTTCTGTACCTTTTTACGGATGCCTATAACTTTAGTGTTATTTAATCCTTTAGTTTAGGGCAATGTTTCTCAAATATTTGTGCATTTCACAATCACCTAGGAGATTTGATTTTAAAAATCTATCCCTGGACCTTACCTGAAAATTCTATTTCAGTGGAGCTACACTTTCAGAAACATTGATTTAAACAACATCCTCCCAAATAATTTCCTATAAAGAGAAATAATTAAACTGGTATTAAGACTGTGGAAAAATAGCTAAAATTTGCTCCTGGAATGAATAAAGTTTTATTAAAAAGATAAGATCAGAAATAGTTCAAGTATGGAAAACTGGCAGGCAAAGTCAGGATGGACTGGTTATGAGTCATGGAGGGTACATTTGGAGGTGCAAGTTAGAACCTAGTAGAGCCAATCAGGAGGATGGCGAATTCACAATTTAGTCATGTGAAGACTAGCTATTTCCCTTCTTTCCATAAGTGATTGCCTTGATATATGGTGAGATAGCACTTCCTAGCAAACAGAACACATTCTATGTTTTGCCAAGCTTTTCTGCAAGGGCTGTGTGACTCCATAGTAAATATGATATTTAACTTAGTCGTATGCTTCAAATCTGTGGGAAAGTACACATTCAGGGCCAATTCATCATGCACATCTGCAACAGTACTGCAATTTAATATAAGCAGCTTATATTATTGATGAAAAATTCTTGACTATTAAAAAACTCTGCTTTAAAAATACATTTTATCATGAAATTCAATCCAGATTGCATTTTACTGTTTTCTTTAATGGAGAATTTGTATTTTATAGCAGAGTAAAATGGATAGAAAGAATATAATAACTAGGTTTTGGGTGAGAAAAAAATTGACAATAAGCAAAATCAATGAAAAGCAAGAAGCAAAAAATGTTTATTGTTGAATGCCTAACATGATCAGCTTTAAATCCAATTACATAGTAAGTAAAAAGGGTGACATTTAATATCATCCAGTGAAGATGAGTTTATTAGTTCTGAGCCAAAATGAACAGGAAAATAAACAGCTCTAAAAAGATAAAAGCAAAACAGATACTGTTGCTGTCAAGATAGTATACTGTACTAGGTTAGGCTGCTGGCTGTTTGCCCTGTTCCAACCCTAGAGATGCCACAGAAGAAACACAGTTTTGGATGGATACAATGAATCAACATAAAGACCATGAGTACTCCCTGAAGAGGGAGAGGACAGCCTGAGATGTAGGAGGGTGAGAATCCACTGCCAAAGGCCTTGTCTCTTTGACACACTGCTGTTGATGCATAGCCCGTCCTCATCAGTGTGATATAGCAGGCCAACTTCTCAATTAGCTGAAGCAGAACTACCATTTGATCCAGCAATACCACTACTGTGTATCTACCCAAAAGAAAATAAATCATTTACCAAAAAGATACCTGAACTCATACATTAATCATAACACTATTTACAATAGCAAATATAGAACCAACCCAATTGTCTATCAACAGATGTTTGGATAATAAAAATGTGGTGTGTGTGGGTGTATGGGTGTGTGTGTATATACATGCTTACAGTGGAATACTATTTGGCCATAAAAAATAATAAAATCATGTCTTTTGCAACAATATGGAAGGAACTAGAAGCCATTATCTTAAGTGTAATAACTAGACACATAGGCCCTACCAAGATTGAACCATGAAGAAACTTGAACAAACCAATAACAAGTAATGAGATAGAAGCTGTAATAAAAAGTCTCCCAGTAAAGAAAATACCAGGACCTGATGGCTTCACTGATGAATTCTACCAAATATTTAAGGAACTAATACCAATTCTACTCACACTGTTCAAAAAATATAGAAGATACTGTTTCTGAACTCATTCTATAAAGCCAGTATTACCCTGATAGCAAAACCAGAAAGACACATTAAGAAAAAGAAAACTACAGGCCAATACCTCTGATGGATATTGAGTAAAAATCCTCAATAAAATACTTGCAAACCAAATTCAACAATAAATTTAAAAGATCATTCATCATGACCAAGTGGGATTTATCCCAGGGATGCAAGGATATTTTAACAACACAAATCAACCAACGTAATACATCATATCAACAGAATGAAGGACAAAAACCATATGACCATTTCAGTTGATGCTAAAAAAGCATTTGATAAAGTTCAACATTCCTTCATGATAAAAACCCTCAAAAAAAAAAAACTGGGGATAGAAGGAACATACCTCAACATAATAAAAGCCACATATGACAGACCAATAGCTAGTAACATACTGAACGGGGAAAAGCCAAAAGCCTTTCCTCTTGGCTCTGGAATATGACAAGGCTGCCCATGTTCATCACTGCTATTCAACATAGTACTGGAAGTCCTATCTACAGCAACTAGATGAGAGAAGGATACAAAGACATCAAAATTTTTAAGAAAAGTTAAATTATTCTTGTTTGTTGATGATATTATCTTCTATTTTGAAAAACCTAAAGACTCCACACAAAATATTAGATCCGAGAAATTCAGAAAAATTGAAGGATGCAAAAACAGCATACAAAAAACAATAGCATTTCTATATGCCAACAGTAAACAACTTGAAAAAGAAGTCAAACAGTAATCCCATTTACAATAGTGACAAATAAAATTACCCAAGAGTTAACTTAACCAAATAAGTGAAAGATCTCTGCAATGAAAACTATAAAACTGATGAAAGAAATTGAAGGACACCAAAAAAAATGGAAAGATATTCCTTGTTCATGGATTAGAAGAATCAATATTGTTAAAATGTCCAGAGTACCCAAAGCCATCTACAGATTCATTACAATCTTGTCAAAATACCAATGACGATCTTCACAGAAATAGAAAAAGCAATTCTAAAATGTATGTGGAACCACAAAGGACCTAGAATAGCCAAAACTATCCTGAGCAAAAGGAACAAAACTGGATGAATCACATCACCTGATTTCAAATTATACTACAGAGCTATAGTAACCAAAACAGCATGGTACTGTGGCATCAAAACAGACACATATACCAATCGAACAGAAGACAGAACCCAGAAACAAATTCATACACAAACAGTCAACTAATTTTAAATAAAGATGCCAAGAATATACGCTGGGCAAAAGACAGTCTCTTCAATAAATGATGCTTGTAAAACTGGATATCCATATGCAAAAAATGAAATGAGACCTCTATATCTCACCACATACAAAAATAAAGTAAAAGTGGATTAAAGACTTAAATGTAAGACTTCAAACTATGAAACCACTATAGGAAGATATTGGGGGAACTCTCCAGAACATTGGTCTGGGCAAAAATTTCTTGAGTGACACCCCCAAGCACAGGCACACAAAATGAAAATGAACAAATGGGAGCATACCAAGTTAGAAAGCTTCTGCACAGTAAAGGAAACAATTAAGTGAAGGGACAACCCACAAGATGGGAGAAAATATTTGCAAACTACAATCTGAGAAGAGATTAATTACCATAACATATGAGGTGCTCAAACAAATCTTTAGGAAAAATAATTTGATTTTAAAAATGGGCAAAAGATTTGAACACACATTTCTCAAAAGAAGACATATAAATGGCAAGCAGGCATATTACAAGGTGCTCAAAATTATTGATCATCAGAGAATTGCAAATCAAAACTACAATGAGGTATCATTTCACCCCAGTTAAAATGACTTTTATCCAAAAGACAGGCAATAACAAATGCTGGCAAAGATATGAGGAAAAGACAATCCTCATTCATTGTTGTTCAGAATGTAAATTAGCACAACCACTATGGAGACCAGTTTGGAGGTTCCTCAAGAAGCTAAAAATAGATCTATCATATGATCCAGTAATCCCACTGCTGGATATATACCCAAAAGAAAGGAAATTAGTATATTAAAGAGATATATGCACTCCAATGTTTATTGCAGCACTGTTCACAATAGCCAAGATTTGGAAGCAACCTAAATGTCCATTGACAGATGAATAAATTTTCACGATGTGGTACTTACACACAATGGAGTACTATTCAGCCATAAAAAATGAATGAGATCCTGCCATTTGCAACAACATGAATAGAACTGGAGGTTATTATGCAAAGTGAAATAAGCCAGGCACAGAAGGACAAACATTGCATGTTCCCACTTATTTGTGGGATCTAAAAACCAAAATAATTGAACTCATAGAAATAGAGAGTAGAAAAATGGCCTGCAGAGACTGGGAAGTGTAGTGGGAGGTGAGGGTAGCAGAGAGGTGAGGATGGTTAATGGGCATATAAAAAAAATAGAAAGAATGAATAAGATCCAGTATTTGATAGCATAACAGAATGACTATAGTCAAAATAATTTAACTGTACATTTTAAAATAAGTATTATTTTAATATGGAATACTAGGCACTATAAACACTCTGGTAGTGGGATCAATCAACTAAATATAATTGCATTATACTCTTTTGTAACACAAAGGATAAATGCTTGAGGGAATGGATATCCCACTTCATGATGTGATTCTTACACACTGCATACCTATATCAAAATAGATCATGGACCCCATAAATATATACACTAGTGTGTACACACAAAAATTAAACATTTAAAAACTTAACCAATATAAAGAATATGCATATGGAAATTTAGTTTGTGATAGAGCTAATATTACATACATATGTGGAAAATAAAACTATAAATTGTAAAATAATAATACCAAAAAGTGAGCCAAAAGTGGTTTTAGGTTAGTCTGCCTCAAAATTTCACCTAATCTTCTACATAAAAAAATAAAAATGTAAAATAAGAAGTACACACATGTCATCAAATTAAAAAAAAGTTGCATTTCTATATATCAGTAATAAACAACTTGAAAATGAAATTACAATAGCAATTACATTTACATTACCATTTAAAAGAATAAAATATTTAGAAATTAACTAAAATGAAGTAAATCTTATACAACAAAAATGCAAAATGTTGCTGAAATAAGGAAGATAAAAATAAATGAGAACACCTCTCATGTTTATGGATTGGAGATTTCACATTGTTAAGATGTCAATATTACACAAAGTTCTAGAGTCAATGCAATTTCTATCAAAATCTCAATTACATTTTTTGTAGAAATAGAAACACCCACTCTAAAATTCATATGGAATTTCATGAGACCCTGAATAGACAATCTTGAAAAAAAAATCTGGATGACTCACACTTTCTGATTTTAAAACTTACTACAAAGCTACAGGAATCCAAAAAGCATGGTACTAGCCTAAAGACAGACACATAGACCAATATAATATAATACAGGGCCCAGTACTAAAGCCTCACATACATAATCATATTATTTTTGACAAGTTGCCAAGATCATTCAGTGGCAAAAGGACACTCTTTTCAAGAAGTGGTGTTGGGAAAACTGGATATCCACATGCAAGAGAATGAAGTTGAACCATTCCCTAACAGAATATACAAACATTAATTCAAAATGGATCTGAGATCTAAATGTAAAATTTAGATCTATAAAATCCCCATGTAACAAAATATTCACAACATGAATAAAACTTGAGGACATTATGCTATGTGAAATGAACCAGTCACAAAAAGACAAATGCCGTAGGATTTCACTTACATGAGATATTTGGAGTAGTCAAAATTATAGAGACATATAATAGAAAGGCAGTAACAGGGACTAGGGAAAGGGGTAAGAATATATTGTTTAATGGGTATAGAGTTTCGCTTTTACAAGATGAAAAGTTGTAAAGAGGTATGTTTATGATGTTTGCATGACATTATGAATGTATTTAATACCACTAAACCATACACAAAAAATGGTTAAGATTAAAAGTATAGTTACTAATGGAAAAAACAGTCAATTGATGAGTTATAATTATGTAGAAAAACATATAATATTCAGCATTATATATACATAATAATGAGGCCTCAAAATGTTTAAAATAAGATGTGTAAAAATTACCGAGACAAATAGATAACAAAACATATATACGAGTGTTTAAGCATAAGTTTTATGGAAAATAATAAATCGAACTGAAAAAGAACAAAGATAAAATTGATTTTGATAATAGAATTAACACCTTGTATTGATAGAAATGTTTACAATATTTTATACAACATGCAGAGAATATATTTTACTTCAAGAACACATGGAAAATTTAGAATATTGATAATACACTAGGACCAAAAGTAAATCGCAATAAATCCCAGAAACTCAACAGCATGCAGCCATGCTAGAACGCTTTGTGACATATTGGACTAAATATGTCTATACCATATGATTTACTTATTCCACTTCTGAGTATTTTTGCAGAAGTCTGTAAAAAAAAAAAAAGCACAAGAAAACATTAATTGTGATGTTTTTGGAATAACAATTGTTGCAAGCAGCCTGGGGATTTTTTGTTTTATTTATTTATTTATTTTTTAATCAGAGAATAGAAGAGAAATATTCAGTTGCACAAGGAAGAATGTAAAGCACAAATAAGAAGTAACAACTGAAATACATAAGGAGCAATGTGAATAAAGGACAGGAAAAGTGCTAATTGAAAAAAATTAAAAGTAATAAACTTCCATTTATTTAAAATTTTAAAACATACAAACACTTTACACATAATAACCCATTTATGCCTGAGGTTGCAGTTTTTTGAATTTTTGCAATCAGACATTGGTGATGGCCTTGAGCAGTAGGATATAAATAACTCCCATATGCTTAGTGTTCCAATAATGGAACACTAGGCATAAATGTGTTATTAAGGAAATACATCAACTACATTGGAGTAATTGACCAGTGTATCATGGAAATGGAAATAGTGAATTGACACAATAAAAGAAAATACAATAAACAAACAGGAATGTTAACACTGACTGATGGTAGCAATGTATTATGAATGGAATAATGGACCATTCAGCTCTCTCAACTTAAAGTCAATTCATTTCTTTCCATCCTCCATCTGCAGAGAGCGCTTCCATTTCAGCTCTGAAATACTGGGCTATATAAACAGTATGGTAGTGGGATCAACTAGTGTGACATAGACTTGGTGCGATGAAGAAAAGTGTTATACATTTTGGAAGAGTCGTGACAAACAAAATATTTTTGTAATATTTTAATAGGTACAGTAAATCAAGTTGAAAGGGAGATTAGTAAGATGTAGGATAAATGTTTTTGCTGTAGCAATCTTCAAATTGGGTCATACTGCCTTTTTATGGTAGATTACTTCAATGTATCCAATATGTTTCACATAGACATAATTATCTTCTTCCTTACTCTTGTCACTTATTGCTAATGTCTTATTTGCCAATGTTTTACTCGCATTCATTATTTAGCACTACACTGGATGCTGCAGCAATGGACTTTCATTCCTTTTGTGCCACTCAACAGAAAGAAAATCACTTTTTTTTTAGAAAAAGGAAGCAAAAATAAAAGAAAATATATACTTGTATGTTTCTCCCAGAAAATGGGAATGAATTAGTTTATGTGAGATTTCATAAGGATCTATAGTAGGGGACACAACATTAATTGATGTAATTAAAGGTAAGTCATGTACATAAGTATCATAGGTGGTATATAGCCTTGATAATCAATTTGTGGCCTGAGGACCAGGAGTATCAGAATAACCGGTAAATTGCTGGAAATGCTCAATGTCTGCCCCCATTCCAGTCCTACTAAATTGAAAATCTGCATTTTCATAAGACATTTGGGTTAATCATGTAAATGTTAATCTTTGAGAATCACTGGCATATAAGACAATCTGTACACACAAAGGCTATGGTAAATAGGAGAAAGCACAACCCATTTATAGCTAAAAACTTCAATTGTTTAGGTCCAGGATTTTACATCGTTCTAGCTTTTAAAGAGAAACCTGTAATATAGGTTTAATACAAAATTTTAATTTTGTATTAAATTAAATACAAAATTTCCAGTATTTATGATAATTACTGATGATAAAAATTTAAATATTCTCTGTTATTCAAAACACATCAATTCATTAAATTCTAAAGGCAAAAAGTTTTTACATTCTCCTCTAGGTATTTCATGTTTTGCCTAATTCTGAAGAGCTGGTGACACTCCCCCTGAGTCATGGCTTGTGGCTCTTTTAGGCCAGGATGGAGAGGAAGAAACAAGGATGGTTCTATTACTGCAACCAAGATGTGGAAATTAGGTAGCAAAGATGCTTAGGAGTTCAGGCTTTAAATTAACATAGCTTTAGTTTGAGTCCTTGCTTCAACAATTCTAAGGGGCATGGCTTTGGGCAAGTTACTTATTAATTTTTCTGCTTGTCCCATTAGCAAAATGAGGCAAGTAATTTCTGCAATATAGGGTTGCTGGGAGGATTAAATGAGACAATGCAAATGAAGAGCTTACCACAATACCCAGCATGAAGTAAACTAATAGTATCACCATTCCCATGGTCTAATGCAGTGACTCCTAACCCTTTCCACACATCAGAATCACCTGGGGTGCAATTTGAAACGTACCAATCTCTGAGCCCCAAACAATTATATCAGACTCCCCATGGGTGAGGCATGGCCTTGAGGATTTTAAAATGTAGGAGTTTCTAATGTGCATTAGATTTAAATACCACTTACGTTAATGGAATGGAGCATATAGGTATATAGCTGATTTATGGCTAGAAAGGAAGGGAATTCTCTGAGCCTTTAGCTGCTTTTGCAACCTCCACAACACCATTTTAAAATTCCATACGAGGAATGTTATCTTTTATTTTTATTCATTTTTATTGAAGTTTCTTCAAATGAAAAGTGTTTTTATTTTCTCCTGTGGCTCAGATACTCTCCAAATTCATACATAGGACTTATTTATTGGTTCCTTAGATTAGAAATCACAGGATTATGAAATTATGACGTTACTCCTTGTATTTCTTAGTCTTTATGGAAGGTAGTGTATAGGAGTAACTAATCTTCTCCTTCACACTCAGGTACTGTTCCAAGCATGAAAAAATTAGGTTTTCTTTTTTCATCTCAGTTGATTTGTTTGATCCTTTGTCATAAGTCAATTTTGTCACTGGATATTTGCATAGTTTCTTCAACCCTTCCACAGTTACTCTTTCAAACAATTCTCAGAGGTAACTTTAAAAAATTATAAATCCCCTTAATAATAATTTTTTTAAAATATGAGGTCTTCTAAAAATGGAAAAGAATGCGTTGAATGTGTTTTTTGGAAAAGATCTGAAGCATAGCTCATAACAGCATTACTGTAATGATGCATTATAATTATTTCATATACATAAGGGGTTCTATGGAATACTCAATGAGACATTCTATTTGGCTGTTTGAAAGAAGCTAAGACAGACTGAAAATGAAATTTTAGTAACTCTTAGAATGATGGGAGATAAATAAATATTCAAAGAATAACATGCCATGAGGAGCTACCTTTTCTAGATTACAATCAGTACCAGTTAGGTACAGACAACTAGAGCACACAGAAAAAGTCAGTGGTGCCATGATTGGAGTTAGATACTTTTTGTGCTCAAAACTTTCTTGCCATGTTGTTTTTTATGTGATCAAAATATATGATTAAATAACGGCTTTTAAAAAAGAATTTTTCCTCTTCCTGGAGTTCAAAACCATTAAAATAGCTGACCATCATTACTCACATGATAATTAGAGGGAAACTGAAAAAAATCTAAGCAACACATGGACAGAAGCAATGAATCATGTTAACCACAAACCCCAAAATGCCCAAGACTTTGATGAAATTGCCAGATAAAGATAATTAGCAACATTTCCCTTCATTTGACTTTTCTTTCTCTTCACAAGAGAGCTTATGTTTATATCACTTATTTTCTTTGTTAAGAGCAATGTGTGATCTCTTAGCATATATGGTAGCATTTATTTTTTACTTGATCTATTTCATTCATACCAAACAACAGCATTTTATTTTTACCTGTGGGATTAGACAATATGAGAGCTCAAAGCACTAATTATTTTGTTCAGGTTACGTCAAAATACATTGGGTTTCATTGATATGGATGCTGGTACTGAAAAAATATTAGTTATTCTTTACTTGATTCTGGCTCCTTTCTTTCATTCTCTTTGTTTAAGCAGTTGACAACTTTTTCTTTCCTTCTTCCTCCCTCCCTTCCTCCCTTCCTCCTTCCCTTTCTCACTCCCTTCCTTTCCTCCTTCCTTCCTTCCCTCCCTCCCTCCTTCCTCTCTCTTTCTTCTTGCATTCGATTTATTAAGCCTAACTCCAAAAACTTTTGACCCATTTTAGAACTTCGATGTGCCAACTCTGTTCTATCCTTTGGACTTTCTTTTTATACCTATACCCATAATTATTTAAGTTTGAGACACAGCAGTAAATACAGCACCTTACTCCAATTATTGATTCCAATATTCTAGCTTTGAATCAAATAACTGCTTCTATCTATCCAGCTCTTCTAACAGAGAGTAAGGTAAAAATTCATAGATGAGTAAGTTAAATTCTATTAAGTAAGTAGATCTTTATAGAGTCCCTTTTCCTTCAGCCTTCTTCATGTATATGTCTAAAAGGAAATTTGGGAACTCATGTTGTCAGAAAAGAGAATAATATTTGAGTTCACGAATTAAACATAATTTTCCAACTCATATCTGTGGGACTGTAGAGCAAATTTGAGTTTAATTGATTGGTATTTTTTCTTCCTGAGCACTGAGGCTGAACAATAACGATGTTGTCTCTTACCTCTAAGTTTCATTTAAACTTTTGTGTGTGTGAATGATGTAAATCATCCTGAATCACAAGTATGATCAGACTATTCCCTGCTCAGTCATCTTCAGTGATTCTCATTGCCTCTCAGAGCATGTACTTTTTTAGTTAGCATTCAGAGATCTCTAATATTACTTCCAAATATTTCTCTTTACATTCACCACATGTGCTTGATTCCATAAGTCTTCCATCTATACTATATTCTCTAGACTTGTCCTCATCTCCACATACATCCTGTCTTTACCCAAGATATTCTTTCAGCCTGAGGTGTCAACTACTTAAGTTGCGGCTTTAGGCGATCCCCTTGCAGCTTAAATGCCTATATATCGATGAAACATTTCCTAATGCTGTCAAATGAAGGTAATTTTCCTTCCTCTGAACTCCCCCAGAAGTTTTTTGGAATCCGTTCTTTTAATTTACCATGTTCTTAATAGTATTATCTTTCTAGCCATCTGATTAATTTTCTTCATCTAGCCTCTCTATATTTTTCATTTTTATGAAGATAATGCTTACTCAGAGCTTAAAAAAGTCAAATAAGATGAAAGAAAATCTTGTAATAAAACAGTTCTTAATATGGTTCTCATCTAACCACTAATTCTGTTGCCCAGATGAAGTAATGTTTAAGTCTTTTAGCTATTTGTATATTTAAATAATTTGATAACACCATATTTTCTTAAGTCATGCATTTTAGACATTATCATTTTTCTATGTTATGAATTTTGAAGGGTATGTTTCCGGCACTACTATTATTGTTTTTATTATTTCAGCAGCTCTTAACAAAAATTTATTCTATTAATTAAATTAATGGTAGTCAGTGTAACTAATAAACCCCCACATTATATTAAAGTCACATAATACAGGTATATAGTTCAGATAGTTGTCCCCTCCAAATCTCATATTGAAAAGTGATCTCCAATGTTGGACATGGAGTCTGGTGGGAGGTGTTTGGATCATGGGGGAGGATCCTCATGAATGGGTTGGCACCTTTGCCATGATAATGAGTGAGTTCTCTCTCTTGGTTCACCTGCGAGCTGATTGTTTAAAGGAGCCTGGCACCTCCTCCTTTTCCCTCTCTTGCTCCTTCTCTCACCATACGATGTGGTGGCTACTCTTCTTCCACCATGATTTTCAGCTTTCTGAGGCCTCACCAGAAGGTAAACAGATGTGGGTGTCAGACTTGTACACCTTGCAAAATCATGAGCCAAATAAACCTCTTTTCTTTATAAATTACCCAGCCTCAGCATTCTTTTATAGCAATGCAAAATGGATTAACACAAAATCACATGGGCAATATTTCTGGTCAGGGTGTAGAACATGACAGTGACCCACTGGTCTCACCATAACAATTAGAGGGGAGAAGGCATAAACTATCCAAATTTTATTTTGTAAAAGACAATGGAAAACTCTGTATGAATTGAAGAATGAATGATAGGGGAAAGTCCTTCTTAAGTAAGAGGAGTTATTTTATTTTATTTATTTTATTTTATTTAACTTTTGGAGACAGAGTCTCGCTCTGTCACCTAGGCTAGAGTACAGTGGCATGATTTTGGCTCACTGCAACTTCTGCCTCCTGGGTTCAAGAGATTTTTGTGCCTCAGCCTCCCATGAAGCTGGGACTACAGGCATCCACCACCAAGCCAAGTTAATTTTTGTATTTTAGTGGAGACGAAATTTCGCCATGTTGGCCAGGCTGGTCTTGGACTCTTGACCTCAAGGGATCTGCCCTCCTTGGCCTCCCAAAGTGTTGAGATTACAGGCGTGAGCCACCATGCCAGGCCAAGAGGAATTATGCAGTCACTTTTCTTCCTGAATAAAAGCCAAGTCTGAGCTTTAGTGAAGGATCAAGCTTGTAATAGGTAAAGAGACTCTGCTAGAGGGAAGAGACACAACTAAAGCATTTACTTCTCATATGGGCTAGTGTAAAAGATTAAAATCTGGAGGAGCCTCATATATATAGTGAACACTTTTTGGATGACATTTCTCCTCTAAGGTAGTGTTTTTCAGTAATGGGTTGGTGCTTGAGGCCAGTGGCTGCACTAGAAGGCAGAGTGAGGTTTCCGTAATCTTGTGGTGCTTAAATTCCAAGGTCCTGCTGGATGTAGTAACCTGTGATCAGTCAATACATTTGAAACAAGAGAGGAATTGAAAATAACCAAATTTACAACCCAGTCCCAAACCAGTTTAATTCATGATTGAGTCAAAGCAATCAGACCTTCACCCTATCTGCTACACAGAAAAAAGAAAAAAAAAAAAAAAACTTCTCTTTCTGGAGAAAAAAAAAACCTGTCAACTTTATTATCCCGAGTTATTTTAAATATAATAAATTATAAGATATGCAAAGAAGCAGGAAAAAAACCCACAATGAGTAAGAAGTGAATCTTCAATAGTCACACAATATTGAAACTGGCAGACACAGACTTTAAAATAATTATTTATATATATTAAAGAAAATGACATGGAATATGAGCAAAATGAATAAAAAGACAAAGAATGTCAAGAGAGAATCTATAGGTATTCCTGATAAAGAGGCCGCTTTGCTTCAAGACATGATTCGTGAACTTAGATTCTATTTTATGACTTTGTTGCTCTTTCAAGATCACTGGAAAAAGAAAAACATTGAAGGTAATATGGGCTATTATTATTATATGATTATTATTATACTGAATCTTCAAATTGAAGAAGAATATCCTTCATTTCTGGGATTCATTCTTATATTCTTGTGTTCTTTGTAGTTTTTTTAATATAATGTTGGAGCTTGGAAAGTTTTCTACTGTTCTATCTCCTTTATTCCACCTACAGGGAGACATTATAAAGTACTAAACTTTCCATTGAATTTTTAATATTTAAATTTTGTTTTAAATTTCCAAATGTGCTTCTCTGATTCTTCATGTTCTCAGAATATTTTAATTTTCTTTCTTAGATGTGATATGTCTCTTTGTTTCTTTTAGGGTATTAAATATATATTTTAAAATATTCTATCTGGTTGCATTTTCTGTGTTCCAATTGAGTTCCCTCTTTTGTTTGTTGTGTTTTCTGTCTTTTGCTTTGGAGGCTTCCCTTAAATATTGGATGATGATTGGTTTTCATATTTAAGAGTGAGTCACTAAAATGTTGATTGGAGGCTTTGTGTATAGGGATATGTTTTGCCAAATAGTCAGCATCACTGCAGATGGTTATGTTGAATAGGAAAAGTTTCCATATGACTCATTTTCTAGTACCTCTGGCTGCTGGTGTTTTTCAAACCATGCAGAGAAGACTGAGGCCCTCACTCATTCAGTATGATGTCCTCCAACTGACGATCTTATTTTCTTTTCCACTCCTCTTCCTGACTTCTGTCTGAGCACCAAGCTCAGTTCTCTCTCTTTCAGTTTCCTCAGATTAGACAGCAGCTCTTTATTAGGCAAGGTGAGGTGGAGGAAGGGAATTCAAAGGTATTGGTGTCAAGCAGGATAGGATTTCTAGGAGGCAGTAACCATTGAGTATGCGGTCTTTCAAGCAATTCATGAGTTTTAAGTTTCTTCCCTCAACTATGCCTTCTGAGGTGGCAGCCATGTTCTGCTGAGTATTTTTTGGTTCCTGATGGATCAGTTTATTTTATTACCATCAGTGACTCCCTGAAGGCGCTTAAAGCACCACTTCCTTCACTCTGCCGTGTTAGTTACCACTCCTCCAGCTAATTTTTATTTTTCAAAAACTGTTGCTATCTCCATCTTGTTGTCATCTTGCCCCTGTTCCTCTCAGCCTCTATTTGTTTATTTCGCTTTACTGGGAAAGTAAAAACAGGAGAAACTAAACATTTCTAGTCAACTCAGCATGATTAAGAGCAAGTTTACTGCATTTATATTACTTTCTTTTAAATAGAATTGCATTCTAATAGGCATCTCTTAAGGTGGTGTCTGAGTCTCAATTCTCATTTATTATTAATTAAATTCCCACAGAGGTGTTTCACAGTATGTGATTGCTCTTTCTCAGGCACACACACATGCATAAATAGGAATGATAGTCAAAATAATTTAATGACTGGAAAGGTGTAAGCACAAAGCAAACAGAATGAATGCAAGACTGATCAGAAGAGATACACTGCAGTGGAGCATGCTAGCTGAACATCAGATGTGTGTGTGTGTATAAATGTGTGTGTCTAATAATTTGCAGATACGATGGTCAGAAATGGTGTCAGGTTTTTATTTTTGAGAGAAGTATCTCTTTTTAAACCTGGTTATTTAAGATACAGCATTTCACTGTGAGTTCTTAGATGCTAACTCTAAGTTGCCACAAATTTATTTTCAGTTAGCTAACAAAATGAACCTTGGACTCCCTAACTAATCTCTTGTCCTTGAGAGAAAATATCATTTGGTCTAGGGGTAATGCAATTAAACTATATTGAAGTAAAGATCATTTAATTTTTAATAGACTGTAGACATAAAACCCCTTTTTAGAAAACATCTTTTATGTTTGTTAGCATGTTCAACAATTTTTCCTTAAAAGAAGATTGTGAAGATGTGAAAAAATAATTTCTTAAAAATGAACTGTAAGGCTAAAGTTATCATCACTTTAAATATGTCAATGATATGACCCACCTAGAATGCTACAGAATAATTTCAACTCATTGACCTACTGTTATTTTTTTTTAAGTTAGGTAAGCATTTCACCGATAGAACATTAATATATAAGGATGCAATTCAAGTAAATAACTACAGATTTCATAAGACTAATGCAAAGACAAAATTTGGTTGAAACGAGATTGTGTAATTCCATTAGACAATTATACTGCAAAAGGTTGAAGCAACAAGCAAACAATTTTAGCTTCAGTCAGAGCTTAAAGCTATTAACATTCTTTTCAGCATCTCTTTTACTTTTAATGAGGCAGGGTAAGTAAAGTTAGGAGGCCATACCGACCTGCCCTCTTTTGTGAAGCCTTGCTGGTTCCTTTCATATCCCTTGGACCCTCGAGCATCAGCACCTAACTCTTTTGTGAGATAAGCGGTCCTGCAGGATACCAGCTGACCGCCAAATGGTTACAAGTTTCTGATACCCAATAAAAGCCTGTTATTCCTGATGCATGTTTCCTAATCTCCAAACAATCAGCACCAAAAGCCCAAGAAACTATTAAGTACAAATTCCTGCCTTGGAGGACATAGGGACTTCTCTGGGGTCCTCCATGTGCAGCTAGGCTCCAGATTTAGGTTACAGTAACCTTTTCCTTACTTTAGTAGTAACATACACACACCTAGAGGGAGATTTATATGCTAATGATACATGTGATGTGTGTTAGAGCAGGTAGATGATGAACGCATGTGGCAACCACAGGTCAGCCTTTGCATATTTGACCTCACCAATATTTTATGAAGATGTATGTCCAGCTCCCATAAAGGGAATTCTCCTTGAGGTACTAGGGGCTGTCTCTTCCTTTGAGTGGCCCGCTCTGCCACTGAGAGTACTTTTGCTTCACAATAAACTTCTTTGCCTACTATAACTTTGGACTTGTTCTCAAGTACTTTTGTGCAGCAAAGTCAAGAACCTGAACCAGCCTACCAACAATACGACTAGTCTCTAATAAAGCAGTATAGAAGGGGATTTTTTTCCCTAAAACTTATACAGATTTAAATTTTGAAGAAAAATTAGATTACTAGTGATAAACACTCAGATCCCATCACAGCCTGAAAAGAAAATGTTGACAAACTAGTACAATACTTGAGTCACTCTACATATTCTGTTTAAGTAAACATTTAGATTTACCCACTGACTAGTTATCCTTGAGAACCATGTAGAGCTTTCAAATAATGTAAATTAAAAACCAATGTACCCTAAAGGTATACTTTTTATTAAATAAGTATTCATGTTACTTTTAGAAGAAGTGGCTTTGATGGAGAGTTGGCATAACAATTTAGCTTCTTATTAAGATGATATTTTTCTAACTAACTAGAGATATTATCATTTCTCTATTTCATGTATTTTTTTGTAAACTGAAGAGAACAATTAATTTTATTTATGCAAATGTATTATACTTTTGCTAGCCATGGGCTGTTTCCATATAAAATCACAATAAACATTTTAGAAAAAAAGCAAAAGCCAAAGAAAAGCCCTGTCTTTTTGTCTTGTTTTGTTTTGTGAAAAAGATACTTAATAATTAATTGAGATTTTATATTCCATGAAGGGACTTTTTATTGTATGAAACCAATGCATGGTTTTTGTTTCCATTTGGCACAAATCATCTACAAATAATGTTTTTAAATTATGGATTTTACTTATTATATTCAGATTCTATTTAAAAGAGTTCTTCAAATTTATATTTAAATATGCCTTCTGATTGAGAAACTGAATATATCAAACACTAATCAAATGTACATTTCTTGTGAAATATTCTTTTATTAATTGTAATGGTTTTCTGTGCAACATTCTATGACCTCTTTTCAAACAATTATATCAAAAGACACACTACACTACTTTATAATTATTATACTAAATAATCTCTATAATAATTGAATGTAACAAAAAACTTACAAATTTGAAAATAATTATTCATGGTCACAATTATAATTAAGAATAATCATGAAACTATGCTTAAAATGAAATGCCATCAAGTAGAAATGTTTAAACAAAAATAATTAGGGATATTATAAAAAATATTCGCAGCCAACAAAAAGTTAAGAAATAGCTCAAATTAATGTTAAAAATTTTATATGACCTAAATACAAAGTTGAAAAGATTTACAGAATTTTTCTATATGAGAATCTTAAACGTTTATACACTCTATAAGAAATCTTTATTTTCAGTTCCAAGCAATTCAAAGAGGAGAGAAATTTAGATCCCAGTTCTAAATCAAGCTGGCATTTACAAACTTCTGAATATAGAATGAAGCTCTTAACACAATGGATGCACAAAAATTATTTTTAAGTTACTGGTGAATTTCTCCTAGGGTAAACTTCAGAAGCTATTACAGTAAATGGGTTCATATAAAATATCTAAACAACTATAAATGAATCATTTTTAAAATTTAGTTAAAAATAATACTATTTGCTATCATTAATTGAGCACTCACAAATATCTGAAGCGATACTATGTAGGTACTATTATTCTCATTTTACAGATGAGGAAATGAGACATAGATAGTCTAATAGCCTGATCAAGATAGCAAAACTATATAGATCTAAACATAGAATCTGGGACTGCCTCACCTCAAAGTTGGTATACACTATGTTACTCTTCAGGCCCTGAGATTTTTCTGCGGGACTGGGACAGAAGATAAATTTGCAGTGGTTTCTGCTAGATGGTGCATTTTCTCCAAGCACACCCATTCTCTAAGTCCTTTATTAATGCAGTCAGTAAACTGTCTTGGGTACTGAGACATAAATAAACTATTATCCTTTTCCTTGATGAGCTAATACAGTAACCTCCTTGAGAAGACACTGTATTATACTGTTTTATTTGCATGTATGTGTGTGTATGTTCACATAAATACATATGCATACTCCACCTATGATTCCTTTCTTTACTTCAGCACAAAAGGTAATTTTAATCCAGCTTCACTAATGATGAAGCTATTATTTCCCTGGAAGAGACAGCTATTTCCCTGGAAGAGATATTGAGAAATTGAAGAAAAGAGAGACAATTTGGGACCTGGCAGTATAGACCCAGAAAATAGCCTTCAAAAGCCATGACAATATAAAATAATATATTTTGTATGTAACAGTTACTACAGCTTGGACTTTTTCCTAAAGGAGTGGAGTGCCCATTAAAGTATTAAAACAAGGCTTATCCTGTTGAGATCTATATTGTAACAACATGACTTTGGGGCTATGTGTAAGGTTTGGAGTGGAGTGAGAGTAAACCAGAGTTATGTGTGAGACAGAATTAAGAGCTTATTGCTGTTGTTCAGAACAGGAATAATGTGGGCCTGATTGGCTCAGCTGCAGTTAGGATGCATAAGAAAAAAAGGTTTGGAATGATACATAAAGTGCTAACATTGAGAAAGCATCCTAAATCACTGGTTGGGTAGGAGAGACAGAACCCGAAAAGGAGCTGACTTGAAGTGTTCTAGCCTGAATGGCCATTGGAATTAAAAGTATCCATGTTTCAGAAGAGGAAGAACACATTCTGGACAAAAGTAATAATAATAATAATAATAATAATAATAATAATAATAATAGTAACAATGACAACCTGGGAAGTAAGCCCAAAAGCCCACCAGTTTTATTTTCTAAAAAATGGATATATGTATTTTTTAATGTATATGTATGTATATATACAATATAGTAATAATCTGATAAATGTAAAAGAAAATAAGATGTTGAAATAAAATCTAGGCCCAAATTGGGACCTAGCTCAATCATTTATTTTGTTCACTTGTTTACTAAAATTATTAATAAACCCTCTTGATTCAGAAGCCCTTAGGGTTTTGTTGTCTTTCCAACAAAGAATAATTTTGCTCTAGATGGTTTCAAGCTTTATTGTGAACTAAAACGTTGGAGAAGGTTATATTTCTTAGTTTGCTGTTAAGTATCGTGTATGTTCTCTACTTGTCTCCCAGCTTTGTCAAAGTGTCACATCTGAATAGATGACTCTTAATTTATTGATTAACTATTTTATAAGCCGAATACGACATGACATATAGGAGAAAAAAGGCTAATCTAATGCTATGGTATTTCATTATGAACAAAGCCTGGTTTCCTGGGTGACTAAAATACTCTTATGGCATTGTTTTGCTTTGTTTCCTTTTTCCTTGTCTTCCTGTCTTTGAAGATTTCCTGCATTCTGACAATTTCTCAGCACCTTAAACTAAATACTGAATAGTAAATGTAGGGACTCACCTAAAGAAGTATTTTCCTCGCTGTTCTTCTATTACTGGCAAATCCTATGTGATGAAAGGACTTCAGATAACAACAAATCTCAAACATATTGAATCTTAGTTTGGGATTGTTGAAGACAACACTCCAATATATGGCAGAACAGAGTGAAAACAATTTTCCAGAATGCTTTCAACATGTAGGATGGACAATGATGAAGGAAAGCAGTTATGTAATGATTGTCAAAGATTGCTCTTTTTACTGACTGAATGTTTTGATTTCTTAAATATCCTACTTTTGATGAAGAATTTGACCTCTCTGTATTGACTGAGTTATTTCAACTAGCATGCTAAATTGACTAATAAGACTTAAGAAATGACTTAAGGGCTGGGCGCAGTGGCTCCCAGCACTCTGGGAGGCTGAGGCAGGCAGAACACGAGGTCAAGAGATCCAGACCATCCTGCCAACATGGTGAAACCCTCTCTCTACTAAAAATACAAAATTTAGCTGGGCATGGTGTCACACACCTGTAGTCACAGCTACTTGGGAGGCTGAGGCAGGAGAATCGCTTGAACCCAGGAGGCAGAGGTTGCAGTAAGCCAAGATGCTGCTACTGCACTCCAGCCTGGGCAACAGAGCGAGGTTTTGTCTCAAAATAAATAAATAAATAATAAATAAATAAACAAGGTATTTTTGTCTTGAATCATGTTAGAAAGAATTTCTTAAACAATTTTTGGGAAAAAAATGACATTTTGCAAAATTTAATAAAAGGTATATTTTAAAAATACCAAAAAATAAAGAAGAAATGCAAAGAAAGGGGAAGGAAAGAAGAAAGCTTCTATATAATTTCTTATATTATTACCATATTTCTTAGCTGAAATATAATTTTTAAATCATGGGTAAAATATCACTTACACTTAGAAAATTTACCCACAAAATTCTTGAAACGTTTAGAAATTATATGTGTATATATGTGTGTGTTTATATATATTATATATAGTTATGTAATACATATTATATATTATATAATCATAATTATATAATATATAATATGTAATATATATAACATATAATATGTAATGTGTATATATTCTATATTATGCATATTATATATAATATTCTATATTATGCATATTATATATAATATATACCACGCATATTATATATAATATATACCACGCATATTATATATAATATATACCACGCATATTATATATAATATATACCACGCATATTATATATAATATATACCACGCATATTATATATAATATATACCACGCATATTATATATAATATATACCACGCATATTATATATAATATATACCACGCATATTATATATAATATATATCACGCATATTATATATATCACGCATATTATATATAATATATATCACGCATATTATATATAACATATATCATGCATATTATATATATTATGTATCACGCATATTATATATATTTTATCACGCATATTATATATTATATATCACGCATATTATATATTATATATCACGCATATTATATATAATATATTACACATATGATATGTAATATATATTATACATATTATATATACTATATATTATACATATTATATATCTTATACATATATATGTATAATATATATTATATATGTATATTATATTATATATGTATATATTATATATGTATATATAATATATATGTATGTATATATGTATATTATATATATTATATATAATATGTAGTGCTGTATTATATAGTATATATACTATATTATATATAATATATAGTATATATTATATATAAAATATATAGTGCATATTATATATAATGTATAGTCCTTAAGCAGTGCTGTAAGTATATAATATATATAATATATATGTATATTATATATGTATATATAATATACGTATATATGTATATACGTATATATACATATAAGTATATATGTATATACGTATATATACATATAAGTATATATGTATATATACGTGTATGTATATACGTATATATACGTATATGTATATATGTATATATACATATATGTATATATAGATATATGTATACATATATACGTATATATGTATATATGTGTATGTATACGTATACGTATATGTGTATGTATACGTATACGTATATGTGTATGTATACGTATACGTATATGTGTATGTATACGTATACGTATATGTGTATGTATACGTATACGTATATGTGTGTATGTATACGTATACGTATATGTGTGTATGTATACGTATACGTATATGTGTGTATGTATACGTATACGTATATGTGTGTATGTATACGTATACGTATATGTGTGTATGTATACGTATACGTATATGTGTGTATGTATACGTATACGTATATGTGTGTATATACGTATACGTATATGTGTGTATATATACGTATACGTATATGTGTATATATACATATATGTGTACATATACATATATGTATATATTATATATAATATATATTATACGTATTATATATATTATATATTATACGTATTATATATATTATATATTATATATTATGCATATTATATATAATATTATATTATTATATATAATGTGTATAATATATATTATAGTATACATACTATATATAATATTATATAAATATATAATATATAAATATATAATATAAATATATATTATATATTTATATATAAACACACACACTATATCATATAGTGTGTATATACAAATACATATAATATATGTGCATATTGTGTATATATGATGTATAATATTGCATATATGTATATATGTATGTTTATAAATATATTTTATATATATATAAACACACACTATATCAAAGAATGCATCATTAGTTCCATGTAGAACAAATGCTCTGGTCATTTCCTATGCATTGATGTGTGGTTAACATATACTAACTAACCATTGCATTGTCTACAATCTAGTTAATAATCAAGTTTCATGGGTTGACAAACTATGATCCCAGGCAAAATATGACCTGTTGCCTATTTTTAGAATTGCAATTTCATTGGAACTTAGGTACACCAATTTGTTTACATATTGATTATGGCCATTTTTGCACTAATGAGAGAGTTGAATAGTTCAATACTTATATGGCTCACAAAGCTTATTATATTTACTATCTGGCTCTTTACAGAAAAATATTTCTGACCCTTGATCTACTTAATGATCACTGACCAATGTCATCTATCTCGTTATGTAATTTCAATATACATTTGTTATATTTTATAATAAAATTATAACCTATGGTATTTAATAAATGAGATATAATTCTCTGTCTTTTTCTTACATCATGTAAGCCATATTTTTATAATTTTAACAGTTATTTTGTGTACAGAGCCATACAGTCCCACCTTTCTAATTCTAGTATGTGTTACATCTGAAAAACTTCTAGTACGATCTCACACTGCTAGAATATTAAAACTGTTTCATGGTCAAAGACGTTTGGGAAACACTGATCTATATTTGTTTGCCTACATGCTAGATTCATTGACTAAATGGTTCAATAATCCTGACTAGAAATAAATAGCGTATCACAGGCTGAAAGGTTCCTTGAAAACAGTTTAGTATATTCTGAGAATAAGCCTCTTTTCATACAATTTTACTCTTTGTACTTGTACTTCCTTCCAGTATTCTCTTGTTAAAATTGTGGAATAGTTATTATGCCCAATTACAACAGTCTTAGATTCCAACAAGAAAAATAAGACATATGAGTTTTTTTTAACAGACACTTTAGTTTGCATCCTGCAATAGTTTGGAAAGGGGACTCTACTAAAAAACAGTGAGGCAATACTCAATATTAAAATGAAATCCTTTCTGGCCAATTGCCTTTTTGAATGCTTTTTATATTGTTGATTATAATCTTTGCATACTCTATGATTTAATAATAGTTATTCATTACCTGGTACCAGCACGGTATTTTCCAAATGTGGGGTTAACTACTTCTTTAGATGAAAGTATGATTGGCTTGTAATTTTTCAACTATCACTCTCTACTTATTATAAAGGTATCAGTCTGATACCTTTCTATACACTAGAATAGGCTCTGTATGCAGCCAAACTTAAGAACAAGTTTCTATCTAGTCAGCTACTGTTACACAAATATTAGTATACATTGTTCCAATTCATGAAAACTCATTAAATGTTTTAAATCTCTGAGGAAATACTATGAGCTAGGAGTACTTTAAGGTGTTGGAGATATATCAATGCATAATGTTCAATGTAAAAACAGTTCTCATTCTCAGTGAACTTCCAATACAATACATGAGATAGAAAATGGACAAAAAAGTAGACATAAAATAGTATAGTATAATAAAATATACCACTGGTATATTAAACATACTGCAAGTACATAATTTGATTAAGATTATGTAGGATTTCATCCACTCTATTAAAGAATATTTAAACACTAAACTATTGAAGAATTAGCCAAGGAACTCTTGGTTGGAAAAAAATTAACTGTGGGGTAATACATAGTATTCAACATTTGGTATTACACAGTTTACAAAATTTATTTATATATCATATATTAAATGAAGTGCCTACAATTAATAAAAAGAGATAACATTTAAATTTATTTAGAAATGAATTTGAAGTGTAGTTTTTAATTGTTTTATCTATTGAGAGCTCACCTTGTCTTAGTCGTACTATTTTGGGTATGGCACTTAACTCCTCTCACCCTGTATCAGCAGTAGGAAATGTGTTCAGCATATAGCTGAAATTCCCTAATGCTGCACAGGAGAACTATTTAATAAATAGCAGCTAATATCTCCCCTCTCTATAAAATACCTTATTACGTCTTTCCAAGCTTCAGCCAAGCATGGTTTTCCTCTGGATGATTGTGCATTAGCCAAATCTTAAGGACACATAAAAAAGAACCTACTAAACAGAACAATTGGAAAACTGAAAAGTATATCCTCTTTTCTGAGAAGCAGAGTCAGTGCTGTAAGCAAATATTACTTTTGGCACACCTATATCACTATCAGCTATTACAACAGTCTTGAGTTCCTAATATTTGTTTGGAATTTCAGTGGCCAAATGATCACTGCTCTGTACTGAGTGAGAAAAATGACATACATAGAATAGGCTCCGTATGCAGCCAAACTTAAGAACAAGTTTCTATCTAGTCAGCTACTGTTGCACAAATATCAGTATACATTGTTCCAATTCATGAAAACTCATTAAATGTTTTAAATCTCTGAGGAAATACTGTGAGCCAGGAGTAAGTACTTCAAGGTGTTGGAGATATATCAACGCATAATGTTCAATGTAAAAACAGTTCTCATTCTCAATGACCTTCCAATACGATGCATGAGATAGAAAATGGACAAAAAAGTAGATGTAAAATAGTATAGTATAATAAAATATACCACTGGTATAAGATATTAAACATATTGCAAGTAAATAATGTAGTATAATATAGTGAAAGAAAAAATAAAGAATGCAAGGGTGATCATTGCTTATAATTTATAATTGTAAGGACTGTAAAAATGTCCAAGTGTAAGGATTAACTGCACAAATTTATAGTCCTATCAAGAGCAGAGCAGAAAAAAAAAACTGCCAGGTACGGATCTCACTTCCATGCTTTCTGGAGTGCAGGGAGAAAATGGCCCTGACATAATGAAACACTATTCTGGGTGCAGGATGAACACACTGGTTACCCATCCTTGGAACAGAACTGCAAAACTCTGCATGAAAGATGGTGTCCCTGTCCAGCTCCTGCAGAAGGAATTTAGGGGTGGGGTGGGATTTAGAGTAGAATTAATTTATAAGTACTACATAAAATTGATAAGAGAAAGAGGGTAATGTGATCCCTTTTTAGAAAATATGTTTTTCCAATATTCCAATAGTAGAGAAATCAGAAATTTCCCTGGATCACAGTTCACGTAAGTTCTGTTTAAGACTTGAAAAGAAACGTATGGGTTGTCTGGATGTTTGTGCTGTGATTAGAAATTTGGACAGGTAGCCCTTTGGGAAAGGGTTGCAATTAGATAGTTTGGGAGGATTTGAAAGGTTTAAGTGCAGAAATCATAAAGCCTGGGTAAGGCAAAGAAAATGAACGTAATTGAGATTTCTGCCTGTGACATGGTAGATACCTGTGCCAGCCCTAAAATGATGTTCCACAGCTAGCAAATGCCAGGAGTCATGAGACGTGGGAGGCCTGTGAACAGGGAGGAGGATGACTGTGAAAAGGTAGCAACTTAGGGCCATAATAGCAACAGGAACAGTCAACTCAGCCTGGCACCTGGCCCCCACGTGAGCTGGCATTTCATCACCAGTGCAACCTTGCAGCTCACTTCTGGGGTGTCATGTCTTCATTTCCCCAGTCACTGCAAAAAATGGGACAACTATACTGTAATTCTATGCATCACATTTGAGCATCACATTGGTGCTACTTTGCCGCCAGTATTTCTCTTGGTTGTTACAGGAGGTGAACGTTCGTCATTCTTCAACATTGTATTTGAGTCAGTAACCAGGAATTTCCAAAACAATGACTATTATGGGAATGACTAGGGAACATAAGTCGGGAAAAAGAGAATGAACAACAATGTATGTATGTAGTCATACTTGTATGTATGTATGTATGTATGTTTCTAACTGATCAGTATTTGGAGCTTATAATAACTTTGAACTTTTAATGTCTACTAGAAATTAACTGTAAAAATCAATCAATAATTATGTAGTACCACCTCCGTTAGCCCACTTAAATGTATTTTAAATGAACATGTAATCCAAGTAAAACAGCAAATATAGCTTTAAAACAAATCTCCTCTTCTTAACAATATTCTTGTCTCTATGTTCTTCCTTTAGATAAATTTGGGAGAAGCAATGAAATCAACAAAGAAACACACAGAGCCAACATAGGCAGAGTGATTTTAAGGAGACACACTGATCTGTAAGCCTTTAAGACTTGCCTAAAGCTGCATAAACATATAGAAAAATACAAAGGAAACATTGTTTAGAAGGTGAAATTCAGCTGACCATGAAAGCCACAGAATAAAAAAAGCTTCACTTTCTTCCTCTTTTACATATTGGGCTTTTATATAAGATCTTGGTTTTAAAAAGAGGCTTGTTGCTTTTTAAATAAATTTTCAAAGATGTTTCCAATCTGGTTTGTTTGAAGAGCATTTTGAATTAGATGCGCATCTCCATCATGAGTTCTAATGCCATTAGGCTTGCCCCTTATTTTCTTGGAGTCTCAGTTCCAGTCGGTGATAAACAGGTATAAAATGTTTTAAAATACTCTAGAGTTGTTTTGATGATTAAATAAAAAAGTACATAATGTATGTGTTACATTTTATTCCTCTTTCTTCCCTCTGTATTAGTTCTCTTTCTAGTGTGAAATATCCTTTCATTAATGGTTCTAAGAAAAAAGCCCTATCTCACCAAGGCTTGAAGACAATTGTGAGAACAAATTATGTTCATTTAGATGATAATTTTAGATAAGCATGGCTTATTTCACATATTCCAAGCACCTATAATAGTAATCCTAATCCACAGGTATTGTTTCTGTATTGATTTGCACTGTAAATAATCTTGACAATTGGCTTTTGTAATATATATACACATATTTACACATTTCATACAATAAATATAGAGAGAACACTTACTATGTACCAGGTAACATCTAGTCATGGAAAATACCGTGAATGAATGAGAGATACAAACTTTCTATACTCACATATATAGCAGAACGTTAATAGAGTAATGAATAGGAAATGTCTGAGTAGCTAGTTCACATTGTGTGGTTAGTAAAGAATTATATGTAAACTTAGTAAAGGATAAGAATGGGCTACCCATAGAAAGATTGTGGGAAGGAATATTTGTCTCAACTGGAATAGCTAGTACAAACTCCCTCCTTAAGGCTGGATTGACTTGAGATGTCTGAGTAATGGACAAAAGCCCATAGGCCAGTCTTGGAGTTTTGGGAGGAAAGTGGCATGAGATTATGTTGGAGAGAGAGCAGGACTTGTACAAGGAGGAGATTTGTAACACAGTAGTGGCTAGTATATAATTGGAGGCTTACAGTATATAATCCATTTTGCTTTGTTTTAATCACTAAAATTTTTATTAAAATTATGGTAAAATAGCATAATATAAAATATACCATTTTAACCATTTTTTAGTGAAAGTTGAATAGTGTTGAGTATATTCACATTGTTCTGCAGTCATCACCACCATCCATCTCCAGAACTTTTTCCATCTTGCACAACGGAAACTCTGTATTCATTTCTACCCAATAAACAACTCTCTTTTTCTCCTCCCATCAGCCCCTGCTAACCACATTCTACGTTCTGTCTATATGAATTTGACTACTCCAGAAACCTCATGTAAGTGGAATCACATGGTATTTGTCTTTTTGTGACTGACTTATTTCACATAATGTCCTCAAGATTCATCTGCATTACTATGTGTCAGAATGTCTTCCTTTTAACCCTGCATAATATTTAAGTGTTTGTACATATATTTTTTAATCTATAATTTGTTGATGGGCATTTGGGACATTCTAACCATTTATTTATTTAGAGATGGAGTCTTGCTCTGTCGCCCAGTCTGGGAGGCTGGAGTGCACGATCTCGGCTCACTGAAACCTCTGACTCCCAAGTTCAAGCAATTCTCCTGCCTCAGCCTCTCGAGTAGCTGAGATTACAGGCATGAGCAATCACACCTAGCTAATTTTTGTATATTTAGAAGAGATGAGTTTTCACCATGTTGGCCAGGCTGTTCTTGAACTCCTGACCTCAAGTGATCTGCCTGTCTTGGCCTCCCAAAGTGGTGGGATTACGGGTGTGAACCACTGTGCCCTACGATTTTAACTATTTATAAGTTTACAATTTAGTGGCATTAATTACAATCAGTGAATTTTTTTTGCATGTTTTCTTTTTAAAGAGCATTCTGCTTGCTATGCGAAAAAATGAGCATTCAGGGGTTAAGTGGAATCATAGAGACCTGTTAGAAGGGCATTTCTAGCAATCCAGGGTGGAGAATGTGCCTATGGTGGCTGTAATGAAGATGGACAGCATCCGAGAATAATGCAGGTTCTTTTTCAGGGCATCTGGTTTTATTGTTTTACTAAGCATTCTCCCTCAAGCTCTCTCACTCTCATTCTCTCTCTCTCTCTGTCACACACACACACATGCATACACACTCATGTCTTTTAAAATTTTTTTTACCACATTAATGGATCTTTCCCAAACATTATCTTTCATATATTTTAGATGAATTCTGTCATTTACTGAGAACTGATTATTTTGACAGTATAAATAATAGTCCCAGTCAATTTGACTACTTAATACTATCTCTTTTATCTGTTATTTATTTCCTATGCCATCTTTAATCAATATATATAGAGTGAATTACTGAGTGAATGGGTGAATAAACCAGAAGATGTGATAAAAACATTTGCTTGCAGCCTTCAAAATTCTAGCTCTAAACCTCAGAGATGCATTCCTGCTCCTTCTGGCTGTATCAGTCATCTGTACACGAAGCATAAAGACTGGTTTTATCAGTGATTTTGTTGAGTGTTTGATTACCCTTCTTAATGCTTCTTCCTACTTCTCTTGGTTTGTAGGTGCTCCTGGGACATCTGCTTTTTAATTTGTTGATTCCAACCTTCCTCCTTGCTGTTAACATATTTACTAATACACTTACTTAATAAGCTGCCTACTACTCTCCTAGGCCTACTCACATAGCTAATTAATCTTCTGCATTTTGGCATTTTCAATCTGAGCACTTACATAGCAGTATAAACAATTGTCACAAAATTTGAGTCTTCCATCCACTCCTGTTGAGCACATGTGTCAGTTAAACATTTCCATGGTTTCAAAATTCACTTGCTTACTGATCTGTTTTTTTTCCTGACCTTCTGACTAATTCGTGATTCTTTAATATATTTATTTGAGAATGAAGAGGTCTTTTGAGAACATCTAGTCTAGTAGTTCTCAAGCTTGTTTTTTAATGATGGATTCTTCTGTACAAATGAAATCTTATGCATATAAATAAGAAAATAAATAAGAGAAAAGCTGTTCTTTTTGAAGTAACAAAAAAGGTAGAACCTTCCAGTTTGCCTCAATTTCCCTCAAAGTTCCTCCTGAGAAGAGTTGAGGAACCTCAAACTAATCCAGATTATAAAGAACTGCTTTAAAACAGCTTATTCTTTTACTGATAAAGACCCTGACCCAAAGCAGTGAAGCTATCTGGAACCACAATCTAAGGGGTGGTGGGAGCTTCTAGGTACCTCAACCATAAGGTGTTAGTATGAAAGAATGGAAAGAGACTTTTAATTCAGAAAAAACTTAGAGTTGAATACTGCCTTTTACCTCTCACCACTTGTGGGACCTTATGAAGTTTATGTATCATCTTTGATAACCCATAATTTTTAGAGATGGCAGTGATGATTGTATGCAAATTAAATGATAAAATACAATACACCCCCCATATTCTTTTCATTATCTTTAAGCATTCTGTGGTTTATATAGATAACATTATTCCATCTCATAGAAAACAAAATTTAAGCCCAGGCTTAAAAATTTCCAGTTAATAAGTGGCTGATCTAGGGACAGAACACATGTACTGTTGACACTAAGTTCCATACTCTCCACTGACCAGAGGCCTTAAGTAAAAAGAAAAAAAAAAGCGGTGAACAACTAATCGTGTTATATTTATTTGATGCTTTGTGTTGCAATTCTAAAATAATGATCTTACTTAAAGCCCACCCCAAACTATAAATTAGATTTTATTAGGCTTATTTTACAGAAAAGGAAACAGAAATTGAGGGGTTAAATAACTTAAAAACGTCATAAAGCTAGGAAATTTTAAAAACTGGATTTTGTCTTTTTTTTAGGATTTAAGTAAAAAACTATTTCAAATACATAGTCATTTCTTACTCAAACATACAATGCTATTATAGCCAGATTGAATCTGTTTTGTTACTTGAAACAAGTGGAAAATACAGTCATCCCTGCTTTCTGTCTTTTCCTGTCCATTGACTTTTCTTAAATTTCAAAATTACGCTATAAAACCTTGGAAATTATTTAAGAATACAGCAGCCTAAGTTGTTTCAGGAGTTTAGGGAAACAGAAGAACTTACTTTTCTTTTTCTCCCAAACCCCTTGGTAGTTACATAAGGTTGAAATAGCACAGTTAGTGAGATGCTCATCAAAAGTCGATATGTATCCTGTGTGTCTAATCTGTGAATCTGGCATCTAGGAACTTGCATGAGCCCAGGGAGCCTGCTGGCAATCAAGACTCATGAGGGTACTTACAGAAAAACTCTCCAGTAGGCCCCAACATAGACCCAGCACATGGAAATGACTCAGGGTAACTTCCTTCAGGCTAGTCTTTCAGCCACAAGACAATACAATATCAGTGCTCATTCAGCCCTGCTGGGAGTCAAATGACCTCTGAGTAGCTTCCAATATCCTCATTCCTAAATTATGAATCTATCTTTCAACCACAGAAGACTGTTTAGTGTGTGTATTCTGGTCGTTAAGAAATTCACACACCCACAGGGAGCTAACTACATTTTTTTATTTTCCATTTTCTTCTGTCTTTCTTATATAATTACATGTTAGGCTCAATAAGAAAATACCCTACCATTTTTCTTAAACGTATTACTATAAAACCTAATATGGAGATTGATACCCAGCCTAAATTTCTTTCACATTTATCTTTTTGAGTATAATAATAAAATTTCACTGTAACATTTTAAAAATATGAAATAGAACAAAGAAAAATCAAAATCCTACTGGAGCACTCCTATACTAATATATTTTCCTGTGATATGGTTTCATGAACATATAAAACCTATGTGAACTGAAATGTGTGTCTGCAAATGAGCGACTATTGATCTATACTAAATAGAGTGTTCATATTTATATTGCATATTGTGTTCATTTATTCTTAATATTATGAACATGCACCCAAGTCATTAAATATTAAGTCTCAATATGATTTACCTGGTTGCATAATATTCCATCTCATGATTAGTTCAAACAAAATTTAAACATGTTCCAATCATTTTCAATTAGATTTTTTCCAAAGGTTTATAAGCACTGCTGATATTAATTTACTTGTGCAAATAACCTTTCATTATGTCTCTGACTTGTTCCTGAGGACAGATTTATGAAAGTAAATAAAGAGCTCAAAGAACACTGAATGATTTTAAGTGTTTTAAAATATTTCAGCACCAATAGCTTTCTAGAAATGCTGTAGAAATTTATTACCTAACCTGACACTTCTTTTCTGATCATTATAAAAATACCAATATCTAGAGTTTGCAGAAAGTTTAGAAAACACAGAAAAAAATAAAGAAAAACTAAGAACTACACAAAGTTCTAACTCTGTAGGATTTACTATAAAACCATATCTTACATGTAGATATATGGATGGATAGATAGCTAAATGACGGTTATAAGTAATTAGATAACTAGAGAAAGAAAAATAAGCATAAAAATTAGATCTTACTATCTGTAGTAAGGATGAATGTCCTCATCCTTTCACTTAATACTAAAACATATTCACTTCCTTTACCGATTGTAAATATTTGATATGTGAAGAACACATATACTTTCCAAGTTAGCTTTTGATATTATATTTTCCAATTCTTATATAAACAATACTTTTAATAGTCTCCTTTATAAGTTTTTACACTGCCTTCATGGTTATAAATTCTTCATACTAGGAATAACTAAATATTTACCAATATTTTAGTTCATTTTTAAATGTCATATTTTCATTAAGCCCTCTTTAAAACATTTTATAACTATTTATCAAGATGTAACTTGAATTTTAGTTTGGCTTATGGCTCATTTGCATTTATTCTACTATATTTATATGGAGATAGACAATCTTAGTTCATGCTGCATGTTCATAGAAACACAACTGGCTTAATGTAATTATATAAAATTGTGTATAATTTATTTATCTCCATTAAAATACTCCTGCTGATCAGAGGGAATGAGTTGGTGTAAGTTTATTTTAAAATGTCATGCTATACTTGGGTGTGAGTATTTAAGGGAATTCCCCTACCCTACATTACAATCTTACAGCACACTCTGAGCATGACTAAGCTTGAAATATTTTCCTAAAGAAGAGTAGGAAACAGGACAAAGCAAAGCAAAGTGGAAACATCATGTGAACTCCTCAGAAAGTTTAACTTCTAATCAATCCATTTTTATAGTAAGTTAAATATTCTTCCTCATTCTTTTCTGAATCCAAAACATATGTTTTATGTATCATATAAGTTTTAACTCTTCGTCTAAATTAAAGACACTTAAAAGCAGGATCTGTGTTTTGTAGCTCTTTACATCCCCAAGGATCTGGAACAGTGCTCTGCACATAATAAACTTTCAACAAAAATTCGTATTGATTAGCATGATGAAGTGCATGGTTATTTTTCTGTCTCCCTAAGTTTATTCATAGGCAGAAGAGGAAAGGAGGAAAAGCTGCACGTTTGTCCATCCTACTGCTCATGCTTTTGAGAGTTCAGTCACAATTGCTCTCTCCCTTTGCCTGTGTAACTGTGTAACTCAAGAAACACAAAGTTATTGAGTATCTGTGTACACGGTGCTACATGACCTTTATATCTAGGCTCACTATTTCTTAGTTTTTTTCAAAAACTTAGAATATAAAACTGCAATAACCCTAGTATTGGAGAACAAGAATAAGGCCTATTTTATAGGTTTGGCTGTTTATTTTAAAGGAAGAGAAATGTACTATATTATGAAAACTCTTGGCCTGAAGTATAGATAAAATTGAAATAGCCAGGAATTTTTGTACTGTATTCCAAAATGGTAAAAGGCAAGTAATGCAATGATATTGAAATAAAATACAATGACTTAAAATTAAAAGTGGATGTCAAACAAAAATACAATAATTCATGTGTTCAAAGAACCAATATATCATTTTGAGTATATTAACAGCATAGGGAAAAATATGAGAAAATAAGTTTTATATGGCAGGTCAAAGAATAAAATGCTTAGATGAGCATATGCCCTTGCTTGAAGGATCATACATGAAACATAATAAAAAAAGAATATGGGGGAAATTAGTCGAAACAACATTCAAAAATAGAAGAACATACAAAAAATGATGTTTTGGATTTAGAAAACTCTAATACTAATGAGAAAACGAAAACAACTGAGTAGTATAAAATATCTTCTTAAACAGAAGCAACTACAAGTCTCTACTTCACTTTGCAATGCAGGCAAGCATATTGATAAAATGATATAATCACTACGAGACTTTCACCAAGACCCTTTTCAGGGGTTAAAACACTTCATGGAACGCTGATAACTTGGTATTCATGAACATAACTATTTTAATAACTGAAGACCTTCATACAACCAAAATAGAAATTAGGAGTAGTGTTTGTGAGATTTATATCATTTTTTTTTTCTTTGAGACTCAGTCTCGCTCTTGTTGCCCATGCTGGAGTGCAATGGTGCGACCTCGGCTCATTGCAAACTCCACCTCCCGGGTTCAAACGATTCTTCTGCCTCAGCCTCTCAAGTAGGTGGGATCACAGGCAACCACCACCACACCCTGCTAATTTTTTGTATTTTTAGTAGAGATGGGGTTTCACCATGTTGGCCAGCTGGCCTGGAACTCCTGACGTCAGGTGATCCACACACCTCAGCCTCCCAAAGTGCTGGGATTACAGGCATGAGCCACCAGTCCTGGCCAGATTGTGAGATGTATTTCAAACATGTTAAACCAATTAAATTTCATCAAATTTTCCTAACAGCAAGAGCATAGTAAGTGAATTATAACTATTTTTCGCTTCATGTTTGCATTAATTAATATGAGATTAATATTGAAAAAACTGATTTGTAAACAGGGTTATTGTGTATAGAATATATAATTAATGTCATTAAAATCTATTTGGTGGAATGTTTTTGTCTGTGCAGTATGAAGATTATGATTCATGCAGATGTATGTTGAATATAAGTGGAAGTGCGGCATATATGCAATCATTGATACAGTCAGGTGAAGTAGTTAATTTTTGCATTATAGAATGGCATACAAACTTGAAAATGCATGCTATTCTAAAAGCAATGGATTGCTTTCGAATATACTACAGTCACTATTCCCTTTTACTCATTAAAAAAACAAAAACCAAAAACAAACAGAAAAAAACAACTAAAAACAACACAATGTAGAGACGAATCACCAACACCAAGGTTTTATAAGTTGTATTTGTCATTAAACAAACAAACAAAACAAAAAAACACAACACAATGTAAAGATGAATCACCAAGCACCAAGGTTTTATAAGTTGCATATGTCTGTCCAGTATTGTAAAAGAGGATGTGCTAGACACAAACTTAGTTGCTGCAAAAAATATCTCTCAAAGTGCTGCTATTGTCTACACCATAACTACTTGAGTTCTTATCATTTCTCTCCTAAACTATTCTGCTTCCTTCCTCATTATTTGGGAGGAAATTTTAGAAATGCAACCTAATTGTGCAATTATTCTGCTAAAAATCTATATGTGGATTATCACTTACTTTAGGATAAAGCTTAAATTTAGTATCGTGTTTTAACGGACCTTTCTTCATTTTGTTCATGATTTCCACTCAAATTCTGTTACTGTCTTTCTTACCATGTATCTTGTAATGCAGTTATACTTCATAAACTGTGATCCACCAAATATCCTATGTTTTCCCATATTATTGTGTCTTTTCAAATACTGCTTGTGTGCCCAAATCCCTCCATATTATCCATCAATTTAATACACTATTCTTCAAACCAAGTTCACATCATCTTCGCTACCAAGCATTTTATGGCTTCTCAATCCTCCCTTATACCCAACAAACATACCTAAAATTCACTGGGTTTTTTTCTTCTATACCTCAGTAATAATACCTGCATGCTATTAAGCTTGTTGGCTTAATTTTGGGGGGCATCAAAGACATTTGCTTACATATCTCTCAATCTTTTGACAACTTTCTAAAAATTAGGAGTCCCAGTTTCTTCATATTTTATACAGTACCAATCTCATATTGTGATTATGAAAGAAAATGAGACATGCACATTAGGTTCTCCATAAATGAGCGATCACTATTTTTTTTAACTTTTCTGTTATTACCACCTCATGAGACTTTTTAGGGAGTTCACTTTATCTGCATTTTTTTCAAGACCTGGAAGTGCCTATAGTAGAAGCTTAAAATATATATTGATGAGGTAAAGGACAGAAAGGGATTAAATGAAGGAGGAAGAAAGAAAGACCAAAGGAGAGCTAGGAGATGAATAATAGCTTGAGGCAGAGTAGAGTAGAAATGTGTAGAGTAACTCAAGCTTTTATGTAAGGAGTACAATTTCCAGGCTTCATAATTTGTTACTGTCTCTTGTCAAGAGGGCTGTTGTCATTGATATAAAAAGGAACAAACATCCTTTCATGTTGCTGAGCATTCTAATATCAATAGCTTTTGTTTCTTCTTTTAAACAGTATTTTCTCAAAAAGTCTGAGATTTTGGAGAATCATCTACTTTCCTGTGATTCAGGCATTTTACACCTCATAAAACCAAAACTGAAATATGACCTTTGTAATGATTTGTTACTTCATCTATTATCTTGATTTAGGTTTCTATTCTTCTTTTGCTTTATTACAAAGATGTTTTTCTATCTATCTTAGCCAATGTAAGACTGCTGTATAATGTTGTTTTATTTTAATGAATTTCTACTATCCAGTTCCTTCAATTCTCTTAAGAATGTTCATTTTGACCGGGTATGGTGGCTCATGCCTGTAATCCCAGCACTTTGGGAGGCCAAGACGGGTAGATCACAATGTCAGGAGTCGAGACCATCCTGGCCAACATGGTGAAACCCCGTCTCTACTAAAAATACAAAAATTAGCTGGGTATGGTGGCACGTGCCTGTAATCTCAGCTACTCGGGAGGCTGAGGCAGGAGAATGGCTTGAACCCAGGAGGCAGAGGTTGCTGTGAGTTGAGATCGTGCCACTGCACTCTAGCCTGGCGACAGAATGACACTCCATCTCCAAAAAAAAAAAAAAAAAAAAAATTCATTTTATCAATTTTGTAATTCTTCAGAAGGATATAAGTAGAGGTTAAATCCCATTTTCGCTTTTTATATTCAATGCTTTATTCTAAAACCACAACAGAAGAAGGTATCCAACATAAATAAAAATAATAATTTCCTGAGTAACTTGTTTTCTTTAGTCCAGGGTTTTGTTTTGTTTTATTTTGTTTTGTTTATAGTACGTGCTTTGTTTTTGAGTTCTTGGTAAGATCTATCTTTAAAGGGTGTATTTGGTCTATGGCATCTTTACATGGCACAGAGAAAACAAAGTTATCCCGTAAACCTGAGCATAGGTCACATATTGGTTCAACTGGTTGAGTTGAACCAAGTAACTCAGGTCACTTTTCCCCAAAGTCCTTATTATGTTTCATCATGATTATTGCGCATTCCTTTAGTCTTCATTCTCTATCTTAACTGAAAGAAAGCACTAATACACAGCCTACTCATTAACCTAAACTACTAGAAGCTGAGGTTTGTCAGACAGCAGAAGCCAGAAAATTTCCACAGAAAACTTGAGTATCTTTAAATACATTTTGTACATTTGTCATCTTAACACATGTCCCCTATCCAAATCATTCTAGCATGATGATTGAGCCCATGGACTTAAGATTGACCTAAATACAAGACTTGCCTCTGAGACTTTGAACAAGTCACTGAATCATTCTTTGCCTTGGTATCTTTGTTTATAAACTAGAGACAAGTCTAGTTTCTGCCTCATAGAATTATTATATGGATTAAAACATGATAGCATATAAAAAGTATTTTTCAGAGTCTGGGCATGCTTGTGCAACACTCCGTTCTTCCATGCCATTTTATTACCAGTTCAGTTCTGACTTATATATATTACAGTGAACACATGAGTTTTACATGTATGCTACATTATAAATATGAAAACCATAAATAGTTTCTAAATAAACGTGTTTAATGATTAGCTTCATTTGAATGAAGACTAGGGCTCCATTTGGCTGGTGTGGTAGGCAGGTATGCTGTCACAAAGCGTGTCATGTTCACATGCAGTACATTGAGTCAGCAGTAGCAGGAGATGCAGGGAGGGGGTCTGTGCTGCACATCAGTTCTATCTCCTGTAATACCTGGTGATGGAAGATCTCCATGGGCTCAAAAAATCCTTGAGTTGTTGCCATGCATATTGCCACATTGCATTTTTAACAGTAACAGGTACAGCCACTGGAAAATTCCTTACTTATCATCTATAGATCTTTCATTAACAAATACATTATTCCATTACATTCATCATTATATGTACAATATAACTAAGGAAAAGAAAAATCTTGTCACAGTATTATCATTATAAGGAAGGTTTTTTTCTCCCCCTATAAGAACCCAAGCCCTATGGGATTAGGGCCGCATGCTGTAACTTTATTTAACTGTAATTACCTTCTTAAAGGCCCTATCTCCAAGGTGGTTAGGGCTTCAATGTGTGAATTTTTTGGGGGGATACAATTTTTTGGCCCATAACACCTGCACAAAGACAGCCCTTGCTTGTAACACCCAAATATGATATTCCTTCCTCAGAACTCTAATAACACTGTGATTATAACACACAGATTCTACTACAGTTATACTGCCTTGCTTTCTTGTTTGTATGTGTACGTAGGTATACTTGAGGACTTATGAAAGGAGGTGGTAATATTTGCATCTCAGTATTTTCCAAAGTTTAGCCATGGTCAGATATTAAGTGTGTACTATCTTTTTTTCTGTCTAATTTTACTTTTAAGAAAGAGAAGATATGATCCTGAAAGAAAAATGTATCTAGAACATGAAGACTCTCCATCACTTGAAAATGCTAAACCCACTGTGAAGCTATTGATCTATCTTGTGTGCCTTGTCATCCTGCCTATTCATTTAGACTATTAATGGACATTATTGTTCCTTGTACATAGTAAAATTGGTCTCTTGATCATATTATTTCCAAGAAAGTGTGTGTATTATTAATCACAAACAGACTTAATAGAATGATTGGACAAGAGAAATAGTTACAACTAAATATATATCCAGAAAACTTAGTGTATAAACCCAGGAGAGTGTCTGCAAATTAACAAAACATGGTAAGTAACATCAGTATAAACTATGTAGATATTAACTAGTTAAATGAAATGGTAAGTAGTGTTTATGAACTTCTGAAATAGGCTGCAGAGTTGGCAATGATGGAATAACTAGTGGGTTATTATGGAAGCATTTGTGGAAAAGCAAGTCTTCAAATGGGGTATCTGATGAATTCTTATTTATTGAAATTTTATTTCGTGGAAGCCATAAGAAGCAATGGAAGCTGCTACTGTGGATTTACTTCAAGTCCACAGAAAAGAAGGAATTAGGAGTCTTACAAGAAGTAGACAACTTAGAATTAGATGACAATGGTTGAAAGAGATAACTTGAAGACCAATATTTGTACCTGAAAAGTTAGAAATATACTTCTCAATGTCATCAAAAAATAAAATCTTTTATGAGAAATTGTGAGATAATTATATCTCAAGAAAGAAGAATGAATCTAAAAAAATGCATTGCTTAAGAGAGTCATTAATTCACTTATTTTAACTTTCCTATTTCTAAAGATGTATAAGTTTTTATTCTGAAGAGACCTTTAGAGTGAAAAACAGTATGTCTCCAAAAAGATAATACTTGAAAACACTACACGTAAAATATTAAAAAGTATCCATCACGAAGGATGAATAAAAAATAATGTTGCCAACCAAAAATAATGGTTGCAGGAAACCTAGAGTTGAAAACGAGTCAATGCTTATCCAAAATGCTAGGAGGTAATGCAGCAGATTGTCCCTAAATCGTAAGAGTAGCTAGCATAATACTGATGTTTAACAGAGTATAAAATGCCCTTCAAACTAAAGTGGGTGAAACGAATGTATGTTAAAATAATTGAAGTTTTAGAAAGAACATACATAATGAGGAAATACCTACACATTTTAATGATGTGTTGTTTCAGGAAATTTTTATCTCAAGTATCAGAAGGAATTTCATATCATTTCAGAGATATGTTATAGTAAGAATGATAATTAAGAGAAGGAGGCTTTTCATAATATATCATAAAGACCTGTCTTTCACCTCATTCTTGCCAAATTTTATTATTTCTTTAAATGGATGACTTGAATGAACCTCTAGAAGCCAAGCTTTAAAAGATTAGGTTCACACTGTACTGTGCTTACCACTGCATTGCATAAGACATTTAAAAAGTACAATAATATGTTCCAGCAATAATCAACAGGGAAAATGTGAAGTGTTGCATTTGTATTTTTAAAAAAATTGCAAATAATATGTGTGTGTTAGGGGTTGGGGAGTGGGAAGGGGCAATTCTGGTTGAATAATATTTTTGAAAGAATAAAATGAAATAAACTAAAGTGTTTTGAGGTCTAATCAAGCAAGACTATTAATTAAAAGACTACTAATAATTAAAAATCATGGTTTTCAATGAAATAATAGTGTTCAAAAAGACTGAAAGCAAATAACTTGCCCTAAAGTCTACATTGGAAAAACCCAATTAAGCTCTCAGGTCAGGTTTTAGGAGTGTTTTAAACAATCAGCATGCATCCAAAACATGGTGAGCAATCTACTTGAAGGTTGCTGGAGAATATGTTCAAGGTGCAAAGATAGGATTAAAGGTAAACAGAATGTTGAGATAAAGAATACAGAAAGATAGTAGCAGCTATGATAGTCTTAGAGCTACAGAGGCTAGATACAGAACCAATATGAAGATATTAAAGAGATGAAGATTCTTTACCATAACAGAATATCTTAGAAAATTGATCTGTTCAGCAGATAAATGACCTGACTCAAACAGCATCGAGTTTCTAGTCACTTCTAGTATTTGAAACATATGATTGATGACCACTTATCAGAGATATTGACATTGATAATTTCTACTTTAGGTGAGTGGTTAGGCAAGTTTATGTCTTAGGTCATATCCAACTCAAAATTTCTATGATTATATCAAGTGGAGGTGAAAAATCTTTTAGATTTGATGAACTCACACTGACATGTATAAGTGTAACTGATAATAAATGCCTGTTGGCCAGCTGGGGCCAAAAATGAACTGTTCTTTCTTTTTATTATGTATGGTGACTGTTTGAAAACTTATTTGAGGATATGAAAATACTTTATCCCTTCAAAGCAGTAATTTCTGCACTAATGTGATATTGCTGGAATGGCATATTATATATTTTATGTATATATATCTATATCTATATATATATCTCCATTCTTCTAGGAATAATGTAATAAACTACAGCATTTTTCTGTCATGAGAAATGGTGGTGCCAATAATAAGAACTTGCCCTTCTCATGCTAATATAATAGCAGATATTCCTGTTTCATTTCAAATTCATATATGAACAAAATAATAGAAGTTCACATGTACAAGTAGTTCTGAAGTATGTCAAGCAATTCCATAAATCTAAGTCAGATTTTCTACATGAAAAATAACCATTATCAATCTCATGCTAAGTGGGTGTTTAAATTTTCAGAAATCAAAACAATTGAAAAATAAAATCAGTCATCATAAAAATCAGAGCTATAGTTCATCAATCAGGAGATGTCAGAAGTTCCCATATTTCCATAACTCCATTCAATCCGAAATAATCACAGACAATGAAAATAAGTTATAAAATACATAAATGTCACTTTTGCTTCCCTGGTGTTTTGAACCTGGAAAAATTCAGATTCACAGAGACTCTACTCAGACATTTTATCAAAAACAGTCAGACTACCCTGCATGACTAGTTTGATTGCAAAAGAGCAGAAAAAAAATAGCTAAGGCAGACTACACAATCTGATCTGTTTTGTAAGGATCCAATCAATCCAATGACTATGTCATGCTCTGGCTTCTAGGAGCAAAATTAATACTTCTTGTTTGAAATGATTCCTACATTGCATGTGAATAAGCCTAATCTTTTTCTTCTTTTAATATATATATATATTATATTGTATAATACACACACACACACACACACACACACACACACACCTTGGGAACAAATATATAAATTTCTTCATTAAAATAATAGTTTTACAATATTTACTCCCACCTTAGACTTTCATTCTGTATGCTGTGTCTCTTTCATCTACTTCTTGCCAACTCATGAATGAACAATTTTTACAGAGTTCAGGATCTCCCTGTGAAGTTCCTCTTTCTGTGGCTTACATTTCTGCTGTTGGCAATTGAGTACCAGAGACAGCTCAATCTGATGCCAACTTTGGCAGCACTGAACTGAAGCAGTTTTCCAACATATTTGACTCGGATCAACTCTTCTCCTCTGTTGATTTGCATCCTGAGAGAACACAATTATAGGTAACAGCAAAAGGGGAATTTAAATTTCTCCTTTACTTGAGTCCCCGTTTACCTTTGCAACAGCAAGAATTAATTGCATCTCAAGCCATATTTCATAGCTCAATCTTTTTCCTTGGATCCCTTGTTAAAATACTACAAAGTTATTGCTAGTGCACAATGACCTTCTGCTCCGAGAGCTGGAACTGCAGGGAATGGGAATAGAACTGCTTTGGGTTGGCAGAAAATGTACTATTTGAATCATTGCCCAATAACCAGAGACAGAGGTACTAAAGCAGATGATGTGTAAGCAGGTGCTTTTCAGGCCTCAGTGACAGCATTAAGAGCTCTGGTTGGAACCAATCTTCGTTCTGCCAGTTCCCCTACAGTGCACAGTGAAGTGTATTCTTTTGCTTTCCAACACGAATGTGCTGGTGGATGCATGTTTTATATTTTATAAATTGGAATAAGTTTGAGATTCCTTACCCAGCTTTGTAGAAAATTGCTGAACATTTGTTCTGGTGCCCAGTCTATGCCCATGCAGTTTGAGGAGTTAACTGTAACAGCATATCTGTTTTGCTTCTTGGAAAATATAGCTCATAGTGGTTGTATTAGTTTTCTATTGCTGATGTAACAAATCGCTACAAATTAAGGTGCTTAAAACAAAACGAAGTTATTATTTTATAATAGTTCTGTTAGCAATCCAGCACATATCTCACCCGGCTAAAATCAAGGTGTCGGCAGGTCCGCATTCTCTTCTGAATGCTCTAGAGAAGAATCCCTTTCCTTGACTTTTCTAGCTTCAGCAGGCCACCCATTTTCCTTGCCTCTTCGCCCTCTTTCTCCATCTTCAAAGCCAACAACTTCTGGGCTAGTCCTTCTCACATCACATCACTCTAACATTCCTTTTGTCTTTTGTTCTCAGAACTCTTTCTCTGATCTTCTTCGACCTCCTATTTGCACTTTTTTTTGAGACCGAGCCTTGCTCTGTTGCCCAGGCTGGAGTGAAATGGCATGATCTCGGCTCACTGCAACCTCCACCTCTTGGGTTCAAGTGATTCTCTTGCCTCAGCTTCCCAAGTAGCTGGGGTTACAGGCGCCCTCCACCATGCCCGGCTATTTTTTGCATTTTTTAGTAGAGACGGGGTTTCACTATGTTGGTCAGGCTGGTCTCGCACTTCTGACCTCAGGTGATCCACCTGCCTCAGCCTCCCACCGTGCTGGGATTACAGGCGTGAGCCACCGCGCCTGGCCCCTATTTGCACCTTTAAGAATGCTTGTGATTGGATGTTACACCACATGGCAAAGGGAAATTAAGTTTTTGGATGAAACGATAGTTGTCAGTCACCAGAAAAAGTGATTATTCTGGATTATCTGGGCAGATCCCATGACAAGCAACCTTAATAGGATAAGTTTTTGTAGATAAAATAACCTTAATAGGATAAGGATGCTTGTGATTGGATCTGCCTAGACAATCCAGAATAATCACTTTTTCTGGTGATTGACAACTTTAGTTTCATCCAAAAACTTAATTTCCCTTTGCCATGTAGTGTAACATACTCATAAGTTTCGTGGGGCAGGACATGAACATCTTTGGGGACTATATTCTACCTACCACAGCCCTGGTTATCCATATGTTTCCCCTATCCTTGGAAGAATTTCTTCACCTCTGACTGTAATCCTAATTACTATTTTTTAAACTAAAAGGTAATAATAATAATGGAATATTAATTTATCATCTATTTATTTCACAGTTCTAGACAGAAATACTGTCAAGAAAATGTTCTATACTCTTCTTTCGGCTATCACAGCTTACAGGGAGCAGGAAGAGAAAACAAAAATCAGAGTTTTTAAGACCATGGTGCCATCTCTTTCTGTAACCTGTATATTGTTGTATCTTTTAATTCCCAGTCAACCGAATGGGGCTTCTCAAATTCACACAGTTTAGTTCCCAAGAACTGTCATAGAACTGTTGGTGAGAGTGAAGATCCTTGGAAAACAAAATCCTAGTGATTTTTAAAATAGTATTAAAGTAAGAAACACTAAATACGTGTAAACTATTTGGAAATTATGCTTGGTCTAGTTTGTTCTTTTATGTCTTATTTATTTGTTTTTTATCTACAAAAACTTACTTCTATGTAGCAAATTATATAGAAGTAAGTTTTTGTAGATAAAAAACAAACTCCTGTCTCTTTCTCTACATATATATAATGTACAGACACACACATATATATAGCAACTATTTTATCATGCTTAACATTAATACTCAAGGACCAAATTTTAAAATTACAAATTAAATTGCATTTTTCCAATAGGAAGAAATCTGAAGTTTTATTCTAAAAATAAAGTATGCAAATGTTATTAGAGAAAAAATGACTTTTTAAATGAGACTCATTGCCATGAAGATGAGACTGAAAATTTCTTTAATTTTAGCACCAGCAGTTGAAGGGACAGTGTGCTATTTGCTTTGAACATTTAAGGCTAAAATTGTGTTTTCTTCACTCACAACCAGTTAGATGAATATGAATTTTTAAAAGAAGCATTAAAAAAATACAGCTCCATAGTTTCAAAAAGTTTTAGCATCAATAACAATGCTAGAATATAAAGTTCATTTTTCTTTTCAATCTATAATCATAATGCTAATGTACCTGTTCTTAAATCATATAGTATAAATAAAGGGCTGAGGGACTGGGAATATACCAGTCTATCTATATCTATCTATAGATATGTAGATATATATTTATGCAATCTATATCTCTCTATATATAGATAGTTATATCTGGTACAGTTAATTGACTGTCTCCTATTGACAGTAGTACTAAAATATGCAATATCCTTTTAAATCTTTTATGTTTTGCCACACTTGGGGAAAATGTTCCACTATATGTTCCATCTATGTAATTTGATTATATGGAAATATTTATTGAAATAAAACACTTAAATATCATATACATAAAAGTTAACAATTTATAAGCGCACATCTTAATGACTTCCAGGAATTGAACAGAGTTGTGTAAACAGCACACAGATCCAGAAACAAAGTCTTAACAGTACTCTGCATTCTTCTGAGTCACCATAGACCACTCTGCATCCTTCAATTATAGCTTTAACTTACATTCCTGATATTTTCTGGTTGCACATTTGTCTTTATCACTTAACTAAAGAGGAATATGGAAGCAAAGTGATTGTCACTCTGACTTCAAATCGCTAAGTTCAAACCCTGGATGTGACATTTATAATTTGTTGACCTAGGACATGTTATCAGCCTCAGTTTTTCCATCTGTAAAAATGGGAAATTTTAGCTCTTATCTCATAGGTCTATTGTGACTATTAAGTAGATTAAGGCAACTAAAGCCCTTATAATCATGTCTTAAGTAAGCTCAATAGATATTAGTTCTTTATTATCTTTGTTATGTTGTAGAGCTCTGTCCAGGATAGAATGTGTTACCTTTATGTCACACCATTATATGTGAACCAAACCTTATTTTATTCTACTATAAGACTGCTGTGAATTTTTTCTTTCAGTTTTTCTTTTTCTAATAATCAAGGGCTTTATTTCCTATTTATATCCTATTACCTTCCAGCTCAAATTCCAGAATCCTAAAAAGTATTTTGTCCTTTTCTCTCTATTTATATTTCCAAGTACACAGAGAACATTAGCTCATTTCTGTTGACTCTTTTTTTTTGCTTTTTAAATGTGGTCTTTGGGAATCTCCTATGCCATTGAGAATGATGCGCTTCAAAGAGTTGTCTTCTATGCTTTCTGTTGTCAAAGTAATTGTTTTTGTTCATCAATCTGCTTCTCCAGTCAGGGGCTGATAACCTTGTTTGAACACTGAATGCATAGTTTATCAGTTATAAAGGAGAAATTTGCCTTAAAAGAGTATAAATCTTGATAGGGCAGGAGACAATGTGTAATTGAAATTTTAAGCAAGACTCATCAGCTAGATTGCTGAGAGTGATACCTGTGTCAGGAAGTCAAGAAAAGATGAATGTCAGGATAATCAGTATGAAATATGTCTAAAACCTGGAGTGAGAAACATGGATTTGATTTAGAAATTTGGACATGGAAATAATTTTCTTTAACAAATGTTATGTATGCCAACATCATTTATATACATCTTTCATTCAGAAAATATAGAAGACTTTAGGTTTTGAGTTAAAGATTTGAGTGTCTTATATCTGTTTTCCGGAAAATTCTCACTGTTTAGTAGAATACATAGAGCTAGTTTAACCCCATCAAACCAATGAGAAAATATGAATTTAATACCAAAGAACTTAAGTGTTTATGATTGTATCATAAAGGTCTTAGAGTAGACAATGACCAGGCAGACATTTAAAATAATCCTGTAGGAGGGCTTTTTCAATTTCAATTTTTATTTCTTTATTATTTACATGCATAAAATATAGATCCCTTGTCAATGACAATTTTATAGATAATTCATTTATTTGCTTGAAAGCTACTCATTTGTTTCCTCTGAGAAGACTAATAATAAACCTCATTATTTTTAAAATAAAAGAATTGATTAAATGTAATACAGTTGTTGATTTTAAAAATCCATTTGTGCAGAAGCATTTAGCTGAAAATAAAATCATATATTCTGTCATATTTCAATGATCATAGGGACATATAACTAGACTGAGTTGCCCTCTCATTTAAAAAGAAAATGATTAGATATTCTTTCCCATAAGGAATTCTATAATATTAATTAAATGTGTGGTATAAAGAGCTGGTATATTTTTTTTTAGAATTATTTGATTTTATTTTTCCCTAGAACTCTTAAACTTCAGCTTCACCAAGTAACAGGCTGACTTTTGGAATAAAAACTCTTTCCCAGGTTGTAACCCTTTCCAGAAGACAGAATTTATTAAATAACATGGTTCCGGGATGTTTCCACCCCAGAATTCTAAACCAGTCACAGAATCATTTCTTCTAAGGTCTTGATTACAATCAAACAATCTACAGACACATGTAACAGAATAAAAATAGTATATAATGTTTCTTTCCTTCTCTTGCTCAATACACTTCCCTCTTTTCCCCCAAAGAGTTTGTTACTCAAAGTTGTATGAGTACAGTCAGCCCTCCATATCCATAAGTTCTACATCCATGTAGAACTGCCAATAAAAAAATTCAGAAAAAACATTCCACAAAGTTCCAAAAAAGCAAAACTTAAATTTGCTGAACACCAAGCACTATATTGAATCCATGCAAATGAAGTGATGTGTGTGTATTTTATTAGGTATAAGTAATCTTCAGATGATTTAAAGTACACAGGAAGATGTATGTAGGTTATATGCAAATACCATATAACCCATTTTATATAATGGGACTTGAGCACCCAAGGATTTTGATATCCAGTGGGGTTCCTGGAAACCAATCCCCCAAGGATACCAAGGGATGACTGTATTGCCCTTTCCAAGAAAGCATCTATCAGCTCTGATTCATGACACAGAATAAGGAATTCCTTATTCATAAAACAATATAATAAGTATTCTGAGCTAACTGTTCTCAGCCATCAACAAATTAAACATGGCCATATGTGGTGGCTCATGCCTGTAATCCCAGCACTTTGGAAGCCAAGGCAGGAGGGCTGCTTGAGCCCAGGAGGTTGAGACCAGCCTGAGCAACCAATGAGACCCCATCGCAAAATAAATAAATAAATAAATAAATAAATAAATAAATAAATAAATAAATAAATAAAAAGAAGCCATTCCCAGCTACTTGGAAAGCTGAGGTAGGAGGATTGCTTGAGGCCCGGGAGGTCAGGGGTTCAGTGAGCTGTGATTGCACCACTGCACTCCAGCTTGGGAAATAAAGCAAGACCCTGTCTCAAGAAAACAAATTAAACTTGTTTGACTCTATATTTGACTTTGCTTTAATCAAAATCTTCTATTTGCAAAAACCAAACCCTATTTTTAAAACTCCTTACAATTTCCATTACGACTTGGAGAGGATGGAGGGAATGGGGAAGAGTTGGTTTGTTTTGTGGAAGGAGATTCTGAAAAGGGCAGTTATTTAGTTTGAAGTCATTAAGTAGAAAAACAAATGTTCTTTGTTTGATAATGACAACTCTTGTAGATAAAGACCAAAAGATTCTGGTCCTGAAATTATATTATAATATTGTTTTCAATACATTCAGAATTTATATTACTCTTGAATTTCTTTTCCCTGAGATTGGATTCAAAGTTTGGTAGAGATACTTTAAAGAGATAGTTAGTAGGGGTGAAGAGGAAACAATGTTTATGTCTAACAGCACCTGGGCAAATGTGTAACATCTGTCATTTTGATCTCAGCATCTATCTCTCTCCCTTGAATCTGCAAATGTTATAGAAGGAGATGATTGTTTTCCTTTTTATTCTTATTTGCTTGGACTCTCTCTCCCATTACATCCACCCCAACATTATTATCACTAATCATAAAAATGAATTGCCTTTCCAAAGATATGCTATAAAGCAAACCTTCAATGTCAGGTTGTTTAGATTTAGAAGAGAAGGGCTCAAGTGAGTTTGCTTTTATTCATACAATTATTAGGGAAAACAAGCAAAATTTCCAGTAACCCCAAACACTGCCTTTTCTCCCTGGATCTAGTTAATTCCTATCAACTCTTTAGTTCACTCTAGGGACTGGCTCTAGGAGATCCTGACACCTAAAATACAGGTACAGATTAGCTTGCATAAACTTTTCGGTCCAGGTCTTGGCCTCCAGTCTTATGATGGGCTGGTGGAATATTGCTTCATCAGATGCTTGTGACAGGGGCTGCAAACTCGCTCAGGCTTCATAGTTGAAGGAAGAGGCAGTTCATTTGTTGAACAGGCATCACAGAAGGTTCCTCTGCAGTTTTTACACACATTCTTTGTTAGGCTGACATCTTCCCGGCGTAGCTGACATACCTGTGGTTTCTCAGAGAGCAGCAGCTGATCCTGTTCATCCATAGGATGGGGTTGCAGTCTGTGGCTTTCTTCCAGAGGCATTTTTAGTTTAACATTTTCCTCTTGCATTTTATGCTTCCCATCCATCTTGGATTCTGGCTTCTGGGAACCCTTTCCTGGGATACTCCTGTTGTTTTGTAATTTTCTTTCTTTTTCCTGTTTTAGTTCCAACTCAAGCTGGTTCTGCTGCCTGGTGAGCTCCTCGACTTTTAGCTGCAGACAGTTGATCTTGTCTTCAAAGTCCTGTTTGAAGAGCCGGTTGTCCAACTCAGCAGACCGACAGCTCTGCTCAGCCTGGTGCAATCTTTGTTCAAGTTGTTTAATGATAACAGCCATCTGATTAGTCTTCTCTTCCAAGCTACTATTTAGTTCACTTTTCTGTTTTACTCCTAAGTCTGAACTCTGCAGCTTAAAGGCAAGTTCATGCTTGAGGGGCCTGAGATCATCCACCTGCTGCTGAAGACATACCAGGGCATCCTGCTTCTCACAGACATCCTTCTCCAGCATCTTCATATCTCCTGCCTCATGCTGATCTGCATCTCCAGTTCTTTTTCAACATCCAGTGGTAATTGTGTCTCTTCTTTTAAATGCTTTCTTGCTTCATTTAGTGCTTGCCCTGTTGCAGTTCTGTCTTGCTTGGGACCCTTTCAACTGGATTCCAGTATGTAGGAACTTTCCTCTCTAACTCGTTACATTTCTTCTTGTAAGGTAATAATCCTGTTGTTTGCAACCGCAAGCTCCTCTGTCAGTTTAGTGTTGGATTTTTCTAATGCATCTACTTTTGCCTGAAGGTTGTTTACAGTAGCATTCAAATGTCTGTTGGGTTCTTCTACAAAGTTCTTCTGGTCCAGAATCGCAGTAATCTGACTGTCTCCTTCACTAACTTTACTGCTGTTCCCGTCCTTGAGATACATTGAAAAATCTGTAACTCCAGCCTGAGAGTCCAAGTCTTCTCCTTTCACACAGAAATTGGCATCAGTTACATTCAGACCCACCAACAGGCCAGCAATTATGGCTCCTTCTTCTTCCATCATAAGGGCACTGGGTTCGTAGAATTCACTGAGAAGTTCTTTCTTATTGATCAAAGCTTTCATATATTTGAAAGTTTCTTTTGCATTAATGCCAAGCGAAGGCAGGCTCTTCCTCTACCTACTGGCGTCTTAAGTCCTGGAAGATCTTTAAAACTTGCTGTTATCTCTGCGGCTCCTGGAACAGGCTTTTCTACCAGTTCTAGAGCCCCCCAGAAGGATTTATTTTGTCCAAGTTTTTTTTTTTTTTTTTTTAGAGCTTTCAAGCCATATTTCAGACAGTGCTCCATCACCACAAAGAATTGCTGAAGAGGTGCATAGTCAGAGTCAAGAGTCCTCTCCAGGTTCAGAGCTGATTCAGTCAAGCCCTTGATAGTCAGCTTGGCCGTGTTCATGAGGTTCATGTGTTCCTTAGCCATGAGATAATTAGGATGGTGCTTGCCGCTGCCGCTGCAGCGCTGCTGCTCAGGTAGCTCAGCAGCAGGAAGGGTAGCGGGCAGCAGGCGACAGCGGGGTCCTCCAGGAGCGCTGCTGCTCAGCTGTGGGCGCACTCCGAAGCCGGCTCCTCGATCGCCTGGGTACAGCAGGAAGAAGGGGGCGGCCACGGCAAGGCAGCCTCCGACTGCCCGGCGGGGGAGGCCGGCGGCGGCCCCTTCTCGCCCTCTCCTATAAGCAGTTTTATAAGCTTCCTGAGACTAGAAAAAGAAAAGAAAAGAAAAGAAAAGAAAAGAAAAATCAGTCTCTATTTTATATGCGTATAATTTTTTTTATATGCGTATAATTTTTTTTTTAACCAAAAACTCATTATGGACAAAACAAACTACCATCCCACTCCAAATTATCTCTGCATCATGCTCACAACCTCAGCACAAAGTTCAATAGAAGTTTATTGGATATGTTGGCTTCAATCATTGAGTGCCGTAATGATGAAATTTCGTCAGTTTTTGTAAACATTCTCTGAGGCCAGCTAAAACTCAGGCTGTTCTGAGGGTTACACTAATTTTGAGAAAGGCTTGCAATGAGGATCCCTTTTTTTGTCTACCTCAGAAAAAATATATAGGTTTAAAACCAGAGTTCTTCGTTAATGTCACACATCTAAAACCTAGATACACAGGATAATTACTTTATCGCTATGGTAATTAATATATAAATATTTTAGAATATTAGGAAAATTTAGAAAGTTTTGCTAGTGCTGTTTGCCTTCATTAGGAAATGCTTAAACAATAAATTGATAACGATTGTTAAAAAATTAATCTGTGACATTAAATTTTATTTCCAAATATGTTTTATGGGAATTGTATTCTACTTTTTGTATTTTTACCACAGTCTTTTATTATACTACGTATAAACCTGTATTTAATATCATATATGTTTTTGTCTTTGACATTTGAGAGATCCCTATTTTTATGAAATAATCAGCTTTGTAAATATTTCTTATTCTATTTTAAATACTTGGTTCTAAATTACATGAAATACCAGTTTTAAGTATGGTTTTGTGGACAATTAGACACACCAAAAAGTCACCACCACAGAATTATCGTTTAGTGAGAGGCCTTAAGCATGGAAATTGTTAAAGTAAACTTCTCTAACCACAATGGTTGAATGACTTATTCACAGTGGTAATGGAACTATTTGGGTCACTTTCAGAAAAAAAAAATTATATAGTTATGTTACTGCAATTGCAATACATCACTGTATTATTAAAAATGGAAATTATATTTTTACTATTTTTTTGCCTCTCTTCGCCCACCCCCACAAAACAAGGTCCTACTAATTTAGCAAGAAAGTTGACAAGTTACATTTTAATCTGATGCAAGAAAATTTAGACTATTCAGGTATTATTTTTAATTCAAAACAAAGAGTATGTGTGTCTTCCTCACTTTGTGAGACTGAGATAGCATTGAAAATCATCAAATAATTTTTATGTAAAGTTGTAAATTTTAAAAAATGTTTTGAAATGCTTTCAAAGCAATATTTTAAACATGTTTTGAATGTGTTGCCATACACTGTGATTTACATAAGCAAATCTCACCAAAAACAGTGATTAATGTACTTATCATTTTCATTTTAGTGATGAAAAAATTTTGGATTCTTCCACATGGCCTCTAAGAGTGCCATCCAATTCAAAAGGGAATTTTTAATAATTAACCATTCAAAATCTTTAAATGCTTGATGCATTGTAAACACTTATGCTTACAGAACTTCAAAAGAGGAAGGGAACCTATAAGTTAGTAGAAAAGAAGGTTAAGTTTCATGGTTACTAAAAATATTTGAGAGAGATGGATTAATATGCAGTATACATTTCCTGACAGAATTAATTAAAAACAATTTTTAAAGATATTAAATATGAAGGTGTTAAACAGTGGGAAAAGGAGTAGCTTTTCCAAGAAAAAAAAATGATGCTTATGTTGGACACGGTGGGCAGGGAGAAATTCAGATTCTTTTGAAAATGTAAGTACAATATAAAAAGCACATACACAAAATTTAGTTTGGATTTGTTTTCTTTTCTAGTTTTAGCAACTGAAGTCCAATGTTGTTTTAGTGACTGGGCATGATTGTACTTATCCACATCTTTCCCAAAAATGTATGCATACATTTTCTGTCTTCACTTATATTTTATATCTATGTTATCATATTTGGCAGAAAATTATTCTCTACATAGGCATTGTAGCATTTTACATAATTCTAATTAGGCATATATCATGACATATATGGTATAGATCATCCTGGTACTATTGCTAACAAAGTAAAATTTTGCTGAGAAAGTAAGATGAGAATCTTAGAAGCTTTGATTATCAGATGCTGAGGACAGCTGTGGTATTAAAAGCTAATAGTTTGAAAACAATAATCTACTGAAAAAATGATGGTACAGAATGACCATATGCATTATGCTATGTAAAAAGAAAGCATATAGACACACACACACTAGCTATAGAAAGAGACATATTTATATAACACCTCAGTTTTTCTTTAACATAGTTGGTTTTTCCTTTTTTCCCCCATTACTTCTGACAAGTTCAGTACATTGTATAGTTTTTAACCTTCAAAGTTCTTGCTAAGATTAAGTTTTGCTAAGATTAAGAAAAGTGCTTTTGTGCTAATATTGTTTACACTAGAAAAAGCATGAAGGTGTTTTGAGAGATTGTCAAACTCAGCCACCCCTCAATAAACATAAAATTTAATCAAAATCAGTGTACTTCCTAGAAAAACCCAGCTTTAAAGTGAGCTGCCTACTCTGCTTTTGCAAAAAGCAGAAACACACAAACACACCCACACACCCCTATCCATTCCCACCACGCAAATACTCCCGGACAAAAGTCTTTCGCTAAACTTTATCTATACAGAGGTTCTAGATGCAACCATGATATAAGGAAAATTGAATCTGAATTTCAAATTTAATTTTCCCTGAATGTGTACATGGAATGTGTGTGTGTATATGAAATAATTATATGTTGCTGTTCTCAACTGATTATAATGCTATTACGTAATCAATTTTACATTGTGAACATTAATTTTTTTAAATTTATGGACAAAATAATATCTGTTCACTGTGGATAACATGATATTTTGGAGTATAAATATACATTGTGGAATGATTAAATCTATATAATTAACATATGTATTACCTCACATAGTTACCTAACCATAGTTACTGTATTATACAATAGATGTCCTGAACTTTTTTCTCTTCTCTAATTGGAATTTTGTATCCATTGACCAATGTTTCCCCAACACCTACCCCTACCAACCCAGTACCTGGTATCACTCTCCTGTTCTCTACTTCTGTGAGATTAACTTTTTTTAGATTCCACATATGAATTAGATAATGCAGTATTTGTCTTTCTGTGTCTGACTTATTTCACTTAGCATAATGTCCTTTAGGTTTATCCAGACTGTCCTTCTTTTGATAGCTGAATAGTATTCCAGTGTGTACATATAAATATTTTCTTTTTTCATTAATCTGTTGATAGACACTTAGGTTATATCTTGGTTATTGTGAATAATACTAAAACAAACATAGCAGTGCAAATATTGCTTCAACAGACTGATTTCATTTCCTTTGGATGTATACCCAGTAGTGGGAATGCTGGATCATGTGGTGGTCTTATTTTTAATTTTTTGAGAAAGCTCCATATTGTTTCCATAATGGCTGTACTAATACACATTCCCACCAACAATGGGCAAATGTTTCCTTTCCTTTACTTCCTTGCTAACACTTAGCTCTTGTCTTTGATCATAGCCGTTCTAACATGTGCTTGGTCATATCTTGGTCATATCTCACTGTGGTTTGGATTTGCATTTTCCTGATAATCAATGATGTTGAACATTGTTTTTTATGTACCTGATTGCTATTTGAATGTTGTCTTTTGAAAAATGCCTATTCAAGTCCATTGTACAGTTTTTGAGTTATTGCTTCTTTTGCTATTGAGTTGTTTGAGTTCCTTCTATATTATGTGTATTAACCCCTTATTAAATACATAGTTTGCTAATATTTTTCCTGTTCAGTAGGTTGTCTCTTTATTCTGTTGATTGTTTCCTTTGTTGTGAAGAACCTTTTTAGTTTGATGTAATCCCATTTGTCTATTTTTGCTAGCGTTGCCTGTGCTTTTGGGGCCATATTCAAAGTTATTGCCCAGAACAGTGTAATGGAGATTTTTCTCTATTTTTTTCTAGTAGTTTCATAGTTTTGGGTCTTACATGTAAGTCTTTAATTATTTTTGAGTTTATTTTGGTATATGGTGTGAGATAGGGTCTAATGTTTTTCTTCTGCATGTGCATATCTAGTTTTCCCAATAGCATTTATTAGAGAGCCTGTCCATGCATCACTGTATGTTCTTGATGCCTTTGGTGAATATCAGTTGACTGTAAATATGTGGATTTACTTCTGGGTTCTGTATTCTATTCCAATGTTCTACGTGTCTGTTTTTATTACAGAAATATGCTATTTTATTTACTACAGTTTTGTAGGGTATTTTGATTCAGGTAGTGTGATGTCTCCAAACTTTCTTCTTTTTGCTCAAAATTGCTTTGGGTATTTAGGATCTTTGTGGTTCCATAATAATTTTAAGGTATTTTTCCTATTTCTGTGAAGAAAGTCATTGGCATTTTGATAGGGATTGTGTTGAATTTGTAGATTGCTTTGGATAATAAGATCATTTTATCAATATTAATTCTTCAGATCTATGAACACAAGAAATCTTCCCATGTATTTGTGTCTTCTTCAATATCAATGTTTTATAGTTTTTAATGGAGAGATTTTTCACCTTCTTAATTTTTTTTTGTAACTATTATAAATGGGTTAGTTATACATTTTCTTTTTCAGATAATTTGCTGTTAGTATATAAAACCACATTTCCCTCATTCAGATGCTGGTGCCTGCAGTGGAAGTTGCTTGTGGTATGTCTGGTCCAGCCACAGCTTCAAACAGATTTTTGCATGGTGACTTTTTATTCTGCAACTTGACTGAATTCTTTTATTAATCCTAGTAGTTGTTTGGTGGCATCTTTAGGGTTTTCTATATTATAACATCATATTTGCAAAGACAGACAATTTAACTTATTCATTTATGATTTGGATATCTTTTATTTCTTCCTCTTGCCTAATTGCCCTGGTTAAAACCTGAAGTTCTATATTAAATAAAAGGAGCAAGAGTGGGCATTCTTGTCTTATTCCAGATCTGTGAGAAAAAGCTTTCAAATTTTCACTGTTGAATATTATGTTAGCTATTGCTTTGTCTTATATAGTCTTTCTTGTGTTTAGGTACATTCTATACCTGATTTGTTCAGTGTTTTTAACAATAAAATAAAGTTAAATTGTATTCAATGCATTTTCTGCATCTATTATAATGAGTGTATGAATTTTGTTCCTTATTCTATTAAAGTGATGTTTCACATTTGTTAATTTAGACATTGGTGGCGAGAGGCAGACAGTTTCCTAGGCAGGAAGGGGTGGGTCCCTAGTGAAACAGCACCTTCAAGCCAGGGATGGCCTGAACCTATGGGGTTGGGCTTCCAGTTCCAGGTGAAGTCCTCCACCAGGAATGAGAACTTTCTTGGTGCCTTTTGGTCAATCAAGTGATGCTTTATCCAGCCAGATTAGACACTCCTTGGGACCACCTTACTGCTGATAGGATATACCCACTTTGTGTCTCCTCTCTGCGGACAGCCTTTTGGTCACCCAGTAAAGCTCTTCTCCACCTTGCTCACCCTCTAATTGTCCATGTAACCTCATTCTTCCTGGACATGGGACAAGAACTCGGGACTGCCAAACAGCAGGCATGAAAGGGGCTTTAACACATTCCTGGCTGGCTTACCAGGCTGTGGGTGATGACATGCTCCCAGATCGTGGGAGTGAAAAGTGATGACCCTTCTGGGGTCCCAGACCTTAGGACTCCCTGAACCAGAGCTGTAACACTATAGCCCTCTCACCCTCTGCTGGTGCTGGGTGGCTGACCCACACAACACCAAGCAGTGGTGAGGCTGGACCAGCCCAGGAGCCACTGGCCAGAGCAGGGCAGTAAGACTGAAATAGCTGTAACACAAATGGGCCTGCAACAAACCTACCCCCTTACTTACCGTGCTGCAGATGACAAAAAGAAGGAGGAGAAAAGAGCTGCAGCCCTTCTGGGAGTTCAGACCTCAGGGCTTCCTGAGCCAGGGCTGTGACATGCCCTAACACACTCTTTGGGACTCTGCAGTTCCTGGCGTCTCTGAGCTTTCAGGCACCACCACATTTCCCTCATTCAGATGCTGGTGCCTGCAGCGGAAGTTGCTTGCGGTATGTCTGGTCCAGCCACAGCTTCACACAGAGCCAACGCCTGTGCCAGTGCCTGAAGCTGCCTGCCCCACTGCAGCAGCTGACATGCATGACTGTGCACAGTGGCCGGACCCCATGTTCAGTCACTCACACATGGTTTGCTGCTGTGCGCCTGGCTTGCCCTTGGCAGGTGTGGGATCCAGGTCAGTAGTGTGAACCAGATGCAGCCTGCTGGGCTGAGTGGGTGGAACAAGCCCAGCAGGCATGATCAAAACTCAGGCAGAGGCCCCACCAACCACAGAGGTTTCTGTCTAGTGAAGCGACACCCAAAGGATCCTGTGACAGTATGTTGAACCATTCCTGCAGCCCTGGATTTAGTACCATTTGGTCATGTTAATGATCTTTTTTCTGTCCTGTTAAATTCAGTTTGGCAGAAGTTTGCTGAGGATTTTTGCTTCTATACCCATCAAGGGGTCTCAGCCTGCAGTTTTCTTTTTTTGTGATATATTTGGTTTTGCATCAGGCTTAGCTGGCCTCATAAAATAATTTTGTAAGTATTTCTTCCTCTTTATTTTTTTTGAAAGAGTTTGAGGAGAATTAGTATTAGTTATTTAAATGACTGATAGAATTCAGCAGTGAAGTGATGAGGTTTTTGGCTGTTCTTTGATTTGAGGCATTTTATTACTAATTCAACATCCTTACTTGTTACTGGTCTCTTGCGAGTTTCTATTTTCTTCATAACTCACTCCTGGTAGGTTGTATGCATCAAAGAATGTATCAATTTCTTCTATATTATCCAATTTGTTACATATAGTTGTTCATAATAGTCTCATGATACTTTGTATTTCTTTGTATCAGCTATAATGTCTCCTTTTTCTTTCTGATTTTATCTATTTGTCTTTTTTGTTTTTCTTAGTCTAGCTAAAGGTTTCTCAATTTATCTTTTCAGATAAACAACTCATAAACTTGTTGATCTTTTATATTGTTTTTCTAGTCCCTACTTCATTTATTTCTACTCTAATTTTTATTATTTTCTTTCTTCTACAAAGTTTGTGCTTAGTTTATTCTTGTTTTTCTGGTTCCCTGAGATGCAACATTAAGTGTTTTATTTGAGATCTTTTTTTTTCTTTTTTGGTGTAGCTATATGTCACTATAAACTTCTGTCTTTGAACTGATTTTGCTGTATCCCATAGGTTTTGGTATGTGTGTTGTTTTTTTTTGTCTCAATAAATTTAAAATTTTTCTTTTAGTTTCTTCATTGACCTATTGGTTGTTGAAGAACATGTTGTTTAATTTCTACATATTTGTGAATTTCCTGAAGCTTCTCCTATTATTGATTTCTTGTTTTATACCATTGTGGTCAGAAACAATACTCAATATAAATTTTAAAATCTTATATTATTCAAGAATTGTTTTGTGGCCTAACGTGTGATCTGTCCTAGAGATTGTCTCATGTGCAGTTGAGAAGAATGTACATTCTTCAGCTGTTGGATGGAATGTTTTGTATATGTCTGTTAGGTTCATTTGATCTAGAATGTAGATTAACTAGGATGTTGATTTATTTTCTGTCTAGATGACAGAAAAATTCTGGTGTTTAAATTCCCTACTAGTATTGTATTGTTGTCTAGCTCTCCTTTCAGAAATATTTACATTTGCTTTATATATTTAGGTGCTCCAATATTCAGTATATATTTATAAATATAGTATCATCTAAATGAATTTACCCCTTTATTATTAAATAATGCCCTTCTTTGTCTCTTTTTACACTTTTGAAAGTCTGGTTTAGTTGCTGTGGATATAACCATTCTTTTTTTTTTTTATACTTTAAGTTTTAGGGTACATGTACACATTGTGCAGGTTAGTTACATATGTATACATGTGCCATGCTAGTGCACTGCACCCACTAACTTGTCATCTAGCATTAGGTATATCTCCCAATGCTATCCCTCCCCCATTCCCCCACCCCACAACAGTCCCCAGAGTGTGATATTCTCCTTCCTGTGTCCATGTGATCTCATTGTTCAATTCCCACCTGTGAGTGAGAATATGCGGTGTTTGGTTTTTTGTTCTTGCGACAGTTTACTGAGAATGATGTTTTCCAATTTCATCCGTGTCCCTACAAAGGACATGAACTCATCCTTTTTTATGGCTGCATAGTATTCCATGGTGTATATGTGCCACATTTTCTTAATCCAGTCTATCATTGTTGGACATTTGGGTTGGTTCCAAGTCTTTGCTATCGTGAATAATGCTGCAATAAACATACGTGTGCATGTGTCTTTATAGCAGCATGATTTATAGTCCTTTGGGTATATACCCAGTAATGGGATGGCTGGGTCAAATGGTATTTCCAGTTCTAGATCCCTGAGGAATTGCCACACTGACTTCCACAATGGTTGAACTAGTTTACAGTCACATCAACAGTGTAAAAGTGTTCCTATTTCTCCACATCCTCTTCAGCACCTGTTGTTTCCTGACTTTTTAATGATTGCCATTCTAACTGGTGTGAGATGGTATCTCATTGTGGTTTTGATTTGCATTTCTCTGATGGCCAGTGATGATGAGCATTGTTTCATGTGTTTTTTGGCTGCATAAATGTCTTCTTTTGAGAAGTGTCTGTTCATGTCCTTCACCCACTTTTTGATGGGGTTGTTTGTTTTTTCTTGTAAATTTGTTTGAGTTCATTGTAGATTCTGGATATTAGCCCTTTGTCAGATGAGTAGGTTGCGAAAATTTTCTCCCATTTTGTAAGTTGCCTGTTCACTCTGATGGTAGTTTCTTTTGCTGTGCAGAAGCTCTTTAGTTTAATTAGACCCCATTTGTCAATTTTGTCTTTTGTTGCCATTGCTTTTGGTGTTTTAGACATGAAGTCCTTGCCCATGCCTATGTCCTGAATGGTAATGCCTAGGTTTTCTTCTAGGGTTTTTATGGTTTTAGGTCTAACGTTTAAGTCTTTAATCCATCTTGAATTGATTTTTGTATAAGGTGTAAGGAAGGGATCCAGTTTCAGCTTTCTACCTATGGCTAGCCAGTTTTCCCAGCACCATTTATTAAATAGGGAATCCTTTCCCCATTGCTTGTTTTTCTCAGGTTTGTCAAAGATCAGATAGTTGTAGATATGCGGCGTTATTTCTGAGGGCTCTGTTGTGTTCCATTGATCTATATCTCTGTTTTGGTTCCAGTACCACGCTGTTTTGGTTACTGTAGCCTTGTAGTATAGTTTGAAGTCAGGTAGTGTGATGCCTCCAGCTTTGTTCTTTTGGCTTAGGATTGACTTGGTGATGCGGGCTCTTTTTTGGTTCCATATGAACTTTAAAGTAGTTTTTTCCAATTCTGTGAAGAAAGGCGTTGGTAGCTTGATGGGGATCGCATTGAATCTGTAAATTACCTTGGGAAGTATGGCCATTTTCACGATATTGATTCTTCCTACCCATGAGCATGGAATGTTCTTCCATTTGTTTGTATCCTCTTTTATTTCCTTGAGCAGTGGTTTGTAGTTCTCCTTGAAGAGGTCCTTCACATCCCTTGTAAGTTGGATTCCTAGGTATTTTATTCTCTTTGAAGCAATTGTGAATGGGAGTTCACTCATGATTTGGCTCTCTGTTTGTCTGTTATTGGTGTATAAGAATGCTTGTGATTTTTGTACATTGATTTTGTATCCTGAGACTTTGCTGAAGTTGCTTATCAGCTTAAGGAGATTTTGGGCTGAGACAACGGGGTTTTCTAGATATACAATCATGTCGTCTGCAAACAGGGACAATTTGACTTCCTCTTTTCCTAATTGAATACCCTTTATTTCCTTCTCCTGCCTAATTGCCCTGGCCAGAACTTCCAACACTATGTTGAATAGGAGTGCTGAGAGAGGGCATCCCTGTCTTGTGCCAGTTTTCAAATGGAATGTTTCCAGTTTCTGCCCATTCAGTATGATATTGGCTGTGGGTTTGACATAGATAGCTCTTATTATTTTGAAATACATCCCATCAATAACTAATTTATTGAGAGTTTTTAGCATGAAGTGTTGTTGAATTTTGTCAAAGGCTTTTTCTGCATCTATTGAGATAATCATGTGGTTTTTGTCTTTGGCTCTGTTTATATGCTGGATTACATTTATTGATTTGTGTATATTGAACCAGCTTTGCATCCCAGGGATGAAGCCCACTTGATCATGGTGGATAAGCTTTTTGATGTGCTGCTGGATTCGTTTTGCCAGTATTTTACTGAGGATTTTTGCATCAATGTTCATCAAGGATATTGGTCGAAAATTCTCTTTTTTTGTTGTGTCTCTGCCTGGCTTTGGTATCAGAATGATGCTGGCCTCATAAAATGAGTTAGGGAGGATTCCCTCTTTTTCTATTGATTGGAATAGTTTCAGAAGGAATGGTACCAGTTCCTCCTTGTACCTCTGGTAGAATTCAGCTGTGAATCCATCTGGTCCTGGACTCTTTTTGGTTGGTAAGCTATTGATTATTGCCACAATTTCAGCTCCTGTTATTGGTCTATTCAGAGATTCAACTTCTTCCTGGTTTAGTCTTGGGAGAGTGTATGTGTCAAGGAATTTATCCATTTCTTCTAGATTTTCTAGTTTATTTGCGTAGAGGGGTTTGTAGTATTCTCTGATGGTAGTTTGTATTTCTGTGGGATCGGTGGTGATATCCCCTTTATCATTTTTTATTGCGTCTATTCGATTCTTCTCTCTTTTTTTCTTTATTAGTCTTGCTAGCGGTCTATCAATTTTGTTGATCCTTTCCAAAAACCAGCTCCTGGTTTCATTAATTTTTTGAAGGGTTTTTTGTGTCTCTATTTCCTTCAGTTCTGCTCTGATTTTAGTTATTTCTTGGCTTCTGCTAGCTTTTGAATGTGTTTGCTCTTGCTTTTCTAGTTCTTTTACTTGTGATGTTAGGGTGTCAATTTTGGATCTTTCCTGCTTTCTCTTGTGGGCATTTAGTGCTATAAATTTCCCTCTACACACTGCTTTGAATGTGTCCCAGAGATTCTGGTATGTTGTGTCTTTGTTCTCGTTGGTTTCAAAGAACATCTTTATTTCTGCCTTCATTTTGTTATGTACCCAGTAGTCATTCAGGAGCAGGTTGTTCAGTTTCCATGTAGTTGAGCGGATTTGAGTGAGATTCTTAATCCTGAGTTCTAGTTTGATTGCACTGTGGTCTGAGAGATAGTTTGTTGTAATTTCTGTTCTTTTACATTTGCTGAGGAGAGCTTTACTTCCAAGTATGTGGTCAGTTTTGGAATAGGTGTGGTGTGGTGCTGAAAAAATGTATATTCTGTTGATTTGGGGTGGAGAGTTCTGTAGATGTCTATTAGGTCTGCTTGGTGCAGAGCTGAGTTCAATTCCTGGGTATCCTTGTTGACTTTCTGTCTCGTTGATCTGTCTAATGTTGACAGTGGGGTGTTAAAGTCTCCCATTATTATTGTGTGGGAGTCTAAGTCTCTTTGTAGGTCACTCAGGACTTGCTTTATGAATCTAGGTGCTCCTGTATTGGGTGCATATATATTTAGGATAGTTAGCTCTTCTTGTTGAATTGATCCCTTTTCCATTATGTAATGGCCTTCTTTGTCTCCTTTGATCTTCATTGGTTTAAAGTCTGTTTTATCAGAGACTAGGATTGCAACCCCTGCCTTTTTTTGTTTTCCATTTGCTTGGTAGATCTTCCCCCATCCTTTTATTTTGAGCCTATGTGTGTCTCTGCACGTGAGATGGGTTTCCTGAATACAGCACACTGATGGGTCTTGACTCTTTATCCAATTTGCCAGTCTGTATCTTTTAATTGGAGCATTTAGCCCATTTACATTTAAAGTTAATATTGTTATGTGTGAATTTGATCCTGTCATTATGATGTTAGCTGGTTATTTTGCTCGTTAGTTGATGCAGTTTCTTCCTAGTCTTGATGGTCTTTACATTTTGGCATGATTTTGCAGCGGCTGGTACCGGTTGTTCCTTTCCATGTTTATTGCTTCCTTCAGGAGCTCTTTTAGGGCAGGCCTGGTGGTGAGAAAATCTCTCAGCATTTGCTTGTCTGGAAGGTATTTTATTTTTCCTTCACTTATGAAGCTTAGTTTTGCTGGATATGAAATTCTGGGTTGAAAATTCTTGTCTTTAAGAATGTTGAATATTGGCCTCCACTCTCTTCTGGCTTGTAGGGTTTCTGCCGAGAGATCTGCTGTTAGTCTGATGGGCTTCCCTTTGAGGGTAACTCGACCTTTCTCTCTGGCTGCCCTTAACATTTTTCCTTCATTTCAACTTTGGTGAATCGGATAATTATGTGTCTTGGAGTTGCTCTTCTCGAGGAGTATCTTTGTGGCTTTCTCTGTATTTCCTGAATCTGAACATTGGCCTGCCTTGCTAGATTGGGGAAGTTCTCCTGGATAATATCCTGCAGAGTGTTTTCCAACTGGGTTCCATTCTCCCCATCACTTTCAGGTACACCAATTAGATGTAGATTTGGTCTTTTCACATAGTCCCATATTTCTTGGAGGCTTTGCTCATTTCTTTTTATTCTTTTTTCTCTAAACTTCCCTTCTCACTTCATGCCATTCATTTCATCTTCCATCGCTGATACCCTTTCTTCCAGTTGATCGCATTGGCTCCTGAGGCTTCTGCATTCTTCACGTAGTTCTCGAGCCTTGGTTTTCAGCTCCATCAGCTCCTTTAAGCACTTCTCTGTAATCGTTATTCTAGTTATACATTCTTCTAAATTTTTTTCAAAGTTTTCAACTTCTTTGCCTTTGTTTTGAATGTCCTCCCGTAGCTCAGAGTAATTTGATCGTCTGAAGCCTTCTTCTCTCAGGTCGTCAAAGTCATTCTCCATCCAGCTTTGTTCCGTTGCTGGTGAGGAACTGCGTTCCTTTGGAGGAGGAGAGGCGCTCTGCTTTTTAGAGTTTCCAGTTTTTCTGTTCTGTTTTTTCCCCATCTTTGTGGTTTTATCTACTTTTGGTCTTTGATGATGGTGATGTACAGATGGGTTTTTGGTGTGGATGTCCTTTCTATTTGTTAGTTTTCCTTCTAACAGAGAGGACCCTCAGCTGCAGGTCTGTTGGAATACCCTGCCGTGTGAGGTGTCAGTGTGCCCCTGCTGGGGGGTGCCTCCCAGTTAGGCTGCTGGGGGGTCAGGGGTCAGGGACCCACTTGAGGAGGCAGTCTGTCTGTTCTCAGATCTCCAGCTGCGTGCTGGGAGAACCACTGCTCTCTTCAAAGCTGTCAGACAGGGACATTTAAGTCTGCAGAGGTTACTGCTGTCTTTTTGTTTGTCTGTGCCCTGCCCCCAGAGGTGGAGCCTACAGAGGCAGGCAGGCCTCCTTGAGCTGTGGTAGCTTCCAGGCTGCTTTGTTTACCTAATCAATCCTGGGCAATGGTAGGCGCCGCTCCCCCAGCCTTGCTGCTGCCTTGCAGTTTGATCTCAGACTGCTGTGCTAGCAATCAGCGAGACTCCGTTGGCGTAGGACCCTCCGAGCCAGGTGCGGGATATAATCTCATGGTGCACCGTTTTTTAAGCCCATTGGAAAAGTGCAGTATTCGGGTGGGAGTGACCCGATTTTCCAGGTGCCATCTGTCACCCCTTTCTTTGACTCAGAAAGGGAACTCCCTGACCCCTGCGCTTCCCAAGTGAGGCAATGCCTCGCCCTGCTTCGGCGCACGCACCCACTGACCTGCGCCCACTGTCTGGCAGTCCCTAGTGAGATGAACCCGGTACCTCAGTTGGAAATGCAGAAATCACCATCTTCTGTGTCGCTCACGCTGGGAGCTGTAGACCGGAGCTGTTCCTATTCGGCCATGTTGGCTCCTCCCCCGGATATAACCATTCTTGTACTTATTTAATTTTCATTTTTATGGAATACCTTTTTTTCTATCACTTTTATTCTCTGTGTGTCCTTAAAGGTGAGGTAAGTCTCTTCTAGGCAGCATATAGTTGGTTCTTTTTGGTAATACATTTATCCACTTGGTCGTTCATTTGCAGAATATAATTCATTTAATTTGAAGAAATTACTATCTGGTAAGAACTTATTACTGCCATTTTATTAATTGTTATTTAGTTGTTTTGTAGATTTTTCATTCTTTTCTTCTTCTTTTGCTGTCTTTTGATGCTAAGTAATTTCTATAGTGGTATGCTTTAATTTCTTGCCTTTTTTATGTATTTTCTATTGCTTTTGTTTGGTTGTTATTATGAGGCTGGCAAAAAGTTCTTATAGTTATAAAAGGCTATATTTAGCTGAAAACAATTTAACTTTAATTGCAAAAAGAAAAAAAAACTGTACAGCTCTATTCTACTCCACAGAACATTTTGAATTTTTGATGTCACCATTTATACATTTTTATAAATTTCCTAGTCTGTAAAAAATTACTGTGGCTATTATTAGTTTTAGTTGTTTTGTATTTTAGCCTTCATACTAAAAATATAATAGATTTACAGATCACTATTATAGTATTAGAGTATTCTGAGTTTGACTGTATGCTTACTTTTCTAGTTTCATATTTTCATGTTTTCATGTTACTCATTTGTACAGTGTTCTTTCAGCTTGAAGAACTCCTTTTATTATTTCTTGTAAGACAGTTCTGATGTTAATAAACTCCTTCAGCTTTTGTTGTCTGAGAACGTCTTTATTTATTCTTCTTTCTGAAACATAGCTTTGCTGGGTACTGCCTTCTTGATTGAAAGGTTGTTGTTGGTTTTACTTTCTTTCAGCATTTTGGATATATCACCCAATTATGTCCTGCCCTGTAAGGTTTCTGCAGAGAATTTTCCACCCCAAAGTTTTACTCTGTGATCTTGCTCTGCTCCTCTCCCCAGTTTTAGTTTTTATTTGGAAAAATCACAAACAGTTTTCTGTGTGCCTATTGTTTGCAAACTGTCAGTTCTTATTTTCAACAAAAAATTTAAATGAATTTGTCATTACTGTAAATATCCTTTATTATGGACTGAAATGTGTCCTTTCAAAATGGCATTTGAAGCCCTTATCCCCAAGGTGAGGATACTTGAAAACAGGACCTTTAAGTAGACAATTAAGCTTAAGTGAGGTCATATAGGAGGGACGCTAATCCAATAGGAATGGTGTCCTTATTTGATTAAAGAGAAAGAGAGAGAAAAAGAAATACCAGGAGTATGCAGAGACAGAGAAAAGGTGATGTGAAAACATAGTGAGAAGGGAGCTGTCTGCAAACCAGAAAGAGAGCCCTGATCAGAAATCAACAAACCCTGAAAGCAATTTGATCTTGGGGCTTTCAGCCTCCAGAACTATTAGAAAAAAAAAAAATTCTGTTGTTTAAGTCACCTCATCTGTGGTACTTTTCTTAAGGCATTTCTAGCGGATAAATATACCTTTTATTGCTTTTACATATGGCATTCTCATTTAATCTGATAAGGTATTTGTGAATATTCAGAGGGCACAGCAATAATTCAAGTTTGATTGTTATTTAAGGTGTTTTTAAAATTTACCCTTCTTGTATCTTTCCAAAAATAATACAAAATATAGAAAGAAATGTTAAAACTTAAAAGCTCTAAAAACTGATTGAGTATATTACAATTTTTCAGTCTAAAAATTATTTTTGTGTAAAATCAAGGTTTTAGAAGGCACATTCTTTTAACACTTTAGTTATTTTAAACATTTTATAATCCTGTTTTTTTAAAAAAAATATTATTGACAGTTACTTTAAATGGAAATCATTTCACTGTTAAGCAGATAATTGGTGTCCTTTGCTTTGCAGAAGTAATCCATTTTAAATGCAAAAGAAATTACTAGATAGGTAGCCTGAGAATATTCTGTATCAATTAAAAATTATCTAGAAGTGGAAAATACTGGTCAGGAAAACCTTGACGATTAAAAGTTCATCAAGGCCAACAGTTACTATGAAGTAATATCTAGTTCCAGTCAGTAAATTATGAATCTGTATCTCAGAATTTATCATAAAATAGAATCCAGACTCATACTCTTAGGCACAACATATTTCCTATTAACTTTATGGTCTAATTTTATATATGAATTGTAAATACATTGTGCATAAAATATGTGAAGGATATAATATGATCTATAAATTTAAGCTTTCAATATTGTGTGAGTATATGAATTATTAAAAGCTTACCTCCCACACAGGTGGCTGAGGCAGGAGAATCACTTGAACCTGGGAGGCAGAGGTTGCAGTGAGCTGAGATCGTGCCACTGCACTCCAGCCTGGTGACAGAGTGAGACTCAGTCTCAAAACAAAACAAAACAAAACAAAAACAAAAACAAAACAAAAGAAAGCTTGCCTCCCTTAGTAATATAAAAAATTAATATGCAAAAAATTGTAGTCTTTAAATTCTTGAACAATAATTCACACCAATAATCCCAGGATTAAACTAAGAATTGCTAGGGTTGGTTCCTGTAAATATAGCCTTTTACTACTGGAAGTCTTTTAAAAGAGTGTGTATTGCCACAAAGAATAGAAATTAATCAAATATAGCTTTAAGTACCGACAATATTCCATTTCAGATCAAGTCATTTATTCCATAACTATTTTGTAAGAAAGTAATACATACTAATCACTCTTTGAGCTCTTACACAGTTTATAATCTAATTTAAGAATAAACACATATGCACATATACAAACAACAAGATTTTATTTTATTTTTATTTATTTATTTTTGAGATGTAGTCTTGCTCTTTCACCCAGGCTGGAGTGCAGTAGCATGATCTTGGCTCACTGCAACCTCTGCCTCCTGGGTTCAAGCAAGTCTCCAGACTCAGACTCCTGAGTGGCTGGGACTACAGGTGCATGCCACCCACACCTGGCTAATTTTTGTAGTTTTAGTAGAGACAGGGTTTCACCATGTTGCCCAGGCTGGTCTCAAATTCCTGACCTTATGTGATCCACCCACCTCGCCTTCCCAAAGTGCTGGGATTACAGGTGTGAGCCATCCCATCATGCCCAGCCCAAACAACAGGATTTTAAATAATAACATGGGGAGATTTTAGTTAGAGCTGAGTAGTCATGGAAAGCCTTTTTGTGAAAGTGACATTTAAGCTAAGAACAGAATAGTAAATAGAATTTATAAAGAGAAAGGAAGAGATTTGTCAAAAGGAAAAACATTTGAGAGTATTTTAAAAATTTGAAGAAAATAACAACAGATTAAAGACAATAAGAAAAGAGAGTGGGAAAATAGGTTAATAAATACAGATGTAAGGGTTAGGTAATCATGTTCTTGCAGTCATGTCAAGTAATTTGGATTTATTTTCTAAAACCAAGAGGAAACAGTGAAATATTTTAGGAATGATGCAATGTATTTTAGCAACTCTATACATTTTGCAGTTGGTATAAGTTACTGAGATAGAAGAGAAATGTTTTAAATGTCATTTTTTCTTTTTATTTAAATTTGGGATCAAGGGTTCAATTACAGGCATGTTAATATTGGGATGACTCTAATAAATCAGTATTGAAAGCTTATTTTTAAAGTGATCTATCAGAAAGGTCTGGAGAATTTTTTAAATTACATTTTGTTAGTATTAAATTAAATTATATTTGGCCTAAAGCTGCCCTTGTACTTTAAATTAATACATAGCAAATTGCAATATAACTTAGTATGTAAATAAATTGCAAGCTAACCTAAGAATGTATTCTTCTAACAAATAGCTGAATCTCAGCCAATCACAGTAACTGAGCTTCAGCCATTTATGGGATGCCAATTGATCTATGTCCAACAAGGCAAATGCCAAGCTGTAACCAATCAAACTGTTTCTGTTGTCATTTCCTTCTTCTTTCTGTAAAGACAGCCTGCCCAGGTTGGTAGGTGGAGCTCTTGGAATCTTTCCTCATTCTGAAAAATGCTGCCCAGTTCATGAATTGTTCTTTGCTCAATTAAACTCTGCTTAATGTAATTTGTCTGAAGTTTTTTATTTTAACACTGGTAAGCAGAAGAGGAAGAAATTAGCTGAATAAATAGTTTAGATATAAGAAAGAGGCCTTAAAAGATCTGCCAAAGAAAGCTGAAAATAAAATGGTTATCATGGTAAAAGGAAAACCAAGAATGTGCAGTGTAAGGAAAGAAAAGGAAAGAGAACTCCGTGAAGGCAGGTACAGCTCTCTCAATATTGCTGATAGGTCAAGCAAGATGAGTACTAAAATGATATTCTTGATTTTAGTCACTGATAGTAACCGTGGAAAAGGAGTATCAGCAAAAAATTAGGAAATACCTGTATCAAAATAGAGTCAATGAGTGTCTAAAAATTATATATAGATTAATTTATAAAATTGAGTTGAGAGACATTTATAAAAACCTAAATAAATGGTTGAAAATATGATATTTTAATGATGGTTTACTTTAAAATATCTATAGTTTCAAATAACTTTGGTAAAATTTCACAGATTTTGTCAACTTTTTCAATTAAAATTTTGAAACTTAAAAAAAAAGTAAAGGCATAGACCAAAAAATCTGAAGGGAAGGATGTGTAACTAGGGGAAACTTGACTTACCTGATAATTCCATTAATTATAAAGCTATAATAAATGAAAGATCATTAAAATTATATAACGATAAATGTATAAGACAACTGAGCAGAAAAGATAAACCTTTTAAAAAGTATACATGGATACTGGATATATTACACAGGTAGAACCACATATTGGTGGAAAATAAACAGAGTTCTTCAAAAAATTATTGTGGTACAATACAGTATCCATATAGAAAAAAAATGACCGCTCTTATAAAGTAAACAAAAATCAATCCTGGATGACTGAAAGACTTAAACATAAAGCCACCACTGTAAAATATTTACAAAATAATAAAGCGTAGTATCTTCGTGTTTTTTGAATAGGTTGAGACTTCCAAAACAAAGAGAAACAGTGTTCATCATAAAGAAAAGATTTAATTTGAGGCTGCCTTAAACAGACTATCTTTCTTCAAAATAAATTATAGAAACAGTTAAAATTTTAGCCAAATTGTAGAAAGTGATATTTTTCACAAGTTGGACCTAATATCTTAGTATCCAGAACATATAAAGAACTTCTAAGGATCAATAAGAAAAAAACTAAACCTATTAGCAAAATGGGCAAACAACTTGAACACGCTCTTTACAAAAGAGGAAATACAGATGGCAAATAAATGAAAGCCCAGTGCTTAACTTCATTATTAATACAATAATTCAAATTAAAACCACAGAGAAATACTGCAATACACTCAAAAAATTGAAAGGAAAACAAAGTTCATCAATCCAAAAGGTTGATGAGACAATTGAAGAATAATGCCTCATGGCATTAAAATTGGTTGAAAGACTTTCGAGATAGGTAGATAGTATTAGAAATTTTAAGACATGTTTAGTCTGTGATGAGCAATTCCATTCAAATTAATTCCCAAGGAAAATCAATACATACGTGAACCAGGAGACATGGACAAGAGTGTTCATGGCAGCTTTGCATAAACAAATGCTAAAAAACATCTCAATGATTCCTCAGTACTAAAATCAGTAAATGAATTGTGATATGCATGTTGCAGCGACACAAATGAATAAATTATGGTTATTCACAAAATGCATTAAAACATTATTTTAGAAGAGGAAGATATATGAATATATATGGTTCAATTATATTAATAAATTATGTTAACTGACAATAATTTTTTAGTGATTTACAAATCAGTAAATAGAAGCAAAAGCAAAGGAAGTAAATATTTATCATTAAAGTTAGGAGAATAGTTCTTCACAATGTTAGTGAAGCCGGTAGATGTATTCATGTAGGGCATTGAGAATCCTGTTATATTTTCTAACCAGGCTGGTGTTTGCTCAAGTGTTCATTTCATAAAATTTTTTAAACTGTGCGTTTATTCATATACATCTGTATACATTTTAATGCACTAATTTGTGTGTTAATGGTAATAATAATAATAACATGTACACAAAGCAGAATTACTGAAATGGTAATTACTCTTTGTAAGAGCTTGGATATTAATAGGAGCAGAACCATGGAGTATTCTGTCACAGGAAATAGAGTTGAGATTGACTCTGTTAACCTAGGTGATGTTCAAGCACTTTATTGATGAAAAATGCCAGCCTTAAAATATTTTCAATTTTCACAAATTTGCTTGTTAACACATTTCTTTACTTAATTATTGGGTAACATATCATCTTTTATTTTACTCTTTTTAAGCATTTTTAAAATTTCATTTTACTTTTAATTTTTGTGGGTAATAGTACATAGTAGGTATATATATTTATGGGGCATATGGGATAATTTGACCAGGCTTACAATATGTAATAATTGCATCAGGGTAAATGAGAACTCTATCACCTCAAGCATTAATCATTCTTGTTCCAAAAAAATCAAATTATATCCTTTTAGTTATTTTTAAATATATAAGTATATTATTATTAAATATAGTCACCTTGCTGTTCTATTAAATACTAGATCTTATTTATCTGCATACTTTTAGAGATAATAGTTTGCATTTTAAAAGTTATTGTCTTCTAAATTTACATCGTATTTTAAAATATTCTTGATGATAAGTGAGCACTTATTGAAGCAGAAAGATGTTGCTTTCAGAATTTAGAGCAAAAATAATTACCAATTAAATATATATAATATTTATATAATTGTATTTCAGTTTTAAATGCAATAGGAAGGGAATAATAATACTATATAAGAGATTTTGCAGATGATGCACACATTCAACAATAATAACTAAATAAAAGTGTTATTTCTTGCTGGAATTCATTTATGTCAATAAGTATTATTTGACAAAGACTAGTTATTAGGTAAGGAAAGAACAAATATATTATTAATAACCAACCACTTTGTGTCCTAACATCAACTCTCATAAAGCCTTCCTTCAAACCACTTTGGACTACCAGTTATTTTATATCCTTATGAAGAGAAGAGAATTGGATAAGATTTATGATACAAGTTAGATGGATAATGCAACCATAGAAAGAAAACAGAAACATATGCTTTATTCCTGTGTGTTTATTTCAGATATGTTAAATTTTAGGTGTATTGAGTCTATTGTTGTTGATCTTTGTGAATTGCTTTATTATCCAAAACAAAAAACACTTTGTGACTTCGATAACTAAATCTATAAACAAAGAAGATATTTGTCAGTATATGTGTGTATGTTTATATGTATGGGTATGTATTATTGGACACTCGTATAATAGAAAAACACTATTACCAGATTCCAGCATCTTGTGACAGAATCAGGTCTCTTTGCTTTCCTTAATTTCTGTTCCATGGCTATGGCATCTTTATCTTGTGATTATTTTGTCTTTTGTATTTCTCTCTTCTTCCATGGATAGGAGAAATTCTCATGGGAAGGGATAAAATGTGTCAGGTCAATATCTTTACTCTGTGCTCACACTCTACTGCTAAATCACTGCTGATCCTGCCAAAATAAGAAACTAGTTCATTGATTTACAATATGAATGGCCTCTGTCTATTGGTATAAACACACAAAGTGGAGAATCTTGCAGGACTTCATAATAAAAAGTCTTTGATGTAAGATGAATGACCTACAAAATATGAGGAAATCTACTCCTTTCTCCACTTCAGTGATGTCTGTTTTGTGAGTAGATAGATGATTTCTTCCCAAGAAATACAAAACTACCCATTTTCAGTTCCACCAAATTTTTTTAACAGTATCAGGAGCTCCAGATGAATTACATTTTGGTGAATATGCCCAATGAGAGCACATTTCTTTACAAATGCCCAAAGTTTAATAAAGGGGTGTTTATGTGTGTATGTGTACACAAACACACGGTACCTAGTTAAAATGTTTTCTTTCCCTATGACTTTTTCTTAAGTAAATTCTATCTTGTCACTTACAACTGTATGGGAAAGATCATAAAAGTCTTTCTGATTTTCATTTCTAAATATTATTAGAGTTATTTCAATAGTGAGCTTTGATCTCTAAAATTTACTCTTCTTCTACCTTTCAATATTACAACCTAATTTAGCCTAAACTGTCCTTTAACTTACTAAACATTTAAAAAAGAATTTCTGATCTGCATTTATCTGACAAGGTGATGCATCCTTTTGAAGTTTTGTCTTCCATCACATTATGATGGTCTGTCACTCATGTGACAAGGGGTTTAAGATGAATGGAGTTAAGGAGAAAGGTCAAATAAAATGCACTACCAGACTCTGGCATGACACAATCCATCAAATAAAAGAGCAAAACCCCTTTAGCCTGTAAGCATTCGATTACAAATTGTCAAATGTTCATGATAATCTAAACTTCTGAGATGAACTTAAAGTGAATATTGGCTTCAAATTGAAAAATGGCAATAAGTTAGTTAAAATTAAATTGAACTACAAACCTGTCACTTTCAAGCATTTTTCTCTTTTTAGATGGACACCATGCTAAATTCCATCTTGGGAATTTGGTTTTATTTCAGTACTGGATTTTTACTTAGATTTATAATTGAATGCTTCTATGTTAGAAAAATACTTTAAGTGTGCTTAAAAGGCAGCATCAAATCCAACTCATTGATTTAGCAGATATGCAATGAACTCACACACCCAGCTATTAACATGTGGAGTTTTATATTTTGCTATGTTAGAGTTGGAGAGTTGGTGAAAAGTTCAGAGAAAACATAAATTTATATATTCTCACGGGAGAAGCAATTGTATTCTAGTGGGGAAAAAATGGTATGAATGGCTAAAGAGGCAAGTGTAATTGTAAATGATTAGGTTAATTTATTACCAAAGTTGAGGTTGCTAAATTATATGTCAAAATTGCTTTTAAGTTTTGTGTTATTCATTTGTTTTTTACCTCTTAACTACACAATTTGAAATTAAGTCATACAGACCTCACAAGAAATAGCTATTATCATCAGAACTCTAAGGTATTTAGTTTCTGTATGTAGCTAAAACCCAATTCTGGGGACTGGGGTAGTATCTTTTATATGAAACACAATATTTGGGAAGTCATGTGAAGGCTTTAAAATAATATATAAATAATATAGTTACATAGGTTTCTCGTTTTATGTTTATATAAATATGTCTAAGTGGGAAATTTAATATAGCCCAAGGAAAGTGATTGAAAATATGTATTAAATCATGTTTATCATGAATTATTTTATAGTATGAATAATCACTCTTTAAAAACTAGTCTTGTTTATGGAGTCAATTAACTAATTTAAATTAAAATATAAAAATATTTTAATAGGAAGTACTATTAAGCCCAGTATGAATGAATTGAAATGAAAGTGTAAATTCTGTATTTGAGAAAAGCAAAATTGTAAATTCAGACATGAGAAATAAATTTTATTAAGCAGAATATAATGTTAAAATTCTATTGATTTTTTTTAACTTGTAAAGAATAAGTTAATTAGGGAATTTGAATGAATTTCTTTGGAATAACTGAGACAACACCTCCCCCAAGGGAAAAAAAAAAAAAAGTAGGAAGTTTTCCATGTACAATGGATCCTTTTTTTCCAAAGGATTACTTGTTTTTTGCTGATTGACCTTTTTCCATGAGGGTTGTTATTGGGATTGATAAATTAAAAAAAACTATAAACATATTACCCCAGGCCCCATGATTAGGTTTTAGTTGCATATACTGATTTTTACATTTTTTTCAGGTAAACTCATTTCGACTTTCTTTACATCTCAGAGTAAAATTCTAGATAAGGCTTTAAGAAATGTAAAAACAATATTACTCTGAATTTTGTAATGAAATTATATCATACCCAAGAATTGAGATATTTTGATAAACTTTTACTGTCTCAACTTTTACGGCATGATCATTTTTTGAGAGGAGAGCAATTATTTAAGGAATGAAGTGGGAGCCTGCTACTAGTGAAGCAGACAGACTTTCTAAATAAAAAAACGTCAAAGAATTATTTCAAACTTGTGTATTGTGTGTTTTTATTTTCAAATATAGAGGACTTCTCAGGTGACATTTTATCATTTTGGGGTATAGTTTAGAAAAGATAGTTTTAAGATACCAAATAATGAGACCGCAAGTGAAATTTCCAATAACATTACATTATTGATGATGTGATACCACAGCACAAAAAAACTTTATAAGATAAAATTTGAAGAAAATTGGATAATTTTTTTTCTCTTTTTGCGTTTCAACCTCACTGCCCTCATGCATTATTGCAAAGCTTTTACTTGTAAAATCTAACCAACAGAGAAATTTTCAAGCATCGTATGGTTATTAATGAACTGATCAGAAAGTGTTTAACAAACATTCAATATGCAAAGGACTACTCATTCTTATGAAACCATTTCTGCAGCTCATTTGGGTATGCTGGCATCTTTGAGTGACGAGAAATAAACTGCTCAAGTGCATGGTAGCAACAATGAGCTGCTCTACTTGTAACTGAAATCACGCTGCACTGGAGTCGATAAACCAGGTAACTAATATCTCTCTAAAGTGATTGTCATTTAAGGATTTTATATTTCAAACGCTCAACCAACATATATGAGAGATGATGAACAAACAAGCACCTCAGTGCCATTTAATAAACTCATATGGAATATGGGAAAGCAGGGTAACCCATGTATCACATTACAACAAATCTGAAAATATTGGCAAAGGAAGAAGGCCTCAAGCCCAAAGAATAAAAAAAATAAAAATAAGAAGCACATATGATGATGATTCAAAGTACTCTATTCCAAGATTGGGCTGTTTACACTGTACCAAAAGTTTGTATGAGATAAATATATGATTTTTTGAAATAAAACTATACAGCAGATTGTACAAGGTTAACTTTGTAGGGACAACAGACTGGTAAACCATAGCTAACCATTTTGCTCTAAGACTAAATACCTTGTTGTGAGACAATCAGTATTTCCAGTTCATAAAACAATCTGAAAGTATACAGAAATGTACAGTAAGTCATTCTTAATAAATGATTCACTACCCCAATTAAAATTATAGAAAACCAATAGATTAATCAAAAGCATACATTATAAAATGTCTTGTCTTTGAGAATACTCAAGTGTTATGAAAATTTTCAAATGTTACTTATTTTATAAGTGATACATGGGTCTCTTGCAATATGTAGTTAGCAGACTAGAATGTTGTTTTGAAAGAAGATTACTTACCATTTTCTAAGATGATATTGACAATTATGATATTAATATATAGACCATAGATAGAGATATATAAGCAAATGGTGATTATAACATGTCTAGAAAAAATATTGAGGTGCTATTTTCTGCAAAGAAAAAAATAAAGTTTTAGTGTAGAATGTAATTAAAACTTTAATTAGAAATTCACATTTAAACATAATATTAAGTGTTAGAAACTAAAAGCCGTACACAAAAACACATCCTGATAATAAGTTATTTAGAATCATTACTGATATTTATCCTAAAATGCAATTCTTATTGCTCAGGCTCCTAACTATTCATTCTCCTATTGGGAACCAAAGAGATCTTTATTACTGGGAGAGAAAATAGCTTTAAACACGGATAAAAAGTTTACCAGGACATGAATAATAATTAAACCATATCCTATGATATTGAGTTTGAGGCTTAAAATGGTTATATATGTCCCTTCGTAAAAGTAGGAGACTACTTACTATTGAGCAGAGTATATAATCATCATTTTAATTTATAAAAATATCTTCAAGTTCAGTAATAGTTGATGTTAACCCCAGACATGAAATCCAAATGTGCTAATCCTAACAGTCAGTGATCAATGACTATATCAAAGGTCAACAATTGATTTGTATGGGCATATCTATCAGTAGCCATTTTTCAAAAGTTCTTTTTATGGACAGTGACAGAGCTGATAATTTGTATGATGTAGTTTATAAATAGTACGCAGCTTTGTGCAAGGAACAGTCTTTTGTTGTTGTTGTTGTCTGGCCAGACCTGGGTCTTCTAGAAGTCAGCAAGAGAGACTTAGGGCTAAATTTCCTGTCAATTGTGTCAAATAACCATAATTTTTTTGATAAATTTAGTGACCTATGACAAATCCTATGAGACTATGACAAAACATGCATATTCATCTGGTCATCAAATTTAAGGGTAAAACTTCTAAGCATAGCCAAGTAGCTGAAATGTGGCACTTTCAGAACATTCAAGGCAAAATTGAAAAGTATAGAAATTGGCTTGGAAAATGTTAAGAATGAAATATTAGGCAGACAACATTCTATTTCAGCCAATGCAATAAAATACTTTCACTGTGAAGGAAGTTGAAATGCCCTTTGAGTCCATCTGGAAAAGAACACTTTGCTGAAGTCAGCTCATTTAAGATAAATCCTCTACTACCATGTTGGCATTCTAGATACATTATCCAAACACATGAAAGAAACTGATGTCTTAAGCTTTAGGTGAAACCACAGGCGATGTTAAAAGCAAATAATGGATATGGCCTCACCAGTGGGTATGATAACTGTTAGCTAACTCATTCGGTATGACTTGGTGCTCTTGTGTGTCATGTCTTTTATTAGTGACTTGTGAGAACTTACCCCTTGGAGGTTTCATAAGAAGGCAAAATGATGTTATGATCTCATAATGAAGATATTATGTTTAATTCTTAAATGCCACAAGCAAGAGGAAAGTATGTATAGAACAATGCTTCTAAAGAGCTACATGAAGCTGACTGGAGACTAGAGGAAAATATTCATGATTACAATATGTTTACCATACAATGGATTTCTGAAAAAATATCCTGTACCCAGCATAGAGTGAATGATTTTGCATTCTGAGATGTCTTACTTTTAATTTAATAGATTTAAGAGTCTAATCAAATGTTTGGGGAAGTTTCATTATTATCCTAACAGGCACAAAATATTTGAGACTGTTTATTAGTAAAGATAAAAGTGGCTATTAGTTGAAGTTCTATATAATATTTAAAATAATGTCATCATTGTATTTTTCAACTGTTTCTCACTTTAGGACATGTTTTCAATAGACATCTAAGCAAATAAGGCCAACATCTGAGAGCTGTTGAAAAATTTTGCAATTCGAAATTCAACTAAATTAAAAATAGTCAAAGAAACTACTTAAGTGTTAACAAATTTGTTTCTGTGAAGCTAAAATGAAATATTTTTATATAGGAAAAGGAGAAAGAATTTATCACTAGTATACCTACCTGCACTATAAAAAATGGTCAAGCATGGAAACTTGAATATACAAGAAGAAATATAGAATCAGTAAAAGCAAATATGTAAGAAATACGAAGATTATTTTTCTCTTAATTTCCTTAAAATAAAACTATTTAAAGTAAATGATATTTAGGATTTGCTTAATATAAAATACATGACAATGGTAGGAAAATAGGGAGAATGGAGATTTGAGCACCATGAACCACTTTTACAAAATTGACATTAACAGAATATTGTACCCCACACCTGCAGAACACGCAGATGAGAGCAGATGGGATTTTTACAATGATAGGCCTTATGCTACACCATAAATCTCAATAAATTTCAATATAATTAAATATTGCAGAGCATATTTCTGACTACACTATACATAAGTTAGGTATTAGTAATCAGAAAATATTTTAAAATGCCTAATACTTGGAAATTAAGTAATATATTTCTTTAAAAATTCAATGAGTTGAAGAAAAATACTCAGAAGATAATTACAAAAAAAATTTCAAATTGAATTAACAACAAAAAACTAACAGTTTGTGGAATGCATAAGAAGCTAGGTTTGAAGCAATTGTGGATCTTAAATGCTTATATTAGAATAGAAGAAAGATTTAAAAATTAATAAGCAAATAGACTTCCTTAAGAAGCTGCATAAAAATAAACTTAATGAAAATAGAAAGAAGGAAATAAAGATAAGTACCAAAATGAATGACATAGAAAACAGACAAATAATATAGAAAATTAACAAAGCCAAAGTTGATTCTTTGATGAGATTAATGAAATTGATAAACTCTTAGAAAGGCTAAATGAGGAAACACAAAGAGAAAAAATAAAAAAATTACTGATACCAAAAAAGAACACATTATTACCAATTCTACTAACAACAAAAATATATTAATGCAATATTAAAATAACTTTATGCCAATTAATACAACTTAGAATAAATAGGCAAATTATTGAAGAAAACAAATTACAAAAACTTAAATGAACAGAAATAGATAATTTGCACAGAAACAGAAATCTAAAGCATCGGGTTAGAATTCAAAATTTTCTCCAAAAGTAAATTTAGGCACAATTGTTTCATTGTGTGAATTCTATTAACCATTTATAGAAGGAATAATACTGCTGTTATACAAATTCCTTCAGAAAGTTGAAGAGGAGAGAACTCCCCAAATCTGTTTTATGAGACAGTCTAAATCTTTAAACCAGAACTTGACAAATGCATTACAAGAGAAAAAATTACTGATCGTTATTCCTCGTGAACACAGACCCAAAAATTCTTAAGAAAATATGATCAAATTGTGTCCAGCAATGTATAAAAAACCATTATAAACATATGACCAAGTGGAGCTTATTCAAATAATGCAGTCAGATTAACAGTTATTCATCAACTTATGTAAATCATTCTATTGGCAGGATAAAGGAAAAAGAGGCAACGTGTTAAATTCAACAGATGTTTAAATAGCAATTTATCAGAATCAATGCTCATTCATGACTAAATAAAACCCCTCAAATATCTCAAAATAGCATAGAATTTTCTCAATTTATCAAAGTTCATTATGGAAAACCTACAGCTGATCTACTTAGTGGTAAAATATTGAACACTTTGCCTCTAAAATCACAAAATGGAAGGCATTCTCACTCTTACTATTTTTACTCAATATTTTTGAGAATTCTATTTGATACAATAAAGCAAAATAAATAAACAAGTAAATTATCAGAAAGGAAAGAGTATAGCTGCCATTATAGTCAGATGTTACTATGTACCTGAAAAATCCTATGAAATATGGAAAATTAAAAAAAAAAAAGAACCAAAAGTGAATTTAGCAAGATTCAGGACAAAAGGTAAGGTCAGGAAAATTTTTTTAAAAATCAATTGATTTGAGTAAAAATCTAGAAAAAATACATTTCAAAATTCTGTTAAACTAGCCTTAAAAAATTAAATAAAATGAAAGCAGAATTTCTACACTGAAAACAAAAAGTCTTGTTCAGAGAGACTAAAGGAGTTTAATCAGAGGCATGAAATTTCATACCCAAAGAGACTCAATACTGTAGTTTATCAATAGTCCACAAGTAGGTGTCTAGATTTATCTCAATCTTAATAAAAATTCTAGCAGCTATTTTTTTTTAGATGGAATTTCGCTCTTGTTGCCCAAGCCTGATCTCGGCTTACTGCAACCTCCACCTCTAGGGTTCAAGCGATTCTCCTGCCTCAGTCTCCTGAGTAGCTGGGATTACAGGTGCCTGTGCCACTACACCTGGCTAATTTTGTATTTTTACTAGAGACTGGGTTTCTCCATGTTGGTCAGGCTGGTCTTGAACTCCCGACCTCAGGTGATCCACCCACCTTGGCCTCCCAAAGTGCTGGGATTACAGGTGTGAGCCACCGTGCCTGGCCTCTAGCAGGTATTTTTCTTTTGATAGAAATTTTCAAGTTGATTCTAAAATTTATATGGAAATGTCCTATGTGAATAAACTAAGAAATTTTGAAAATGGGGAGAAAGTTGTGATTTGGGGATAGGTAAATCTTTATCTCATATAGAACACAAACAATAGTAACCATAAAGCAACTGATAAATTACATTTCAAGAAAAACTTTTGCTCCTCAGAAATAGCATTAAATGAATAAGTAGATAAGCCATACTGGAATAAAGTATTATCAGTAATGTGTCTGGTAAAGAATTTGTATCTAAAATGTAGAAATAATTTTCAAAATTTCACATGGAAAACTGGAAATAAAATACCACAAATGGTATTCAATAGTAAAATAATGGAGAAAACACGTGAACAGGCACTTGACATGAAAATATGTTCAAAATCATTCATCAGCTTAATGAAAATTGAACTTACAAGGTATTTCAATGAGGTATAAACATGAGGTATATGAATACCTCATCATTCCCATTAGAATATCTAATACCACGAAGATTGATAACAGAGAGTAGAGATGAGGAGGTGGAATAGTTGGAATTTTCATCAATTGCTGATGATAATATAAAATACTCAACCACCTTTGGAAAAGTGTTTGGCATTTTTTTTTTATATAGTTAAACATGTACCTACTCGATGACCCAGCAATTCTACTCTTTGTTATTTACCCAGGAGAAATGAAAACATATGTATACAAAACAAATGTGTATAAGAATAGAAGTTTTATTTATAATAGCCAATCACTTGAAAGAACCAAAAGGACTTTCAACAGGGAATGGATTAACTCATTCACACAATGGAATATTATTCAGCAACAAAAAGAGTAAACCAGTGATTTACACAACAGCATGGATGAGTCTCTAAAAAGTTTGTACACACAAAAAAAGAAAAAAATAAGGAAAAAGGCAAACCCCAAAATGAAGTAATATATAATTCCATTTACATAAACATCAAAACCACAGAAAACTAATTTGTGGTGTTCAGGGTCAAAACAGTGGCTTCCTGTTGGGGTAGGTGTTGACAGGAAGTTGGTATGAGGGAGCTTTTTGTATTAATGAAAGTTCTACGACTTGATTGAAGTGTTAGTTGCACAGGTATACTGATTTGTCAAAATTCATTGTATATGTATTAAGATTAAACATTTAATGCTTTTCGCCTCAACAAAAAAATGAAACCCTGGAAATACAACTTTAAACATTAAATACTGAAAGAACATAAGCAGAGACTAGTTAAATCCAAGGTCTACAAACCTTACAGTAATGTTTGCAAACCTTTAAAAGTTATGGAACTTATTTATTTTCTTTGAGTATTTCTGACTGTTGTGTTTTGAATGTGTCCCCTCCAAAATTCATGTTTTGAAACTTAATAACCAATGTGATGGTATTAAAAAGAGCAGCTTTTTAAAGGTGATTAGATCATGAAGGATTCTCCCCTAATGAATGGAATTAAGGCCTACATAAACAGGGCTTCAACTAGCCTTTCATTCTTGCCCTTCTGCCTTCCACCATGTGAGGACATACCATTTCTCTCCCCTTCTGAGGACGCAGCTCTTACCAGACAACCTAGCCTACCAGCGTCTTCTTCTTGGATTTCTGAGCCTCCATCATTACAAGAAAACATATTTCTGTTTCTCATAAATTATCCAGTCTATAATATTCTGTTACAGGAGCACAAAGCATACTAAAAAGACACTGACTTTCCAATCCTATGACTGAAAAAGTAAAAGTTTCCAATCCTATGAGTGAAAGAATAAATAAAAGGAATTATAACAGCTTCAATCATCAGAAATGAAGAAATGACTTATGGGTAATATTGTTACTTTTTCCTGAACGAATTATGGGAAAGATTATAAGAATCCCATTTTCCTCAAAATGTATAAGAAAAAATTTAACCTAAAGTGAGAAGATTTACATAAGACCAAAATATTTTCTTGTATTTGTGAAACTTAAGCAATTTTCCAAAATAACTTGGAGATTCTCTTTTTCTGGAAATAGAAGAAAGAAAAGACTATTTCATATATTTAAGGTGTCATTCTCCATATAAATTCTGCAATTTCTTGATATCCCTTACAGTTCTGTGAATGTGGCTGCCTAGGGATAAATAAATGTAGAAACAGAAAGCATTACAGCACTTTGCTACTCCACAGGCTCCTAAGCATAATTCATGCAGTAGGAAAAAAAGACGACTGAATTTTATGCCTGTGAAAAGGTAGGTTATGTGTCCCTTAAGCCCAAAGTGACACAGTATAAATGAATTGCCCCATTTTTGGAAATATATCAACTAAAACACTGCTAGGGGTTACAATATGGAAAGGAATAGTCTTCCTAAATGTCAAAATATATAAATATTCATAGCACAGACATTGCGGCCTGCATTTTAACTCACTGCCTACTTATACCATTGAAGTGAGAAACATGAAAATAGCCTTGCATGTGACCATGATATTCACATAGTAATGGGGAGAAAAGTTTTTAAAATAAAAATGGGCATAAACATAAACACTTCTAGGGAAGGCCTATACTTTTAAGTGGTTTGTGTGTGTGTGCTTAAAGTTCATGAAACTTGCTTGTTTGACATTTTTTAAAGTATATTATCTCATAAAACGAAAAAATCCATATAGGTTGCATTTATTGCCTTGGAAAATACTATTGTATAGAAAAAGGACGTATATTTGGTGAAAAGAGAAACAAAAATATCCTATTACTAAAAGAGTGAATGGCATTTGGTAGAAATAAGTTTTCTGAAAATTGAAGATTAGGTAGTGCTGGTACAGTAGAATTTACTGCAATTGTTCAAAATCATTTCTAATACATCCATGTGTTCACAACACTGCCAAAAGCAACATGGGAGTGTGTGCACGCAGCAGGCCCACACACAACAAATGCCCTCCCAAGTGTCAATCTTTACATCATTACTAAAAATATATACATCCTTAAAATAATAAAATAGTCTAATATTAATAAAACAAGTATCAATATATCTGATATTAACACACATCCATCATTGGGAATATGAAAGATAAATGTAAAACTGAAGAGAAATTTTGGAGAGAACATAAAGAGATATTATCTGTGAAAATATTTTAGCCTGATTTTTTAAAAAAGTCCCTGAGTTTTATGTTAAGTAATCTGTTGAGGTAACAAAAAGTTAAGTATTAGCATATGCAACACATGTTTTCTCTAATTATCTATTAAAATGTTATCATTTTACATTTAATTTCTTAAAATTCTATGATTAATGATATTTCAGTTAAAGGTCTATAGGGGGAATAGCCCCATATTATTGTTGTCCCATATATTCTAAGTTAACAACTATATGGGGCTATTTTCAAAAATGAATATCATTGGATTTTTAGGTAGCACCTTACCAATAAAATAGATACTGAATGTTCCTGCTAGATTCATAAAATCAAAAAGGAGTTTGATCTATGCACAGACATACACTACTAGGGCGTATACTAATCTTTCCCTGATCTATGCATTCTCTCTCAACAGTCAAGTGTTCCACAGCTTCCCCTTGCATATATCCAGTCACTGAACAAGGAATGCTAGTTTTCTTAAACTTTTTCATTGAAAAATTTATTTTAAAAACACAGGCTCTACTACCAAAATAGATATCTGCCAAAGATATAACATTATACTTGAGTTTTAGCTTCAATTTTATGTTTTATTGAGGCTAAAAATACCATCATTTGGGAAAGAGGCATTGAGTTAATATGTAAGTACATTACCAAATATACACATTTTATTGTCTTTGGATTTTCACCTTTTTGTTTGTTTTTTTGACAGGGTCTTGTTGTTTTGCCAGCTGAGCTGAAGTGAGTGGCATGATCATGGCTCACTGTAGCCTCCCCAGTCTCAACAGTCCTCCACCTTAGCCTCCCAAGTGGCTGAGACTACAGGCACATGCCACCACAACCAGCTAATTTTTTATTTTTATTTTTATTATTTATTTATTTATTATTTATTTATTTATTTGTGGACATGGGGTTTTGCCATGTTGCCCAGGCTGGTTTTGAACTCCTGGGCTCAAGCAATCCAGCCACCTCAGCCTCCCAAATACTGTGATTACAAGTGTGAGCCAGCATGTCCAGCCCTGTTTTTCATACTATTAAATTACTTTTGTCATTTATAAACTTTTAACTTTATGCACCCAAATTTACAGCCACCATAAGCTAAAAAGCTTTATTTTTTGTGTTAATATTTGTGTCATATATAATCAACATAATTTTTTTTTTCTTGAGACAGAGTTTCTCTCTTGTTGCTCAGGCTGGAGTGCAATGGCACACTCTCGGCTCACTGTGAAATCCACCTCCTGGGTTCAAGCGATTCTCCTGCCTCAGCCTCCCAAGTAGCTAGCATTACAGGTGCCCACCACCACATCCGGCTGATTTTTTGTGTTTTTAGTAGACACGGGGTTTCACCATGTTGGCCAGGCTGGTTTCAAACTCCTGACCTCAGGTGATCCACCTGCCTCGGCCTCTGAAAGTGCTTGGATTACAGGCATGAGCCACCGCACCTGGCTGATAAACATAATTTAAAAAAATTTCAAAATTATTTTCCCCTGCAAATCAATACTGTGTAAGTAATCTTAATAAAGTCACATTTATTTCATCCTGCTTAAGATGAACATTTGATATGGAACTATCATGATAGTCCAATATGGAACTATCATGATATTGAACATTTTATTTTGTTAAAAACATATTTGATTTCAAAATGTCATGCAACAATAAAAATGACATTTCCACAAATTACACTGCATAAGAGATGGCCTTGAATTCAATACACTAGACCTTGTTGAAAGACCATTCTACATGGGTTTATCCTGCTGCTGTACGTCTTTTGTAAACAGAAGCAATGACTGCCCCTCGATCTGTACTATCTTTACGAGGATATTTGTACAGTAAACAGCCTTGGAAGACAGAGATAGTGTCTCTCTCTGGAGCAAAGGGCAGACATGCTTACTCCTCATTATGAAAGATTGAGAATCCCTAAGCTATGGTTTCTTTCTTGCAATGCAAACCACTGATCACGCCGGCATCAGTGTGAACACATTCCCATGACCCCACGGGGAAAATGCACTAATGCTCATTGTGCTTGCTGTGATGTGAGTAATAAAGTTCTTTGTCTCTGCCTAGCAGCCTCTGTCAGCATCCCTGCAACTGTGGCAGGCTAACTTCTTAGCTTGCAGGTGGGGTGTGATCTCAGCGCTTTCACAGTCCTGGACGGTTTGGCAATGAGACTGTGATGTTGACAGAGATGTCCTTCTAAAAGAGGAAGGATGAGGGCCTCTTGGGCTAGGATAGGGAATACAAGATGACTCCCTAGGATCTGATATTGAATGCTTTTGCCTTAGTAAAGGGAAAACAGAAGAGAATATGTTCCCTGTCCTGCCTGTTAATGAACAGAAAAAAGAGTTTATGCTTAGAGGCTGAACAGAGAAATATAGCTTTAAAGCAAGCTGGCCAAATGGTACCTTGATTGTTGTTCACCTTTCTCTAAGGAGTAAAAGAGTGTCGAGGCAGGGGAATTATTATGGCGATGGGACAGAAAGCTCCATGGCCCTAGCTAAAAAGCCATGGGGCCATGGCAGCTAAACCAAGATATCCCAAAGCAGAAACAAATATTGTCTGCAGTGAGAACCTTACAAATTAGATTTACAGTTTTGGGAGGACAGAAAATATGAGAATTTTTTTCATTGAGCTATGAAAATGGTGGATTGAAAATGAAAGCAAATGAAAATTAAGGATGAAGTTGCTTCATAACTCAGAATCACTCCTTCCTTCTGTACCCTCTGTTTATTTCTACCCCCACTACTCTGACTCGTGTTGAAGATTAAACTGGCAGATTAAAGCACATCTATTTGGGGCCACAAATTTTACAGATAAATTATGGCTTCTCATTGAAATATCTGTGTCACTGTAGTGTGTTGAATAGTGAAAGATAGGGCCCAAGTATTAACCCCTGATATCTGTGGATGTGATTTTATTTGGAAATAGGTGCTTTGCAGATGTAATTAAGTTAAAGATGAGATGAGATCATTCTGGATTTAGGGTAGGCCCTAAATTTAACAACTTATAACAACTTATGTCCCTATAAGAAAAAGGAGAGTACGATTTGAAACTTAACTACACAGCAGAGACCCAAAGGTCATGTGAAGACCCAGGCAGAAATTGAAGTGATGTATCTCTTGCCAAGAGATACCAAGGACTGCCTGCAGCCAAGAGAACCTGGGATTGAGGTATGGAACAGATTTTCCCTCAGAGTCTCCAGAAGGAACCAATCCTGTTGACGTTTTAACATCAGACTTCTGGCTTCTAGATCTGTGATAGAACACATTTCTGTTGGTTTAAGCCATCAATTTGTGGTAATTTGTTATGGAAACCCCCAAAAACTAAACAGTTGCTATTTGTCATCCACAGTAAGGATCTGTTCTCTGATGAGACTGACAGAAATCAAACTGCTGATTGAGCCTGCACTAACAAGATTGGACTAGCCATTGCTGCTTGGATCACCATCATTACAAAGGTAGCAATATGTCCCACAACTTAGATTGGAACTCTGTCTACAGTTTTCCAGGTTACAGTTTTACAGTTCTAATCCAATCATCTGATGCTATCCACATCACTATAAACTTTAAAATTAATCTCCATATATATTTTTTTACTTTCCAGATTATTTTCTGACAATAGTGCACAATTTATTGAAAAAGCCATTCAACCCTGAGTCCTTTGACAGGCCTTCCATGATCGCTAAAATACACTGGCATCTGGCATTGTTGAATATTGGAATGGTCTCCTTAATATCACTCAAAAAATATTTCTGACTCTACATCCATTATCTCTTATTGGTCTAAACACCTTAGTAATATGATTTTGTCAGTGGATGTCACTGTACCTGGAAAGGGTTCATCTCTTCTCTTTCCTGGTGATGATCAGACATCAATTAAAGTGGTAGTGGGTTAAGTATATTGCTTGCTGGGTATCCCACGATGATCCATCTATGGCACATAATAGGTCTTTGTTAGTTTTATGGAAGTTTCTTTGTCTCTCTTGCTTCTGGCCCTTCTGGATGAAAGGTCTGTGTACAAGGAGACTATGGCTAGAGAAAAAAAAATGTTGTGGTTACAGTTTCAGAAGTAGCAAACTACAACTGTATGGCAACCAAGGAAAATCAACCACCCCACCACCCTTACAGGGGATAAGTTTGGCCCTTGAAGCTATAGGACAGAACAGCATAAATAAACTTTCGGTTTTCAGAGTCACTGCTAGAGCCCTCCTCCCCAAAGAAAATACACTGGTGCAGTTCCCCAAACTAATGCAAATACCTTAAATTTAACTTGCTGCTGGATTTGCTATACCCTACCAGATAGCTCTAACTACAATTTGTTCACCATTTCCCTTAACCTTACTGAGAAGGCTATCTAATGTAGCAGGAGATGGTTATCAGCTCTTAAACCTTCACCACAAAAAACCTGCCATCACTTCTGAGTTTTTTTCTTACCCTCATTCCAGCAGCCTCCTTTAACAGGCAGAATTTTAAATTGGCCACCATCAACTCTCAACAATTGATGTTATTGTAGACTTCCTCTCTCCTTGAATGGGATGAGATCTGTGACTAGCTTCTAAACAATAGGACGTGGCAAAGCGATGGGCTGCTTCTCCCTTGATTAGGTTACATCACTTGGCAGTGTTGGTGGTCTATCACTCCTGTGATTATGTTACTACATAGGGAAAGGTTAATGCACTGTTTTGCTAGAATGGATAATCCCTTTGAAAATCCCTCTGCTAAGAACTAAGCTGCTATGGTGTGAAAGCTCAGAAAGAGGGCGCTGTGGCAAGGAAATCAGGGACAGCAAACAGCCATCAAGAAAACAAGGACCTCTGTTGTACAGCCTCAAGGAAATGTATTCTGCCAACAAAAAATGAGCTTGAATGTGGATATTTCCCTGGTCAAGCCTCTAATGTGACCCCAGACCTGGATAGCAACTAAATTACAACTGATCAAGACCCTGAACCCAGATAAAGCTGTGCCCAGACTTCTGACAAACAGAAACTATGAGATAATAAATGTGTGTTGTTTTAAGAGGCTAAGTTTGTGGTGATTTGTTATGCTGCAATATAAAACTAATTCACCATGGCTTAGTCATCACATTGGATGTCAACTCATCCTATCACAAATACTACCTGGCTATTGGAATGAACAAAGGATAGTCATCAGGAATGAAGACAGACTCAATTACTCACACTAAACCAGGAACTCTAAGACATATCTGCAGAGAGGAACACAGTATTGGAGGCTTTGTTAATCTGTGACCTCCACCTAACATAGGTCTCATTTGGAGGACTCTAACAAGGACAAATAACACTTTTATTCAGGGGTCATTGGTTACATCGCTAGGTCTGGGTCATAGCAGATCTGCAATTGCTTAAGAAAACACTACCTCTGAATTATGTAGCTCTTAGACAATGGAGGAGGTCTCCTAAATTAGGCCACTGTTGGTTACTTAGGGAAGTTTCTCTGGGTAGGGGTAGAGGAATGACTTGTTATCTCTGCATATCTTGCAGGTTATTGTCTCTACAATGAGAGCCATACAAGTAGAAAAGTTGCTATAAAATATGTCCTTAATTTTAGATTAAGAGATCAGTGACATCATCTGAACTTTGAGAGGCATTCATCTCAGACTCAGCTCACTAACTAGGGCATACTAACTTGTTACATTGAAAATGAGGTAAAATCTTAAGCCTTTCGATGTTCTTAACATATTTCCAAGTAATTTGCCACAACAATTATGAAAGCATATTTAGGGAAGAATTTTTATATCTAATTTAAAAAATCAATTAACTTCACTAACTTCACTAAACATTGTTTGCCTTTGTATTACATTATAATTAAAATCACATGTTCTAGCTATGTACTTATTTACTCTCATTTAAGAGTCTTTTATTCCCAGGTGATACAATTTATTCAACTGTGTAGTGTCATCAACAAGCAATTAACTGCCCATTAATTTCTCTGATTTTTCATTGAAAAATAAATTGAAAATATCAACAGAAAAAAAGAAATAAAAATAGATTATAGTATATCAATCAAACAGTAAAATATCTTTTTGATCCTATAGCTTCAGAGGTGATTAGGATTATTAATTTGTGCCAAATGCAGTGGTTTATGCCTGTAATCCCAGCACTTTGGGAGGCGGAGGCATGCGGATCACTTGAGGCCAGGAGTTCACGACTAGCCTGGCAAACATGGTGAAGCCCTTTCTCTACTAAAAATAAAAAAAAAAGTGGGGTGTGGTGGCACGTGCCTGTAGTCCCAGCTACTTCGGAGGCTGAGGCAGAAAATTGCTTAAACCTGGGAGGTGGAGGTTGCAGTGAGATGAAATCATGCCACTGCATTCCCACCTGGGCAACAGAATGAGATTTATGTCTCAAAAAAATTAATAACTTGTTGGCTAGGTACAGACATATACCTGTAGCTTTTATGAAATCATAGAATCCATAGCATTTTGAAACTTTCATTTTCCCTACAATATGATCTCTCAGTACATTCACATATATATCATTCATTTAATCAACTACATAATGTTTTGCTGTATAGCTCTATTGCAATATATTTAATCATTCTTTTCTGTTGAGTAATTAGGTAGCCTCCAAGCATTTGTATTTTACTACTATAAGTCATAATAAAATTAAAATTGGAAAAGTAAGATTAACAGATTTTAATTTATTTGTCTCTAAGAATCCTTTTGTGTTCACATGTTTTGCATCTAAATAATTCACATATTTAGAAATGAATAATATAGTTATAACTGTTTATTATATATAATAATTGATCATGTTATATGATATAGAATTTATTATAATATAATTCTAATTAGGCATACTAACATATGTCTGTCATGAAGAAGTAAACTGAGCCATGCAAATACACCAAAATTTGTAGAAATGAACCAAAACTTGAACTCAAGTAGTGAAGTTTATCTTTAGAATTAGAACAATAAGTTAATTTCAATGAAGTGAACAAAATAAAGCGATATACCATAATCATGGATGAGATGACATAATCTATTCTTCCCCAAATTCATCTATAAATGTAATGGAATCCCAATCAAGAGAAACTTTCTCCCAAATCAAAGCAAAATTGTCTAATTCACAAAGTCTCATTTTATAAAGTGTATCAAATAGGCTAAGAAAGTAATATGGGAGAACATACCAAGTTATTGCTGTCCCCATAATCTTATTGTAAAATAATACTATTATAATAAAACAATCTTACAAAATATTTTTATATCATTTTATACAAAAGAAATTTATGATTCCCAATAGCAGTTGACATAGCTCTGTTCTACTTTGTCTTCTAAACTTAAAAGGTAAAGAAACCAGTTTGTACTGAAAATCTACACTGGACCATGCCCTTTGTTGGAAGCTATATAAATGTTAATATAGAACCATCGGTTAGATCAAATGAATCTCCAGAGCTAAGTACATCTAAGGTTCTAGTTACTCTTTATTACAAGTCTGCAAAGAGTCAAAAAGCATAAGGAATTACGCTTTGTTCTTTCTTTCTTTTTTTTTTTTGATGTATGAAATATTTATTTACAGAATTTAGAGCTGAAGGACTTTTTATTTTATTTTATTTTATTTTATTTTGAAAATACGGGACCTCTATTGGGGAGTTTTTTTTTTAAATTATACTTTAAGTTCTGGGATACAGAGCATGCAGGTTTGTTACATAGGTATACACGTGTCATGGTGGTTTGCTGCACCCATCAAACTGTCATCTCCATTGGGTATTTCTCCTAATGCTACCCCTCCTCTAGCCCTGCACCCTCCGGCAGGCCCCCATGTGTGATGTTCCTCTCCCTGTATCCATGTATTCTCATTGTTCAACTCCCACTTATGAGTGAGAACATGCGGAGTTTGGTTTTCTGTTCTTGCGTTAGTTTGCTGAGAATGATGGTTTCCAGTTTCATCCATGCCCCTGCAAAGGACATGAACTCGTCTTTTTATGGATGCATCGTATTCCACAGTGTATATGTGCCACATTTTCTTTATCCAGTCTATCATCGATGGGCATTTGGGTTGGTTCCAAGTATTTTCTAGTGTGAACAGTCCTGCAATAAACATACATCTGCATGTATCTTTATAGTAGAATGATGTATAATCCTTTAGGTATATACCCAGTAATGGGATTGCTGGGTCAAATGGTATTTCTAGTTCTAGATCCTTGAGGAATCACCACACTGTCTTCCACAATGGTTGAACTAATTTACACTCCCACCAACAGTGTAAAAGCGTTCCTATTTCTCCACATCCTTTCCAGCATTGGTTGTTTCCTGACACTTTATTCTTTAAAATACCTTCTGTTTTTTTCTGAAAACTTCATCTTACATCAATTCCTTTTCTGATGCCAAATGTTGATTTAATGTCTGAGTCACTATTCATTTTGGAAATACCAATTTAATGCTTTAACTACTGGTTATTTTACAGAACCAGTTACTATCTTTTTTATAGGATACTTATTTAATATATTCTTTATTTTTTTAAATTTTAAACCCAAAGAGAAGTTTCAAGAATAGTACAATGAATACTTACATACCTTTCACCAATCATTAACATCTTACCTCTCATGTATATGTAATTTTGATTTATTTACTCTCTGAATTTTTTGAGAGTAAGACAAAAACATCATATCGGTTTATCCTAAACATGGCAGCATTTTCCTTTTTTTTTTTTTTTCAATGTTCTAGTATCTATACTTATTCTGTCAGCCAGGTGTGCATGTCTCATGCCACCTTATTTAGCTATGTCCCAGTTCAAGAGATAAATTAATAAATTTGGTATACTCCCAAGTAAGGTAATGATTGTTTAATGAGTCAATAATATAAAAATAGGTGGATTCAGTGGTCTGATGAGATTTACATTAGGCCAAATAATTTCCAGTAATCTAAAATTTTCCCAAAATGATTCCACAGGTACACTGATGCATAAGCCATTAAGTATAACCTATGCAAATGCTAAATTCTGAGTGTTAGAGAAATCTTTATTTATTTATTTATTTATTTATTTATTTATTTATTTATTGAGCCAGAGTCTTGCTCTGTCGCCCAGGCTGGATTGCAGTGGCGCAATCTTGGCTCACTGCAACCTCCACCTCCCGGGTTCATGCCATTCTCCTGCCTAAGCCTCACGAGTAGCTGGGACTACAGGCGCCCGCCACCATGCCCGGCTAATTTCTTTTTGTATTTTCAGTAGAGATGGGGTTTCACTGTGTTAGCCAGGATGGTCTCTATCTCCTGACCTTGTGATCCACCCGCCTCAGCCTCCCAAAGTGCTGGGATTACAGGCGTGAGCCACGGCGCCCAGCCATGTTAGAGAAATCTTATACTGACATAGTGATTAATTAGGTGACTTGCACAAAATTTTAGATAAAAATAATTTTTGAAATACTATATTTTATGTATTTTTAAGTTACAGCTAATAAGGAAATTCATTGACATATGTGACTATATCTCTTCTAGTTGATAAACAAAATGTGAAATGAAAGCTGCTTCCTTTGAAAGTAACTTGTATAGATTTTCATTTCACATCTAGCATTTATAAAACTTGGTATCTAACTGCCTTCTGTCACATTTCATTAGCTACGTCAGTCCATCTCAACACCATGCATCACATGTCACAAGGATGTAATGCGTCAGTAAAAAGAGAAAAGAGGATCCTATTTATATTGGCATCATATATCGACTTTGAGTTGAGATACTCTCAGGTCAAGATCCAAGAAAAACATGCAGAGGAAAATGGAGAAGTTCTCCGTCAATATTTTCTTTTGAAATTATTCAAAAAATGTGCTAATACTTAAAATGAGTAGGTTTTAGTCACATTAAAACACCAGTATTTCTGGCACCTCCTTCTCCACAGCAATCCTCATCCTCATCTGCAAATACATTCAAATTGTATTAGACATATTTCCTCTTTCTTGACCAAATTTTGTTTCTTAATTAAGTTACAGACTATCTAGGTATATACAAATAGGAGAAATGAAATTAAAATAAACTTCCATTTTATTTATCATCAGTATCTTAAAGATTCAGATCAGCTCATCTTATGTCAAATGAAGCATATTCGAGATACAAGGTTATTTTTTAAAGAACAAAATAAAGATTAATGATAGTTTGAATATGAAAATACCATAAAATTCTACAATGTTAGAGCAATGAAAATGCTATTGGCACGTCCAAGCACTGTGTAATAGTTATGTTTGGTCAAAAACAATTAAAAATTAAGTTATCTAAGAGATGTGCTCCCAAATTATCCTTTGTATAAAACTTATTTATTTGATATAACATATGTTTTAGATAATTTTTTTTCTTTTGTTTGTTTTTGATTTTCTATTCAGGCAGGATCATAGCTTCTTTCAGGAGACAAGGAAACTGTGTCACAGTGTAACAAGAAGTTTAGGGAACAAAAATGGATTTTTTATCAGTACTCTACATAAGTTCATAACTTTTGCTCCCTTCCATATTATCTTTGGAAACAGAAGATAAAAAATTGTCTTCAATTAAATTGATGCTTCAAATAAAAACTTTTGATATTTTAATAAACATTTCAAAAGATACTAGAAAATCTCCTTTTGGATCTGTTCTGAGAAATGGCTAAGGACAGTGTTGAAAATATAATATTTGAATATCTTGCATAAATTCCAAAATGTGCCGACTATCTTACCGAAATATCACTTGTTGTGGAAGTGATGCCCTTTTTATATAAGTGACTGCAAGACAATACCACAATCAGAAATGCATTATAAAATGAAAATATTCAGAGACCAGCCTGGCCAATGTGAAGAAACCCCACCTCTACTAAAAATACAAAAATTAGCCTGGTGTGGTGGAACACGCCCGTAGTCCCAGCTACTCAGGAGGCTGAGGCAGGAGAATCAGTTACATCCCGGAGGTGGAGGTTGCACTAAGCCGACATCATGCCACTGCACTCCAGACTGGGCAACAGAGTGAGACTCTGTCAAAGAAGAAAAAATGAGAGAGAGAGAGAGAGAAAGAAATAAAGAGAGAGAGAGACAGAGAGAGGAGGAAGGAAGGAAGGAAGGAAGGAAGGAAGGAAGGAAGGAAGGAAGGAAGGAAGGCAGGCAGGGAGGGAGGGAGGGAAAGAGAGAGAGAAAGAGAGAGAGAGAAAGAAAGAAAAAGAAAGACAGAGAAAGAAAGAAAGTCAAATAGAACATTTAGATACAGAAGATTTGAAATATAAGAGATAATATTCTTTCCAAATTGAATATTTCTTAACTATCAAGCCGAATTAGCTGCCTTTTCATAAAAAAAGTAAGTTTTGTTTTATTTTTAATTATAGGAAATAAGTACAATAATCTATTCTGGGAAATTTTGTTAATAGTTGAGTAGCAGAATTTTAGATTTGTTTTGCAATTTTTTACAATAAATTTAGTTTTGATTTTTCTGGGTACATAGTAGGTATAAGGTTGGTAGAAAACTAATTACTTTTAATGGCAAAACCCACAATTACTTTGGCGCCAAACTAATACATATATTTTTGAGGTACATAAGATATTTTGAGACAAGCATATAATGCATAATAATCACATCATGAAAAATGGGGTATCCATCCTCTCAAGAATTTATCTTTTGAGTTACAATTGAATTATACTCTTTTAGTTGTTTTTAAATATACAATTAAATTATTTTGACTATAGTCACCCTTTTATGCTATCAAATCCTAGGTATTATTCATTGTTTCTATCTTTTCTGTTTTTCAATTGTCTTTTAATTTTCCTGTTTTTATTCATTTAAAATTTTTATACGCCTCTGAATTTTTATTATTTAGTGGAAAAATAGTTATTCTTTTTAAAATGATACTGATAAATGATTTTCCCATTTTTATAATCATATTTTAGTATCATTTACATAATACAGAATTTAACTGACGTCATTTTTAAGGTTATTAAATACTAACATTAATCTAGACATTGACATTTAAGTCAGTTCTTTGTAATTATTTGGAATTTGAGAGTTAACCTGTTATCACATTTAGAGTTTTTTTATTTTTTTATTTTTTTATTTTTGAGACTGAGTCTCGCTCCGTCGCCCAGGCTGGAGTGCAGTGGCGGGATCTCAGCTCACTGCAAGCTCCGCCTCCCGGGTTCATGCCATTCTCCTGCCTCAGCCTCCGGAGTAGCTGGGACTAAAGGCACGTGCCCTTTAATATTGAATTTAAGTGATTTGAGGTCATGACAAGGATAACTTTAAGAGAACTGTAGATGATGTTAGGAAAGCTGCCTTTTAAAAATCCATACGATGTATAATCCTGACCCAGTATGTCCTGTTTTTATGCATCCTAAGGTTTGGTACAAATATACAAAAATACTACAAAAGCAATTCTGGAAAATGCATATAAAACATATGATGTAATTTATTGATTAAAATATATCCTAAGCTTTTGAGATGGTGACAGAAATGTTTAATCATCTGTTTGTATCAAAATTGAAGTTCCTTAATATATGTGGTTCTAGAATATAAATATTTCCTTTTAAATTTGAAAAATAATCGACATGGATATTGAAAGACAGAAAAAATGATACATATACTTAAAAAATAGGGATAGGAGTCACTTTGTACAATATAGAATGTCTATGCAATTAATAAACGTATACAGAGATACAATATATGAGAGAGACAATAGAGAATATGCTAGAAAGAAAAAATCATAATGAGAAAGCAAAATCATTGTAAAAAATCTGAAGGAATATAGAGAGATAAGTTCATATCATGGAAATATTTAGAGAAGATTCTTAGCTTTATAAGTATCTTCTCTAATGTATACATGGAGCTATATTGATAAGACACCAAAATAAACAATTAGATACCCAATATATTCTTTCATAATCATTTGGTTGATGTAAGCTAAATACATCTTATCGTCTAGTTATCAGTAGAGATTAAAATGGAATAAACAAACTATATGCACTGCCTATCTTTAAGTAGGGAGAATCAACAAACATAACCATTGAAAAATTGCACAAAGAATCACGAAGAGGAACATTTAAGAGGTTAAAGTTTAGTATAGAACATGGCAAAATAACCACTGGGTCACATCTGTGGATTTGAACAAGAGCTGGTATACAATCCAATCTAAAAGCCTTCGAGAAGATAGATTTTGTACTCTCAACTTAGAGGAAGTAACATTACCTGGATTGTTAAAATTCTCACGTACCATGAGCACACCCTAATAACATCCACATTATAACCTAGGGAAAGTGGCTTTTCACAAATCCTATCATTTACAAAATTTGACTACATTAAGCCTGCTACACAGGCCATTGCAAAAAAAGATCATCTGCTCATGTGATTTGTTTCACAAAGATTTGCATTTAGCATATGTGACCAATAAAAGATACCACATTCCTCCCAAAGTTAAAATTTGAAGCAAAGAAAAATACTTAATTCTATTGTCATGAGTTGTGTCAGTCATTTAGTTTTTTCACTTCTTAATTCTGGTTTCTAAGCAGATATTTAGCTAAAATATTTCAGTAATGTAGGGTTATTGTTGAGAAATTTATAAAGCTAATGTCAAAATAAAATATAAATATTTGTGTATTGATATAAATCTATCTCCGAGTTTTTAAAGGAAATTGAATCATGGGATCAAATTATTTCTCTAGAAGGGACAAACCTACTATGACTGAGCTAATTTGTTTTCCCTTTGATTATTCCAGCCATATTTTTCTCTTACTGACAGGCTGTATCACATTGTTTATACTGTGGATATAGGTTAATAACTATAATATAATGTTTGTGCAATCTCATTATGAATAAATTTTATCCTCTGAAAGTGTAATTAATTGATCAGGAAAAAACCCACAATATAATATTTATAAACTGATATATGTCAAATTTGCTATTTATTGATATAAGAAACCCTCTAAAACCACCAAAACAATTGAAACTATACTAACAAATTATTACCAAATAGTTTGAAATGGCAAGAACGCTTCTATTGAAGAGCAGGTTTTCTGCTTACGTTATCCTGAGTCCACATATTCTCTCATGACACTATTACTTTGCATACATTGTTTTCTTCTACCTCTCCTTTCCATATCTATTTGGTAAATCTTAAACATGATTTAAGACATCTGTCTAAAATATCTTTACTTGCAGCCTCACTCTATTCTAACTTTCTGCAGTTTTTCTCTTCTTATATTGTGCAATCACTTCACTTTATGTATTCACCTCCAGTTTTATTGCATTCTATTTTAATTTCTTCCCCACATGTCAACAATTAGCACTCTTTACAAGCTTTGTACCCATTTTAAAAATCTCCTCTATATAGGGTAGACAGTAGTAAATTACATTAAAAATATCTAATAAATGAATACATTAATCAGTAGACACACTATTTAAGAAGCTAACCAGTGAAAAGTGGATCAAAATTTAAAATGAGTCTTTTGATTTTAAGGATGACACCACAGGCAAGAATTTTCCACTGATATTGGTACAGGTAAGAATACTTATGCCAATCTCTTTCTATCTCTATTTCTTGCTCCTTCTCTCTCTTCTCTATCCCTCCCCACTCAGAAATATGTTCTGAATGTTCTGAACATGACCGTTTGCTTTTAGTTTGATGCTATTAGGTTTTGAGAATGCCATATCACACCTTGCTCTTAAATGGCACCTTTCTTGCTAAAGTCATTTTCTAATGGCTTACAGCTACATGGTTATGTGGCATATTTATTCTATTTATTTGTCCACCACACTTTACTTTATAAAAATGTTTCATTTCCTTGGCGTAAACCCAGGAGGCAGAGCTTGCAGTGAGCAGAGATCGTGCCACTGCACTCCAGCCTGGGTGACAGTGTGAGACTCCATCTCAAAAAAAAAAGAAAAATTCATTTATTTCCTCCTTCTGCCACTCATTCTGCCATTCATAAATTCCTTGGATAATGCATAGATTTCTGCAACATTTGTCACTTGGTTGTGTTAATTTTGAAGGATAACTCACAAATAATAATAATAGGGTTCACCAGAGAAATGGAACCAATAGGAGAGAGAGAGTGGAAGAGATTTATTATGATGAATTGTCTCACATGATAATGGAGGCTGAGAAGCCCCATGATCTGCCATCTGTAAGCTGGAGGCCCAGGACAACCAGTGTTTTAGTTCTAATGCAAACCCCAAAGCCATGACCAGGGTAGCCAATGGTGTTAATCCACATATTAGTATGAATGCCAGAGTACCAGGAGTGCTGATGTCTAAGGGCAGAACAAGATGAATGTCCTAGCCCAAGCACAGAGAGAGCCAATTTACCACCATTTTGTTCTATTTAGTCCTTCAATGGACTGAATGATGCTCACCCTCATCAGTGAGGGCTATCATTTTTATGCAATCTACCAATTCAGATGTTAATCTCTTCTAGAAACACCCTCACAAAAATACTCAGAAATAATGTTTCACCAGCTATCTTGGCATCCCTTAGCCCAATCAAGTTAGCACATAAATTTATCCATTGCAAGTAGTAATAAAACTTTAATGAAGTGAATGGTAAGCCTGCATTAGATTCTGATCTCAAGAATGTGTAAATATTAAATTCCATAAAGTTTCTGTTTGGTTAGGAAATTTATACCGCACTGGTATCTCATGCTGACTGCCTGCCTCCTTGAGCATAACTACTGAAAACAAATAAAAGGCTGCCAAAAGAGAAGCATTGGCACAGAACGTTGGTTTTCTAGGACACCCCAAGACGCATGTGCTTTCTCTCATCTTTGAACCCCCCGCAGCATTATTTGTTTCTTTCTTATAATGCATAACTTTCTTCATTTTATTAGTTACTTACAACTTGTCTTACCTCCTTTAGTAAACTTTAAGGTTCTTGAAGGAAGAATAAATAGTATATTTGTTTATCTCACATTTTTGAGTTGCTTCCATATCATGAGGGAGAGAGTAGTCCATTTTATTCTGAGAGGGAAGGGATCTGTTTGTGAATCTTTATACAATTATATCTGATTTGAAGGAAAGGTAATGGCAGAATGGAGTTGCGTTAGCATTGAAGATGCTTAAAATCAAGTGTATAAAGGTGCAAAGTTTTACGTTGTCTATTGAGTTTTAAACAGCAAGCATATGTAAATTGGGGACAATATCTAGCCTAACATTTCTCAACTGTGGTTTTACAATCACCTCAGCAAATTCTTCTAAGATATGTGAATTTGCATTTTCAACAAGCTCTCATAGGCGATATTCATGCACACTAAATGTTGATAATCAGAAGTCTGGCCTCTGGAGAGAATGGGCACTTAAGAGTAATATATGTGCTCAGAGATCAGCCACACAGACTGAAAAAGTACTCTCCTTTCTCAGTGCTGACCTGAAACATGATCATAAACAACTACCACTACCCTACCAAGTCCGGTGAGTTTACCCAAGATTGTTCACATTGATGCCCTTGGCTATTCCTAGACACAATGTATATTGGACTTATGACAATAAGACTAATTTTACACCTTCCTTTGAAAGCAGAGGAGTGTTCTTAAATACTTCACACCTCAGCTCAGAGACCATGTAGGAGTTAGCCCACAGCTAGGTCTTCCTTAAGTCCAAATGAAAGAAGGTAGGGAGGGCAAGGACTTATCACAAGGAACTTGGTGACCAAATTCTTCAACTCTCATTTGAAGTTATAAAATAATGTAAATTTATTAGCTGACTTCACCAAGTGGTTCAGGAACTGAAATAAGCATAAAACTGGACCACACTTTCTCTCTCTACATTTCTTTATCCAAAAGATTAAAACACATGTACAGAGGACAACGCATTTATGGAGTGATTTTATAGTTCTCATTTTATTGCTTGCCCCTCCACACAACACTGTAAATTACCAAAGTAAATGAAATGAGCTTTTATTTAGTCATATGTAGTAAGGGGGAGATTCTATAATAGTGACAAATAAAATTACTGACAAAATATAAAAAATATAATCCTCTATATTTTGACAGTCTCATTTACAAAGCAAGAAGGTAATACAGGTAATAGGAGTATTTCTATTATAAGTAATAGAAAATTATACTTATTCAGACTATTTAAAATAAAGGGAATTTCTATGTCATTTCTTCGTGCAATTGATGTTCTAGTTGCAAGATAGGCTTGATTATGGGTTCTAGAAATATAACCAGTACTCAATTTACTCTCAGTCCTTTTTTCTTACCCTTGCCTCTGTTCCCTGTTAGGCTCTCCTTTTGTATTCAAAACATGGCTGCTAGCTGATCTACTAAGTGCTTCCGTGTTCATATTCACCAAGATGGAGTCGGCTTCCCCCACACCAAATAAAAGCCATGTAATCGAGATTCTTGGGCTTTTATTCCACTGAGTTTTTCATATGTACTTTCCTGGAAAATTATCTTGGCCAGGAAGATATGTTGTGTCAATTGGCTTTAACCAATCCTGGTGTACCCCCTGGAAACACAGATGGAATAACCCATCCCACACACACATTATAGGTGGGAAATTGTAGGTACTGCTAAGAAAAGGTAGAAAAGGTATAAATGATTCATAGGCAACTAACAAAAGTTGACTATATTAATACCTGCAAATAAATGTATTTTTAAATCATTACTTTTTAAGTTTCTCGAGTCCAAACTTCCTTTCTCTCCCCAAAATTGAGCCATAGAAAATGGTCTCTTATTTACTTCAATTTTCTTTCATGGTTAGAGATTATATTTTCATTATTTAATGAGCCAGATTAGCAGTACCACTCATCCATAGTTCATAGCTAGCTAGCTTATATTTTTTTAAATTAATTTCAATGACAGAAAACCAATGAAAGTTTTAAGAAAGTGTTTTTATTTATTTAAGTATTTAACATAACTTATAGTCTGAATATAGGAAGTGAAGAGGTTGGTCAGTTTTTCATGGAATCAGAGCTAGGATATCCGTGATACCCTGTTCTTTTCTCTGTCCGTCATCAGTAGGTACTATAGCTCCAGCCACTTTGCCAGTGTTCAGACCAGGAAGAGGAGAAAGGTAGAATGGGGTGTGGCACCAGAGTGTCTTACATCTCATTAGCCACCCTATATTCAAAGAAGCCAGAAAAAAATTAAGACTTGTTTTTCTGCTAGAGGAAAACCAGGCAAAGGAGAAACAATAAAGAATAGGTGATAAGCCAACCCATGATACCTGCCCCAGATAATATTCTCTGTTTTTTAATGTACACATGTATTTAGCAACAAAAGAAGAGATCAGAACAGGAGACAAAATTGAAAGTCCACACTTTATTAAGCAGAAGCCTAACATGAACAATCTAGTGAGGAAACAGATCTACCCAAGAACACTTAAGTTTCTTACTCGATGCTAGTTAAGGGTTTATTTCAAAATAAAATAAAGCTCAGTGGGAGTGCTCAGTGTTTAACAATACTGTGTGTATACACTAGTAAAGCCTTCAAAAATAAAATATTTATTGCTCAGACTCTATTAAAATCTCCTAGAACTGATCAAAAAATTCAGTAAATTTCCAGGATACAAAATCAACATGCAAAAATCAGTAGTGTTTCTATACACTAACCAAACAACCTGAACATAAATCAAGGAAGCAATCCTATTTATAATGGCTACAGAAAAACCTAGCAATATATTTAAACAAAGAAGTAAAATATCTCTAAAAGGAAAACTATGAAACAGTGATGAAAGAAACTGAAGAGGACACAAAAAATGAAGATATCCCATGCTTATAGGTTGGAAGAAATATTATTATTGAATATCTATTCTACCCAAAGCAAACTACAGATTCAATAAAACTCCTATGAAAATATCAGCGACATTCTTAACAGAAATAGGAAAAACAATTCTAAATTTTGTTTGGAATCACACATACCAAAAAAAAAAAAAAAATAGCTAAAGCAATCCTGAGCAAAAATACTAAAGGTGGAGGCAGCACACCATCTAATTTCAAATTCTACTATAAAGCTATACTAAAACAGCATGGTACTGGCATAAAAACCAACACAAAGGCCAATGAAACAGAATAGAGAACCCAGAAATAAATCCACATGCTAACTGCCAACTTTTTTTTAACATAGTTGTCAAGGACATACATTGGGGAAAAGTCTCTTCAATAAATGGTGCTGGGAAAACTGGATATTCTTATGCAGAAGAATGAAACTAGATCCCTATCTTTTACCATATACAAAAATCAACTCAAAATGAATTAAAGACTTAAATTTAAGACCTGGAACTATAAAATCACCATAAGAAAACATTGGGGAAACACTACAGGACATTAGTCTGGGAAGAGATTTTTTTTGGGTAAGACCTCAAAAGCACAGGCAACAAAAGCAAAAGAGACAAATGAGATTACATCAAGCGAAAAAGCTTCTGCACAGCAAAGGAAACAATTAACAAAGTGAAGAGACAACACACAGAATGAGAAAAGATACTTGAAAATTATTCATCCAGCAAGGGATTAACAACCAGAATACATAAGGAACTCAGACAACTCAACAGGAAAAAATAATAATAATCTAATTTAAAAATGGGCAAAAGACCTGGATAGACATTTTGCAAAAGAAGATGTACAAATGGCCAATGAGTTTAGGAAAAACTGCTTACCATCACTAATCAAGAAAATGCAATTCAAAACCACAATGGTTTTATTATCTCACCCCAGTTAAAGTGTCTGTCATTTTAAAAAGACAAAACAACACATGGTGGTGAGCGTGAAGCCTCATACACTGTTGGTGGTAATGTAAAGTAGTACAACCATTATGGAAAACATTATGGAGTTTCCTCAAAAACTAAGTATAAAACTGCCAGACCCACTGCTGGCTATACATCCAAAATAAAGGAAAATCAGTTTATCTAAGAGATACCTGCACTCTTAAGTTTATTTCAGCACTATTCGCAATAGCCAAGCTATGAAATCAACCTAGGTGTCCAAAAACAGAAAAACAAAATGTGGTAAATACACATGGTGGGATACAATTCAGCCATGAAAAGAATAATACCGTGTCATTTGCAGCAACATGGGTGGAACTGGCACTCATTGTGTTAAGTGATACAAGCCTGGCACAGGAAAACAAGTATCATATGTTCTCACTCATGTGTGAGACCTGGAGGTGGAGAGTAGAATGGTGGTTACCAGAAGCTGGGAGGGAAGCAGGGAGGATGAACAGAAGTGGGTTAATGGGTACAAACTTAGACTTAGATAGAAGGCGTAAGAAGGAAAATTATAGTAAACAATAATTTATTATATATTTCAAAGTAGCTAGAAGAAATGAAATGTTCCCGAAACAAAGATGAGGTGATAAATATCCCAATTACTGTGATGTGATCATTATACACTGTATACATGTATGAAAATATATGCACCCCAGAAATATACTATGATGTCAATAAAAAATAAACAAATCAATTGGCCATATTGTTTTAGAGTACAAATAAAGCAAAACAAAAACCATTATCATTAAAAAGTCAGGAAACAACAGGTGCTGGAGAGGATGTGGAGAAATAGGAACACTTTTACACTGTTGGTGGGACTGTAAACTAGTTCAACCATTGTGGAAGTCAGTGTGGCGATTCTTCAGGGATCTGGAACTAGAAATACCATTTGACCCAGCCATCCCATTACTGGGTATATAACCAAAGGATTATAAATCATGCTGCTGTAAAGACACATGCACACGTATGTTTATAGTGGCACTATTCACAATAGCAAAGACTTGGAACCAACCTAAATGTCCAACAACGATAGACTGGATTAAGAAAATGTGGCACATATACACCATGGAATACTATGCAGCCATAAAAAATGATGAGTTCATGTCCTTTGTAGGGACATGTGTGAAACTGGAAACCATCATTCTCAGCAAACTATCACAAGGACAAAAAAACAAACACCTCATGTTCTCACTCATAGGTGGGAATTGAACAATGAGAACACATGGACACAGGAAGGGGAACATCACACACCGGGGACTGTTGTGGGGTAGGGGGAGGGGGGAGGGATAGCATCAGGAGATATACCTAATGCTAAATGACGAGTTAATGGGTGCAGCACACCAGCATGGCACATGTATACATATGTAACAAACCTGCACGTTGTGCACATGTACCCTAAAACTTAAAGTATAACAATAATAAAATTAAAAAAAAGTATCTATCTATCTATCTATCTATCTATCTATCTATCTATCTATCTATATCTATCTATCTGTCTATGTATCATCTATCTCCCAATTACAAGTATAAATGGCCACATGATGTGGGAAACTTGGTTACCTGTCAGACTATTGTGGTCATCTTATAGCCTGATAAGTGCTTTTAAAAAGCACTGAACTATACATGAACAACAAAGACTGAATAGCTTAAGAGCAATGAAAACATAAAATTTGGCATAAACATCTCTCTTGCATGTAAAAGAGTCTGAGCAAGAGGTTCTGTCTCCTCTTTGAGATTCACTCCCATGGATATGACAAGCCTGATGAAAGGATAGTGTTTAGTAGATGGTAACATTTTACCAGAATTTAATGTAAATTTTTTTGTGTGTACCTTTACTATAAAACTATATCTGAAGATACATTCTACTATATTATTCAATGTCCTTTATACAAAGATAAAGCCTCCCTCCAAGTTTAAAGTTAGGGGAAAATTCTTTTACAAAATAACCGATATGCTTTTAAATTAGAAAACCAGGTCTATAATCCTTCCTATAGGCAGTGTGTATAGATATAGGGAAAAAAAAGCAGAAAAATAAATCTGTTCCAATCGCACGCTCATCTTCAGGTCAAAGAATCACTGCAACAAAATGCTGCCCAACTCACTTGGATTTTCATTATAATTCTATGATGCAGGACATTAAAGCTGGACCCAAACACTGTCCCTAAAGTGGCAATCACTTCCCTGTATAACATGCCAAATTCTGGCCGGGCGCGGTGGCTCATGCCTGTAAATCCCAGCACTTTGGGAGGCCGAGGCAGGCGGATCACAAGGTCAGGAGATCAAGACCATCCTAGCTAACACGGTGAAACCCCGTCTCTACTAAAAATATGAAAAATTAGCCGGGCATGGTGGCGGGCACCCATAGTCCCAGCTACTGGGGATGCTGAAGCAGGAGAATGGCATGAACCTGGAAGGCAGAGATTGCAGTGAGCCAAGATCACGCCACTGGACTCTAGCCTGGGCAACAGAATGAGACTCCATCTCAAAAAAAAAAAAGCCAAATTCCATACTTAATCTGTAATTGACAACCCACTGTGCCAACAGTGAGTGGCAGGTTCATTGTGGGCACCCCCTGGGATACCAAAATGACCTCCTAACTAGTTATTTCACTTACGTCTACTCAATTTATTTTAAAAAACATTTCAATTAAAGTCTGAGAGTTTGAAAGAAATATGAAAACGAAAGCATCATAAACCAAATAGATCAGACAAATCCAGAGTTCCTCTCCTTTCTATCTACATTTCTGTATCTCTAATCTATAATTAAAGAAGGGGATATGGGTTTGTTGTTTTGTGGATATTTAGAGCACTTGTTGAGCTTTAGACACAGAGACATATAAATCCTTCAGCCTCTAGAATCAATATCTAGTCCATGAGTCAGCTTTGACCCAGGCAGCTTTGATACACCAGTTAATTGTTAATGTCCTCAACACATGTAATATGATTAACAACTAATTTCTATATAATGTCTGTCTTGATCATTTATTAAGACCACAGTACTGACTTGCCCTCTGGGTTTCTATGAGATTGAATTAGAGACATGTCTTGACCTCGTGGCCACTTAACCAGAGCTCTGACCTAGTCTAAGTTTACTAATCTCTTCCTGTGGCAGGGACACTAAGACCTCCCTAGGTTCAATGATTCCCTACAAGGACTCGCAGGACTCACAATCATCATACAGTTATACTACCAGCTATCATTTATTATGATACAAAGCAATGTCAGCATTGGATACACTGTATCCAATGTATTATATTAAGATACAAAACAATGTCAGCAAAGGAAAAAGATGCCTGGATCATTCTGCCAATCATAGCTCATCCTCAGTGAGTGTCCAGAAAGGTGTCAGTTATTAGCCATGGTGTGCTTCCATTTTGGGCAGCATTTTACAATTATTTCATTATAGTACTCTACCACTTACTACCCAGATGGTCTGCAAGAGGAAGTCTGTTCACCATCTCTGATGTGGAAACACCGAGAATAAATTTCATCTATTTGATAAAAGCATGAAATGTAGAAGGTGGCCTCATTTGAGCCTTGGTTCATTAGGCTTATATGTGACTCCCTCTGTTTTCTGAGTCCTGTTGACTCTTCCTCTCTCTTTTGACATAGACCTACACCTGAGTCCTCACCATATCTTGCAGTTTAATCCACTGAAAAATTTGAAACAGTAATAAAAATTGACTCAATTTCCATGTTGGATATATCATAACAAGAAAATGAGAGAGAGAATGCTATTCTGGAAAATATCGGAGAGAAGCAAAAACTGTAAGCAAAAGATGTCAATGAAATTTTGTGGGCTTAGGTGTGTTATAAAAATATTGAAATGTATGAATGTACAAAGAATGTTGTGGCCAAGAGTTTTGTTTAGAAACAACAAAACTTCCTTGCCTATTTATTAGTATTAAAACCATAAACAGATTGCCTAACCCCTCTGTGGTCAATTTCCTCTTCTGTTAACTGAGAATAACCATTTCTTGCTTAGAGTGTGGTGTGAGGAATAAGTGGGATCATATCTGCAAAACATCAAGTCCAGTGTCTAGTGCTTAATAAAAAGCAATGTGCATCCAATGTGGGCATCATCATTTAATTTTACACAGACAAGAACAAATATAGCAGAAATATGCAACACCTGAAATGAAATAAATGTGAGCAGATAACAAGATAAGGTCAACTGTCATTTTCAAGTTTAACAACATAAAATATGAATGCATTGGTATGAAGTTTGGAATAGTGTATATTTTATAAGATTTTTTGTATCATCATTAAGGGGAAAGGAGCTAGAAATAAAACATGTGCATATGGCTTTGTATATGAAACCAAGAGTATGGGAAAAGCTGTGTAAAGGAAAACATTGATTCTTTAATAAACAAAAGGAAGCCAAGAGAAATAAAGAAGTGCCCTAGGTTTTCAAGAGGTTGCTTTGGAATATTTAGATGTGAGATGTGCCAAAAAAGTGTCATGGATCCTGCTTTGACATTGATAAGAGGAACATGGAAAAGATAGATCCCTAGGGTATAGTCCAAAGCATTACAAATATAACATGTAATTTCAATGAAATGTCACCATTATCCACTCACTTATGCTTCAGAGGGTGGGTGTCTTTACAAAGAGAAAACAGCATGTGCTCTTTCAGAAGAGGCAAAAAACAAAAAAGGCATTTTTTAGTAATTGAAAGGAAACAAGGCTGAAATATAGAGAATGAGATTATATATGTGCAGTGTAAGCCATAATGCAGATTTTGGATTTTACTTCAAGTGGAATACGACATCCTAATAGTCTCCAAAATACTTCAGTATATGTTGATGGTGATTAATAAGACAGAGGTATTAGTGATTAATAGCTGCAAACAGCTGGTGTTTAATGGACTTTAGATTCTTAATAACTTTTTGCAATTAGTTTCAGATTGATATAACTTTTAACTTATGAATATGCAGGATTTTGTTATTTGGTTGAAAAGTAAATGATCCACTTCCATCTGTATTATACTCTTGGAGCGAAAGGAGTTATAGAAGAGGATATCTGTGGTAGACCAAGTAGATTAGGCACTCTCTGAAGTCCCTTAAAACAAATCACCCCTTGGTATTTTAGTAATTAGTTTTATTTATATTTACCAGTTTGATTTTATTTATTATATTAACTTATTTCAAAGTTAAATTAAATTTCTCTGCTAAATTACACTATAAGAATTAGGTCCCTTGATGATTTACAACTCCTAGCACAATAACAAAGGTTGGCTAGGATGTCAAGTAAAGAGGACAATCACATAGTGCTGTAGGAAGTGTGCATTTGTACATCCATTTGAAAAACAATTTAGCAGTGTTATAACACTATGAAAGTACCACAGAGATAATAAACACAAAATTCAGGTTATTAGTTACCTCCCAGGTGATGATCCATTACCCTAATGCAGGGGTCCCCATCCCCAGGTTACAGGCCAGTAGCATTCCACAGCCTGTTAGGATGTGAGTGGCACAGCAGGAGGTGAGCAGAGGGCCAAGAAGCATAACTGCCAGAGCTCCACCTCCTGTCCAATCAGCTGTAGCATTAGATTCTCACAGGAGAGCCAACCCTATTGTGAACTGCACATGCAAGGGATCTTGATTGCATGCTACCGATGAGAATCTAATGACTGATGATCTGAGGTGGAACAGTTTCATCCTGAAACCTTCCTGCCCCACACCCCATCAGTGGAAAATTGTCTTCTTGAAACCAGTCCCTGGTGCCAAAAAGGACCACTGCCCTATAGGCTTCAGAAGCAAGGTTCATTTCTTAAATTGATTGATTGCCCGGGAGTTTGCTTTATTATTACTCTTTACATCCTGTGTGCGTGTCTGTGTTTTTCATTTAATAAAAACCAAAAAATACTTTTCGGCCAGGAGCAGTGACTCATGTCTGTAATCTCAGCATTTTGGGAGGCCGAGGCAGCCAGATCACTTGAGGTCGGGAGTTTGAGACCAGTCTGACTAACATGGAGAAACCTTTTGTCTTATTAAAAATAGAAAATTAGCCAGTGTGGTGGCGCATGCCTGTAATCCCAGCTACTCGGGAGGCCGAGGCAGGAGAATCGCTTGAACCCGGGAGGTGGAGATTGCAGTGAGCTGAGCTCATGCCATTGCACTCCACTCTGGGCAACAAGAGTGAAACTCTGTGACACACACACACACACACACACACTTTTCATAAAACCAGAAAAATAATATTTTTTGGAATGAAAATAATCACTATAAGCTAAAATTGTTTATATGTATGTTATTAAAAGGAAGTGTTTTTTTGTGATTTCTGGCCAATTTTTAAATTTTACAGAAAAAAAGGAACAGCCAAAACATTGTTATAAAGGTAAATCTATCTTCTATATAAACATAAGAAAATGTTATTATTTAAATAAGAGAAAACATATTATTGATATGTTACAGTGTCTCAAAAGTACACTATTTAAATAAAAGAAACACATCACTGGTGTGTTGCAATTTCCCAAAAGTTTAAAAGGCAAACTGAGCCACAATAACAATTACAATTTTAAAAATTTATTTGAACAAACAATTCAGAAATCAAGCAGCTCGAACCTGAAGTTGTCTGGGAGCTCCACTGAGGAAATACAAGGGAAAGACTTTAATAGGATGAACACAGAAGTAAAGTAAAGAAAACATTTGATTGGTTACAAACATATAGTTGCTTTATTTAGTCTATCCCATTGGAAAGTCCCTGGTTATACAGTTTTAAGTTTGCTGGCTGTTTCTGATTGGTTGAGCTAAAGTTCTAGTTCTAGTTTTCTTTAATATTAGCATTTATAAGAAATAGATGAAGTTAAATTTCACTTATGTTTTCAAATCAAGCAATGTTGAAGTCATTCATGATGTCTAACTGGTTTTGTCGGCTCAGGGATTCTTTAGGCCTGGAATTAATTTTAACCATTCCCTCCTTTTGATCATGCTGGGAGCATGACCAAACAGTATAGCTTTACTCTTGGTTCCCACTATTGACATAATCACTGGATCAGAGTCATGTAGATGCTGTTATTATCAATAGCTGCACTGCGATGTAAAGTCACATGGCCATCATTATTCAAAATTGCATAGTCATCGTAGGCTTGACTAGTCAAACTGTTGGGTCCTTCAATCTATCGAATCCTGATGGCAATCATTTGATGTGTGAGTGGCTGTTTTTAAAGCATTTAAAACCCTTGAAAGGGTACAACACAGTAGAGAGATAAATACAATAAATATAGGAGAAAAATAGCCAAAGATTGAAAAATTCCCTGGAGAAGAAATTTCCAGGTGCCAATATTTAACCAATTAAATAAATCAATGGAGAAGGCAACACATGTTTTGATAAAAGCCGTACTTGTTCTTTAAGATCCTTTAAATTTGGGGAAACAATTTCTAATTTATCATCATAGAAAGAACATCTTTTATCAACAGAAGCATATGTTTGTCCTTTTTATGCTGTTAAGGTATTAGGAACTTTTCAATTCTGGAGTAAGATTCTATTTCTTGAAGAGAATTTAAGGTATCATGCTATGAAAACAAAGTAAAAAGGTTAATATTTTGAGCAAATTATGATCTTATTTTTGAGTCCAGAGGGCAGCTAGTAAAGAAGAAATCCAGATGTGAGTTTGAAGACTCTTTAGATTGTAGGGTGAGGATGGCAATTAAAATCTGATATAGATTTTCTTTATTTGCAGTTTGAATGCCTCTGGTTATACCATCAGGTTTCTGGTGAACTCTCTGAGTGACCCATATACCAGCAGGCGTGAAGGTCTTCCATGCATAAACTGTGGTAGTGATTTTTCTAAAGTTTAAAATCTTCCAATTTCAGTTTGCAGAACTTGAGAAAAGAAAACTTTAGTTTTTCATGAAACTAGAAGAATTCAGGATTCAATCCAGTTTATAGGAAGCTAACAAAACTTCAAAGAAAATTAATAGGACTAACATTTTATACTGGACACACTATATTTTTCTATTGAAATATAATCTTTATGATAATCACTCTCATTTTTACCAAAAGCAGTTACAGTTAATTTTTAAAATAAGTCTAATTTCATTAAACTTGACCTAATTGTCTATATAAGTACAGGAAGAACAGTAATTCTATGTATATTTTAAAACATGCTATTTTACTTAGAGCTTTGGTAACATCCAAGTAGCTTTGTTTACTTTGCATCAGTCAACATTAGCTTTTTCAACCTATTTGGTAATGAGATGTCTCAGATTAGACCTTAAATACTTCTCTAGATAAGGAAGTCAAGTTAAAGAGTTGCCCAATTATTTCCTATTACAAGGAGAATAGATTCTTATTGACCCTATGCTAATACCCACATTGACAAAAAAAAATTTGGTAAGATTTCACATTCTGGAGCTATCAGAGATAGAGAAAAATATGTTCCATTTTAATTTATAAAAATATATTTTGTCAAATATCTGTGAGTTATAGGCAACTTAAGAGAAAAAGTATTCCTTAAAACTGAAAAATAAGACAGAGAACAAGCAATGTTACAAGTAAAAGTTTTTAAAATTATAATTATTCATCAGCTAATTTAGTCCCATATAATTTCAGTTTGCTTAATATTGGGTTATAGTTCTACAAATTCATTGGTTTTCCATTAGAGTTCTGAAAATTTTTACCCAGCCTAGTAGTATGATGTTAAAGTTACCAGAAACTTGTTCTTGTCAGTTTTTTAAAGTGTGTATCTTGCAATTTGGTATCACAGCTGCTTTCAAAGCTTTCAGAAAAGCATAAAAATAAAACAATAAATGTCTGTCCATGACAAAAGACTTAAAGTGGCCCTTGTTAAAGATCTGATGAAAGTTCAGTATGATGCAATTGACAAGAAAATTTCATTGTTTTTGTGGCATATAGCAATTTAAGATAATAATTGGATTTACTACTGATAACATTATACCAGGATATAGGAATCTCTAGAAATTTCATACAATTTCTGGAACAATCATATCAATAATATATGTAACTTAAAGAAGGTTTAGCATCAATCACTTGACAATGCCTCCCATGAAATTTAACATATCCAATAAGCCTAGTGAGTTTAACATCTTTCTTTTTATAGGAAAATAAAAAATCTTTTGAGATATTTCAGGGAACATTCTGCCTTCTAGGAGTCTGCAAAGCTAATATGAAGTCAGCAAGACTTAGAATTTCATTTTGGGAAGCTGTCAAAATGTCAAAAGTTTAAAACAATTAAATAGAATTACAGGACACTGTGAAATGAAACCTAAGTGACAAAGATTTTAAGGGCAAATTCAAAATGTTACACAGTTGTACAAAAAAAACCCCCAGCTCTTTTAATATTGAAAAGACTCACTTTTCTTAAATAATAAAAAAGCAAATAAAAGACAACATCAAACCCATGAAAGTATCCTAATGAAACACAAAATCTTTGTTTTCTATGTCAATTACTTAAAATATAAAGAAAAAATTTCCTGTAAACAGTGCTGCAATAAACATACATGTGCTACTCAAAAGAATATAAATTAATCTACTATAAAGACACATGCACAAGTATGTTTATTGTAGCACTATTTACAATGACCTTTTTTTCTTTCCAGTTTAAGTAAACAAAACACACACCAGGGCCTGTTGGGGGGTAGGGGGAGAGGGGAGGGAACTTAGAGGATGGATCAATAGGTGAAGCAAACCACCATGGCACACGTATAAATATGTAACAAACCTGCATGTTCTGCACATGTATCCTGTTGTTTACTTTTTTTAGAAGAAATTAAAAAAAAAAAGAAAAACGTTCATAATCAAGAACAAATATTCCAAGAAAACTTTGTTCATGTAACAAAAAGAAAACCCAATTCTGGCTTTGTTTCAGTACATAACTGAGATTATTATTTTTTAAATTATAAATAAAATCTATCTAATCTTAGTAATCTGACCACACAAAAACTTCCTCTTTTCCAGACCTTCAAAAACTTTTTGTATCTCTTCCATTTTGGCCTTACACTTTTCTTCTTTTTTATTATAGAACAATTAGTCATCTTGCTTTAAGACAAAATTACTTCTTTGAACTTAATGTAAACACATATTTTGTATACTTCTTTTTATTAAAAATACATCCCATGTTCTTTATACTTTTTTATTTTTTTATTTTTTTGAGATGCAGTCTCACTCTGTCACCAGGCTGGAGTTCAGTGGCCCGATCTCGGCTCACTGCAACCTCCACCTCCCATGTTCAAGCGATTCTCCTGCCTCAGCCTCTCAAGTAGCTGGGACTACTGGTTCACGCCACCCAGCACGGCTACTTTTTGTATTTTTAGTAGAGACAGGGTTTCACCATGTCAGCCAGGATGGTCTCCATCTCTTGACCTTATGATCTGCCCACCTTGGCTTCATAAAGTGCTGGGATTACAGGCGTTAGCCAATGCACCTGGCCTTTTATACGTTTTTATATACACTTGCTTCCTTTAATTTTTACTATTTCTCATAGTTTTAATTACACATGTTAAATAAAATCCTCAACTCTCAGTAATCTTAATATCTAATGAAAATTAGGAAGTACATAATTTCAGAGTTTTTAAATAACATATGCTTCCTATAGCACAAGACATGTTTACCAGTGGAACCAAATATCACTAGTCTTTCTTCAATAAGAAGCCAACAATAGATAACCTTAAACTTATTTTCAGCAATTAATATTTTTATCTTATTTGGATATAATCTAGATATTTAATGAGTAGCTATCACTTAACTTAGTATACTTATAAGGCTTTAATTTACAAAAAAATATTTTGAAAACTATTTTCAGGAAGCCATTTGTAATATTAAACCAAGTTGTCATCTCAAGCTTGCTTGATTTCTCTTTCTTTCTTTCCTTCTTTCTCCTTCCTTCCTTCCTTTCTTCCTCTATTTCTGTCTTCTTTCCCTTTCTTTTTCTCTCCCTTCCTTCTCTTTCTCTCCTTCCTTTCCTTCCTTTCCTTCCTTCCCTCCCTCCCTCCCTCGTCTCTCTCTCTCTCTCTCTCTCTCTTTTTTGACAGAGTCTCACCATTGTCGCCCAGGCTGGAGTGCAATGGCACGATCTCGGATCACTGCAACCTCCGCCTCCCAGGTTCAAGTGACTCTCCCGCCTCAGCCTCACAAGTACCTGGGATTACAGGCATGTGCCACCATGCCCGGCTAATTTTGTATTTTTAGTAGAAACGGGGTTTCACCATGTTGGTCAGGCTGGTCTCAAATTCCTGACCTCAACTGATCCACTCACCTTGGCCTCCCAAAGTGCTGGGATTACAGCTGTTAGCCACCGCATCCGGACTATTTTTCTTATTAACAAATTCTGTAACAGAGATGACTGAGCTTATTTGATTAGAAAAGCTAGGTAGAATACCAGTTTTTACTAAGTCACCTATACCCTTATTCATTTAAGTTTACCCAAGTTACATGAACTTGAAAATTATGTGGTTTAGTTCCTTTGTTTTCTGAGAAAATATTTAACTTATATACAAACACTTTTTCTTTAGGCTGATTAAATAGAGTTCTTATATATAATTTCTAATTATACCATCTGGATATAGAATAATATTACATGTAAGTAACATATAAAGAAGGAGCATACATAAACATACAGACAGAGGCAAATAGAGATTTATGGCTTCAGTTCTGAAATTGTAGCCATTTGCCAGGTACAATAATATAAAACTCACTAGATGGATCCAAATTATGTTCTTGGCAGTTTTGATTACCTATTCATATGGCTAAACCCATTTATTAATATTCATGGAAGGGACTTTTAAGATTTTTCATTTGCCACTTTATTTCTCAAAAGTTCCTCTTTTCTCCCCCTTCTTCTGATGAGTCATTTCCCTGAAGCCTGCATTTTAAATATTTAGACATGTCTAAGGAAAGAGAAAAGATGTTAAGTTTTTTTCAAAGAGGAATTTTGGCTATCCACCTATTTTCAGAAATCAATCTTATTGAGACTTGGACTAAATTTTAAATGAAAGACTGAGGGGATATCAGTCTATTACCAGATAGTCTTTTACCTTTTAGCCTTAGGCAGTTGATTTTGTAATAATTGAATTGTGTGCAAGACCAAGAGTTAAATTTCATTGTTGCAGATCCTCCTGGCTCACTTGAGGATCTAATTTTAACGGGAGTTGATGTTGACGAGATTCAGATGAAAAAGACAAAAGATCAAAGAGGATAGTATATTCGGAATACTTTTAATTAATGTGCTGTAGAGATACCTTTAGAGAAGCTTTTTTCTTTTCTTTTCTTTTGTGGTAACCATGTCTTTTGGAAACCTCTGTATACTACTCAAAAATGTATCTCATTGTTTCTAGGGCATTCCGTATCCCCTCTTTTTTTTTCCCAATGTGCCCAAAGATAAATGGTTTCATCTAGAATAAAACATCCTTATTGTCATCACTGTAAATCTAAGTAATCATCCTGAGGTGCACCTATTTCTCTAGAAAAACAAAGGTTCTGCATCCATAACTTCTGAAAACAAAACTAGCTGGAGTTCTAGATGAAGAAGTCCCAGAATCCCTAGGGTTTGACAAGCCAAAATACTCTGTCCTAAAATTTCATTTATCTGAGGCCTCTAATTAGACCCAGTTCAGTTCCTGTCAAAGACCAGTTCTACCTCCAGATCCCAATCCAGATTTCAGACCTACCCTGGAAACAAGTGCACGATACTATACCAAATCTAGTCCTTGTCAGACCAAGTCTCACCTGCAGAATAAAACTTGCTCAAATACAGTTGGAGAGCTAATTTCATTTAACACTTACATGTATTGATTTGCCTGTTTGTGTTTATTTATATGTATAAGTAAATTTGTAAGTAAAGGTGTAAATTATGTGTATAATTTACTTATATAACATTCACTTATATGTGTTTTCTTAAACATTTATATGTATGTCAAAAACTATTGCTACAAATTTGTGGTTTTTCTTTTTAAACTTCAAAACATATTTTCAGGGGCTAAATCGTGTGAGTTTAAAATTTAAGAGAAAAATTCAGGAAAAAAAACACAATTCCCCGTCCTCTGGCATGTATTTGAAAGAAGATACAATGGTTGACACTATCTGAATATTAGAATCACCTGGAAAGAATTTCCAATTTCCCAATGCCAGAGACCCCACCCTCAGAGACTTAGGCTTCATTGGTTTGAACTGAGTGAAAGCATTGGTAGTGCCTAAAAAGATCCCTCAGGTGATTCCAATGCACTAGCACCATGGTTCTTCAACTTTGATTACCAGAACAACCACAGCAGCATCACCTGTAAACTTTTCACAACGTCCCAGGCTTCCTCCTATACCTACTGAAGCAGAAACTTTGGTGCTGGGGCTCAGCAATATGAATTTTAACGCGCTCTTAAGGCAACTTTGATAAGGTATCTCTTTGAGTTTCTCTTTTGTATTTCACGTTTTAAGAGGGGTGGAATGTCTTAAAAGCAGATTGGAAAATTTGAGAGAAAAAACTGAGTCTGCTAAGCTAATTGGGCACAGTTTTTTTGGTGACAAAATTGTTCACAGAAGGTAGCATTATATAAGGTCCTCTCTCTTGCCGTGTAATAAATTCTGTGTGGTCAGCTCTGTTGCTTTAAGTGCAATTCTCCAGCTGCAGCAGCGTTGGGGGCATAACTCTGACTTTTGGGTAAAATATCAGCAAGCAGCTTTGGCCATAAATCCAAAGTTTTCTAATTAGCTTTAGCAGATTTATCACTATTTTTTATTTCTATTTGCCATATCTTGTGTCTTAATGACAAAATAGAGTCTAATGAAGGGGAAATGAAAATAAAGGAGTTACAGTCATTTGCATTTTAAAAATAGGGCTTCTTTCCAGGATAATGCCCAGGTTTGTGGAGAACTACAGCCATATCAAACAAAGAATATTTGTTTGATATCATCTGCCAAATGATAGGAGATGGCATATTTGAGGGAAGGGACACTTGAAACCTTAAAAGTTTCATGTTAGAAGTTGGAAATAGTTTCTCATCAGGTTGATATGGCAGAAAAGCTTGAATAAGGGAGAACAGAAGAGCAAGTCATGGTCAAAAGGAGAAAGCCAAGGAAGAAGGTACTGGAAAATGTACAGGGCTAGCTTTGAGACAAATTCCATGGATGAGCACCTCTTGGAATATTGTTTAGGGAAGAAGATGCAGACTCTCATAAAAGAGGCTTGTTTGAATTGTTTCTGTTAGTATGACTTTCCATCTAATGAGTATAGTGACTTTTAAGATTGGGATGCAAATCCTGACTCTAACATTTCCTATGTGATCAATTCCTTATCCAGGCAAGCAATGCTTGTATTTGATTAGTTGCATTTTTACTTTGTCTAAGTAAGTATCCTGTGGATGTTTTAATATGCATTTCCTTGATGAATAATATACTTGAGCTTTAATCACTTCATTTTGTCATTGTTATTTTTCTTTTATGAAGCAAAGCATTTTGTCCAGTTTTCTATTGCCTCAGCCACTGATTTTCAACATTATTTTTAATTTCATAAAGTATATAAATATGTAATAAAGTAAAAAAATTAATATGTGATATGGTTTGGCTGTGTCCCTACCCAAAATCTCATCTCAGAAAGTAATCTCCATAATCCCCACATGTCAAGGCCAGGACCAGGTGGAAGTAATTGGATCATGGGGGTGGTTTCCCCCATACTGTTCGTGATAGTGAGTCTCACGAGATCTGATGGTTTTATAACCATATGGCATTTCCTCTGCTTTGCACTTTTCCTTCCTGCCACCTTGCGAAGAAGATGACTGCTCTGCCTTCTGCCATCCCCCTCTCCTCATCTAACATTTCCTGAGGTCTCTACAGCCACATGGAACTGTGAGTCAATTAAACCTCTTTTCTTTATAAATTACCCAGTCTCAGGCATTTCTTCATAGCAGTGCAAAGATGGACTAATCCAATATTATTTACAATATTTTTCTATCTTTGTTATTTTGGTATACAGTTTTCAGACTCTTTATATATGCATATACATATTCCTAGAAATACATAGTTTTATTTCAACTCTGTGATTTTACATATAATATAACATTCTTATGCTGACCTGCAACTTGCTTTTTTCCACTTAACAATACACCTTGAATTTTCCACATCAGCACATGAAGGTATATAACCATTCTAACTGCTATGTAATAGAGCAGTATATAGGATACTTTATAGATGTCCAGGATTTATAACAGTCTGCTGTCACAAGCAATGCTGTGAAGTATGTCTCTCTGCATATGTCTTTGAACATATTTGTGTTTTCTCTTGGGGAGATAGTTAGAAGTAGAATTATGGGTTAGAGGTAGAATTATGGGGTCATATAGAAAAGGTATTTTAATTTTAAAATGTACTGACAAATAGTGCTCTAAGGAGATTCATGAAATTCACCTTTACATCATGAATAGGTATTCTCCTACACATATTTGTGCATGTACTCCATACAGTTGATTTGTTGAATATTTATTTTTATAACTGGGTGGAAAATGGTGTCATTCATATTATTTCTATTAAGATCAAATATTTTGTCACATGTTCATTAGCCTTTTGTTTACCTGATATGAATTAATTCAATCAAATTAGCAATGAAAGTAAACTAGAGTTAAAACAGTGTATTTGATTAAAAGTGTTCATATTTTAAATATATTTTGAAGACAGGATTGGCTAATGGACTAGAGGAAGGGAAGAGATAGAAATCAAGAAAAACCTTCAGCCTCCCTTAAAATATACATTTATTAATGGGCCAGTATTGAAAACAGATGTGTTTCTAAAGTAATTATTTTATTTAAAAATACCACCCACTATGTTGCAAATGTAAAATAACAAAAACATTATTTATAAAAAAACCAACAATTTCAGATCCTTGGTTCACCCATACAATCAAAGCTAAGCTCTTTTAATTTGCATTTCTCTAGGATCACAGTTGTAAGCTTGCTCCTTCTCTGGAGAGTTCTCTCTTATACATGTGTATCTGGAAAGGTGATATTTATAAAAAAGAGAAAGAACAAAGGTGATGAAGTGCTAGAGAAAAGGAAAAATTGTTATTTTAGTCATATGTTGGCAATTTTGCATAATCTGAAGTTTTAAAATTAGCTGAAAAGGGTATATTTTTCATTCTTTATCCTGTAATTAATTTAGTTGCTAAAAGTATTATACTATAAAATGCAATATTTAAGAAAAATGATGGTTTCAGGTTTCTTCTTTTAGGTGTACCTATTTCTAAATGGTTCTTAATCTTTATACTTTAATTCTATTTTGTATATGTAATGTTGGATGCCACATATAAACAAAAAGGTATATTATCTTTAGTCATCACTAGTGTTGGTTAGCTGAAAATATGGTTCACTCCTACGTAACCCACACATAAATATTCTCTTCGTTCTCCTCTTCCCCCTCTGCCCCACCTCACCTCCCACCTCCCTATACACGCACTATCAAAGCTATATATGGTCTTTTTATAATATCGTCAATATTAACAAATTTGCTATTTATATTTTAACATGTTTATTTGTCATATTTCTATCTTCTCTCTTGCTATATGTCTAATAGATAACTTATTTAGTCTAGTCAAACATTAATAAAAGTCACAAATACTGTCAATAAAAATTTATGCACTATCCACAAGAGTGGGTGCCTTATCAGGCTGAGTGAAATATCTGCGCTGTCTGACAAATACTGATTATGAATAAAGAATAATCAGCAGATTTCCTTCTGTTGCTATAAACACTTGAACAATTATAAACATTTACCCACTTCTATTGAATCCATATTCATCACTGTTCCATCTGCGAATTACAAATCTCATATATGTCGCTTATAGGGAAAACTTTTCCTAGTTCATCTAATATTACTATACAGCCACTTACTAATTAAGCTAGTATTTTGATTTTTCAATATAGTAGACTCTTTTTAGCTTTGTTAGCATAATCCAGCATATGTGAGTCTAATTAAATCTGCTAAACTGGTGGTATTGAGTTTCTGCCCAAAGATAAATTTGCAGCTAAGGTCAAACAAAAAGAGTATGAAACCACTTATGCAGTTAACTGTAAGGGTTTTAAAAGATCTACTTGAAAATATCTACTTTAGCCTTCTTGAATTCATTATTCTGCATATTGACCTTTAAAACACTCAATCATTAATATCTACACAATTATAAAAATGTGCAGAGTATAATAGATAGTTAATAAATGTTTCTAATGAATACTTAAAATAGTGATGATTTTGGTCAACAAAAGTGTAGGGAGTTTTCTATAGAATCTCATAGCTCAGATGTTCAAGAATGACTGGAAAACCAAAAGCCTTTCCTCAGTAGTAGAAAAGCACATACTTCTCTGACTTTATTTCATATAACATTTCTTTCCATAAAATTCCCTGAACATGCCAAGTTTGTTTGTTCCTCAGCCATTTTTCTTTTTTTTTCTACTCAGCCTAGGATACTTCCCTCCAAATACTAACATACCATAACGTGCTGGCTGTCTAGTCCTTTCTCTTTCTTATAATTTTGGTTTATGCTCCAATATCCCATCTTCATAAAGGCCAACACATCTAAGCCCCCCAAATCCACCCTGTGCCCTTGCTGACAGGTATTCTTTATCTTACTCAACAGTGTAATTTTGTTTTTAGGTATACATGTGTCATGGTGGTTTGCTGCACCTGTCAACCCGTCATCTAGGTTTTAAGCCCCACATGCATTAGGTATTTGTCCTAATGCTCTCCCTCCCCTTTTTCCCCACCCCCGAACAGGCCCTTGTGTGTGATGTTCCCCTCTCTGTGTCCATGTGTTCTCACTGTTCAACTCCCACTTATGAGTGAGAACATGCAGTATTTGGTTTTCTGTTCCTGTGTTAGTTTGCTGAGGATGATGCTTCTCATATTTTTTTCAAGATTTTTGTCTTCTTGCATTCCCCACCTGAACATGATAAAACATAAGAGATAAATAACTCAATTCTACATACTAGTTGGCCCCTCAGCACTTGAAAGGTCTTCAGCCAGAGGTCTGATTATTCTGGGTCCTACAGAATCTGAACGTCTAGACAGCAGACCCGAGGATCTGCACATTTAACCACCTCCCAAGGTCATTTTTCAGACAGAAGTAGGAGAATGCTTATTCTTTACAGCATTGGTTCTAAAATTGTGATTCCCAACACCAGCAGCAAGAACATCATCAGATAATTTTTTTAAACTGTAAATTATCTTACCTAAACCTAAATTTATTGAATGAATCACAAACACTGCAGGTGGGGCCCAGCATTCTGTGGTAAAACAAGGTCTTCCATAAGATGCTAAAGCCTGAGAACAACCAGGCTGTTCCTCAAATGAAGACAGTTGTGCTAACTAGCTACAAATGATAGTAAAATTTAGTGACATTTTTTCTACTAGGTTAAACAATAAAACCTGAAATAAATTAGTGATCATAACCTATTAAAATATGCCAGTTGAGAATGATAGAAAAGCTAAACTGGATTTCATGGAGAGCTTATAAAAACAACCACAATATTATAAAATTATACCTCAACCAGTACTAAAAATTAATACTGCCCTTTCAAATACATAAATCATGACTTCTTTCTTAAAACTTCTATTCTTTTTAAAAAGGAATGTGCTTACAGTATGAGGGAGTATATAGTCAGAATTGTATAAAATACATGGAAATAATTTTTTTATTAAGAGGCTTGGTTTCCAGCACGGACAAATGAGGTATATATTTTTATTATTAGGGTGTTTTTTTGACACCTTAGTTCTTTTTTATCAATATATTTATGATATTGATAAAAATATTGAAGATATTAAGGAGCATGGCTTATGGGTTTTTTTGCTTGTTTTCCATTTGCCTTATAGTCATAGTCTACTTTGGCATGTTGTAGTGACATTTCACTATCTGGGAGACAGCTATAATTCATTTGTCTTTGTAAATGAAAGCAAATGGCAAGAGTATTGTAGAAAGCTTCAGCTCAATACTTTATACCACCAAGCTGAGAGGGTTTCTAAGGATAGTGCAGCACAGGCTCCAGAAGCCTAATTGACTCAGTTTTGTTCTGTAATAATAATTACAGTCCTTCTTAATTGAAGCCTGTGAACTCTGCCAGGGAGTTTTTAACTCCCTTTTTCCTTTACAGATTTAATAACGGGTCAAACTCTTTAAAAATAAAAACTTATTCCTCCTGTATATTGCTACCTTCCCTGAGAAAATCTTCTGGAATCCTATGAATTATTTCTTGATTGCTATTCAGACAAGGAAAGTCTACCTGATAGGATATGTAAGAAATACAATACAAAAATTTCAATCATCAAAATTTCTGTTAATCTTCCCTGAAAATATATACTCAACAGTCTTTATCACTTTGAAAGAAGGAATGAAATATTTTCTTAAGAAAAACTCATTGCTTTCAATTGGTCGGATAGAATTTGTCTTTATAATAAATGGAAGCATATTTCTCTGGTAGCCAGAACAATTTTACTGGTTTACTGAAAGTCATTGTTTTACTTGAGGCGTTGCCAACTTAAATATCTTAAATATTTTACTCAATTACCTAGAGTAAGGAAAAGCACATTCAACATTTGCAAATAATCACTTATGGTGTGTTTGTATTTTAAAGTTTCTCAGGTTCTTTTAATTAAGTAGAAACTTGCGATAGACATGGAGAAAATATTTTAATAAAAACATAGGAATGCTTCATCTACATTCTACAGGACATATTTTATAATAAAAATTTACACATCTTGTCTCATTAATTTTAATTCAAGTACTGTTTAGACATACATATGTTTAAAATAAAATTAGCTTACAAATTAGTCTTAGTATGCTCTCAAAATCTTAGTTTCTGCTCTCAGAGACATTTACTTTAATTGACTATTATTTAAGATACTCAAATTTTAATCATTAATATGTTTAAGAGCTTTGTCCTCATAAATGAGAGATCTATAGATTTAGGTTTAAAAATTACTTTTGAGGGCTTCTAACAATATGAAAAACTAAACTGATATACACATACACATTTATGTCTGTATCTATATAGCTCACTACAATTAACAAATGATAACAAAAGTATAGAATTAAGTACAAATTGATATAGGGAAAGTCCATGGCTTATCTAGGCTCAGACATATGTCCTTATTGCTGGGATGAGTGTTCTGCACACTGTTAGAGAAGATACAGCTTTGGTCTGTGGATGAAATGAAACTTGGAATAGTCTACTCTGCATAAAGCTCAAAACAAAAATCAATGTTTGAAAATCTCTAGAAAGAAGAAAAAAATACCACTTTAGAAGATTTGAAATCCCATACCTGGACCATTTTGGGCTATGGGGTGTGAACTATAAATATCTGAAAGTGGGAAGACACAAAACCAAGAAACAAACATAAAAATTTTAACAGTTTTGGCCAGGTGTGGTAGCTCACGGCTGTAATCCCAGCACTTTGGGAGGCCAAGGCAGGCGGATCACAAGGTCAGGAGTTCGAGACCAGCCTGACCAACATGGTGAAACCCTTTCTCTACTAAAAATACAAAAGTTAGCTGGGCGTGGTGGTGTGTACCTGTAACCCCAGCTATTCAGGAGGCTAAGGCAGGAGAATCGCTTGAACCCGGGAGGTAGAGGTTAGCGAGACACCATCTCAAAAAATAAATAAATAAATAAATAATAACAGTTTAATAGATACCCATTAGCCCCTCAAAGAAGTAAGTAAGGTCTTTGCATCAAGACCGCCTTTTGTAACCAAGGCACCTGTAACTCCTACAGACAAACGAATCCCCACTGAAGACAATATTGCCCACATCTGTACCCCCATGTTTATTGCAATATTGTTAACAATAGCCAAGAAATGGAATCAACCCAGGTGTCCAAAAACAGATGAATGAAGAAAATGTCACATATATATATTGACAATATGTAATACTATTCAGGGATTTAAAAAAATGAAATCCCATCATTCACAGCAGCAAGGATGAAACTGGACGACATTATGTTAAGCAAAATATGCCAAGAACAGATCATTAAACCCTGTATTCCTCACTCACATTTGGAAGCTAAAAAGAGTTGATTTCATAGAAGTAAAAAAGTAGAACAGAGGATACTAGAGGCTGGGAAGGACAGGGGAAGAGGAACTAGGAAGAGATTTGTTAAAGGATACAATATTGCAGCTTAGTAGGAAGAATAAGATTTAGTATTTTTTAGCACTATAGGATTTACATAGTTAAAAATAAGCTTCCAAGAGCTGAAGGAAGACATTGAATGTTTCCAACACAAATAATATTTAAGATGATGAATATACTAATTACATGGTTCTCTATATATTACATTTATTGCAACATCACTATGCACCCCATAAATATGTACAATTATATGCCAATTTAAATATTTTTTAAAATTTAAATAAAATATTTAAAAATTGTATTAGAATTTCTAGCTAATGACTATTATATAAATTAAATATTTTAAAAATTATTTATAGTGATGTGATTATGTAAAATTCTATAATCTTTATGAATTGAAACAAATGAGAGTGTAGACAGTTTTCTGCATGCACAATCAGAATAGATAATTAAAAACAAAATATGTATATGAGTAGTAACCACACAAATACTTAATTTAAAAAATATTCTGTTGACATGAACAATGAAAATATAAGGTCCTTGGAGTAAACGTAAAAGATTGGTAAGCATGTTGTGAAAAAATTCTAAAACTTTGTTGAAAGGATTTTTGTTTTTGGTATATGATATTTTTACTAACACAAACATATCACAAGCCCATTACAAGAGATTAATGATTCAAAAGTCTATATACCAAAATGGTGGTTCCCCATTATCTGCCATATCCAAATTTCTTAACTCTGTATATTTTCCCTAATAAGGACTACATGAATAAAATATATAAGTTTTAAGCTACTGTACAGTTATCAATTCATAAGTAAATAAAATAAACCAATAAAAATACCCTCCATGATTCCCCAACAAGAAAAGATAGTCAATATCCTGAATTTTTAAAAATCACTAAAAGATAATAAGCAACCAAAAAATTATTTAAAGTGCAATATACCATATTCATAGATGGGGAAAAAGAGCTGTATTTCATATACTTGTATACATATAAAGTATGTTTACATATATAATGTATGTGTTTCTAATTAAAGTTCTGATAGCTTTTTATAACTTGGCAAGAGATAATCAGACAATACAAATGGAAATATCAGTAAAAAAGCTAATAGATTTATAAAGAAGATAATACTCATACAGCAGAAAAGAGAAATATTTACCATGGAAATTTATAAGATATTAAAGTTTATAGTTATAGAAACTGAGAGACTATGTATTGGTACAGGTAGACCATACAAACATAATAACAAATGCTGAAAGAAATATAATTTTTCAAAACCTAGTACATAACAGCAGTGGGGAAAATATTGACAGTTCAATTTTTTTTCTTTCTTTAATCTTAGTAATTTTTCCCCAAATACCAATGTAAAGGATTACAGTTACATAATTCATACAGAATTCAATATAGAAAACATAGTACACAAAAATTTCTTGAAATTCTAAGTGAAAAATCAAATATTCAATATTTTAAAAGTAAAATGCAGAATAAAACATATATTAAATAAGTACAAGTTGCTTAAATAAGACACAGAAAACACAAACCATAAAAGATATGTTGATAAATATAAAAATTTACAAGTAACAGATATTGATAAATGTATAATTTGATAAATAGACTGATAAACTCCATATATACATTTACTATAATTGAAAAAACCCCACAAGACATTCAAGATATTAGTCAGGAGATGATATTTGTAAATCACATTTCTGACAGAGAAATAGTTTTCAATTCTCAATACTATCAAAAACACTCTTGCAAATTTAAAAATTAAAATGAGAAAAAATGGGCAAATGATATAAACAGACAATTTAAAGATAGAGTAAACTGAAAGAGAAATATATTTAAAAATGTTCAGCTTCCTTTGCAATCAGCATAATGTAGATTCGGTAGTTAAGTCAGCTAGTAAACTAACAAGCTCTAATGTCTTATAATAGCAAATGTTTGCAGGAATGTGGGGAAGTAGGAACTGTGTTCCTTATTAATACATGTATAAATTTGTAAAATCACTTTTGGTTGGAGTTACCATTATCTAATTAAGTCAAATCAACACTATTCTAATTATATTTTCTACAGGAAATTTCTATACAAATCCAAGAAAAAGGGTGTAATGTGCTCTGTGGCATAGCAAAAAAATTAGTAACAATGGGAATGATCATCAATGAAAGTGTTGATGAATAACTTGTTATATTTTAAGGCAGTGGAAAGTATACAGCAGCTGAAATAAAAGCATAGTCTTATGTTATCACAATAGTGACTGGAAAAAAAACTACAAAAGATTCAAAAGTTGTTTTATATGATATCATTTATTTTAAGAAATGCAAAACATATACGCATCTAAATTTGTATATGTGACAGTGTGTCAGTTCCAATCTTAAGCCAAAAGAGATGTTGTGTATTTGCTGTCTCTTTTTGGAACTTTTGACACTTATCAAAATAAGCATATATTTGTTAGCCCATATTTCTGAGTCTGAGAGTGAGATATTTGGAGTATGTAAAATTTTAATCTAGCCAATTCTGCAGCCAATACACAAGTCCAAAAGCCATAAAGGAATCTTGATTAAGTTATGTCACTGAGCTGGGCACAGTGGTGTGTGCCTGTAGTCCCAGCTACTTGGAAGGCTGAGATGGGAGGATTGCTTGAACCCGGGAGTTTGAGGCTGCAGTGAGCTGTGATCCTGTCATTGGGCTCAGCCTGGATGACAGAGCGAAACCCTGTCTAATGAAAAATATTAAAATATGTCTAATATAGAAATTGGTACATAGGAGAAAGTTGTTTATAACATAACCTTGAATGCATAGTGCTGGCTTTAGGGAAGGGTATTGAACAGTGAGCCAACTGTAATAAAATACAGAAATCAGGGTGTCCCAGGTTATGTAGTGGCAAAATAATTGACAAGTCCATGAGCTGTGATAACCTAAAGTAAAAAAAAAAAAAAAAAAAAAAAGTAGTTCATGATCTTGTGGAGTTGTGTGAACAACTTTTGAGATAGAATGTATAGAATGTTGAAATAGTGAACTATCTGCTCATGGACCACATGAATTTATATGCAGAAAGAACATGTATAAAAATATACAAAAAACCTTTAAAAGTAATAAGAATTTATCAAGTAAACAGATTACACAAGGTAAAAACACAATATTAAGTTGCATACCTGTACAGCAGCAACAAACATAATAAAGGTGAAAATTTAAAATGTCTCCATGTACAATAACATCAATAACATCAAACACATTGTCAAAGAACAAAATTTCTACAAATTGAGTTTCAAAGGTATAATTGGTTCTTATTAGCAATTCATGAACCAGGCAGCATTTAATCTACAAAACAGACAGTAACTTAGCTGGATGTGGCGGAACAATTTGGCTTTTATAAGACAGCTGTAGTAGAATGAGGAAATAACATAGTGCAAAAAGCAGATTAATTTTCATCGGATGATTTTTCTCATATGAGTTTAAGCAAAGGAGCATCCCCATTATGCTGGCTCAAGTTAACTGGTCCCCTTTTGATTGGTTGCTGTGAATTGCCCGTCTTTTGGAAAACTGGCCTGTTTTGGGATCTGGCTATCATTTATTTCCTGACTTCTGGCCTAGTTAGATCTTACAAGTGAATAACTTAGGTTTTGGTTTGGTGATGTGGAATTTTGGCACAAGTGAATCCATCTGGGGCCTGTTATTTCTTAAACAATGTAGAAAAAAATTTTAAAAGATCTACACTGAAAACAAATTATTAATGAGAAAAATTAAAGGAGACATAAATATTTTGTAGGATACTATATCAAGCATCCCCCCCAAAATTGTTATATAGAGTTAGCATAATTCCAGTCAGTTTTGGGGAATTTTGTGGGTTGTGGGAGAGAGCATGTTAAGTTCTAAAATCTATATTGAACTGCAAAGACCAATAATGGCCCTTTGTAAAAATGCAAGTAGAAATAAATACAAAAAGATTTAACGTTTTATATGCATAAATAAATATCAGTAATAGTGATGCATTTTGAGTTTTTAAATATGTGTATACTTAACATGAATAACAGCAATAATATTCAAGGCACAAAAGGAAACAGGAAATTTAAATAGCGTTAAATCTCTTTTAAAAACTGGATCCATTATTAAAACCTTCTCACAAAGAAAACTCTAGTCTCAAATCATTTTGAAGGTGAATTCTTCCAAACATATAAGGAAGACATATTACCAGTCTTACATAAAATCCTCCAGAGAGTAGAGAAAGAGGGAATATCATATTCTTGATAATAACCACAAGGACTTTACAAGATGACAGAAAACTTTGTGAATACAGGTGCAAAAATCTTAAAAATAGCATAGGAAATCAAACCAGAGAAATATCAAAAATATATCACATCATGACTAAGTGATGTTTATTCCAGAAATGCAAGGATGATAAACCAATCAATAAAATTAAACATATTAACTTAAAAAAGGAGAGAAACTATGATCATTCTGATAGACAAAAAGGCATTAAACTTAAATGTGCAATCATTATCTTTTTAAAACCTATTTGTGTATTAGGAACAAAAGAGAACTTCCTTGATATGATAAACAGCATCTACAAATACTGTACAAATACTTAATGGCAAATTACTGAAAATTCTGCCTGTAAGTTGGAGAATAACAATGCCTTCTTTCAAAACTTCTACTTAATATACTGAAGATCTAGAATAATGCATTAAAACATGAAAAATAACTAATTAGTATCATAGTACAAAAGGGAGACTACCATTATTTGCTGATAAAATTTTTATATACAAACAATAAATGGTAAATAAATGTGAATGAATGAAACTGAATTGTGGTTCATACATACCACACATTTAATACTATTCAGTAACAAAAAGAAACAAATTATTGACATACAACAAGTACTTGGATGAATCCCTAGGGAATTGTGCCAAGTGGGAAGAAAAAAGCCAATCTCAAAAGACTACACACCATAATATCTCTTAACTTATGTTAAGAGATATTTTAGAAGATATGAGTGGTTGCCCGGGATTAAGACTAGAGGAAGGTGGTATTCAAGCAAAATGGTTGTGGTCATAAAAGGGCAACACGAGGGATCCCTGTGGTGAGAGAACTGTTAGTATCTTGACTGTAGTGTAGGACATATGAATATATATGTGTGATAAAATTGTAGAGAACTGAATATGCACCCACACAAACTGTCATACACACACACACACATGCACGACTTCTTATACAATTGACAAATTCTGAGTAAGATATGTGGATTGTATAATGCCAATATCACAGTGGCAATATTCTGCTACAGTTTTACAGTGTTACCATTGGGGGGAACTGGGTAAAGTACCACTGACTCTTTCTGTATTATTTCTTTTCTTTTCTTTCTTTTTCTTTTATAATCAGCAGAAATTTATCTCTCATAGTTCCAGAGGCTGGAAGTCTGAGATCAGGGTGACAGCATGATCGGGTTCTGGTGAGGGCCTCTTCTGGATCGCAGACTGCTAACTTCTCTTTGTATCCTTATGTGCTGGAAAGAGAGCAAGCTAGCACTCTGGCTGCTGTTTATAAAGGCACTAATCTCATTCTTAATTTATAAAGGCACTAATCTCATTCTTAATTTATAAAGGCACTAATCTCATTCTTAAGGGCTCCATCCTCATGATCTAATTACCTCTCAAAGGCCCATTATCAAATAGGGGATTTGATTTCAACATGAATTCATGGATTTTCAGAGGACAAAAGCATTCAATTCATGTAAACCTTATGAACATAGATAATAGAAAAATGTAAGAAAATAATTAGAAAGTGATGAGTTTTAAGTATTTATTACCTTTTGTTTTCAATATATTTGACTAGAAGTTTATATAATTCACTTTTTAATGAAGGCTGGGTTTAACAATTGGCTCACAAAATTCCTGAAAATGTAGCAATCAGCTCTGGCAAACTGGAATGAGCTCCAGCACACTACTGGTTTTAAGACTTGATGTAACATGCTAGATCACAGCTTAGAAGGTTGTATGAAAGAAGGTCGGTAGGAGCAGAGACCATAGGAAAGGAAATTGGTGAGGGCTCTCCCAGAAGTTAGATACAAGCGATACCCATCTGAATATCTGGCTTCCAATGCTAACAGCACTGCATGTTTCTCTGGTCTGTAAGGAGTTGCGTAGCTCTGAATTACTGCATTATGCCATTCTCCAGTTGCTTCGGTTCTGTAAGTGTTGTCATGGCCAGATTTTAAGTTAATTGAGTAAAGCCATTTCTTTCATCTTTAGCATTCTTTAGCATTCTCATTACTGATGCAGTTCTAGGACCGCAATAAGTAATATACTAGTAATATTGGTCTAATAATAGTGACTCGTGCAATGTTTTCTTTAGAGCACTTCCACTCACATTCTCACAACAGTTCTTAACATGAGCACAATGCCCTACAAAATCTGCTCCATCCCCCTTCTCCAGCCTGGACCCACTCTCTAACATGCAGCTTCATGGAGCCTCACTCCTCTTTCCGCCTGGATGCCTCTGATTGCCCCCTACCCCCATCAATCTTGACCATACACAACACATTGTTCCCTCCTCTCTTGTTTATTGTATCATAACAATAATTATGTTTCCTCCACCAGACTGTGGACTCATCTAACCGGGAATTATATCTGATTACTCTTGGTATCCTCAGTGTAATGGCTAGAAAATATTACACGTAAATACTTATATTTTTAATAGAAGAATGAATTTGGTTGGCAATGTGGCAGAGTGACCAAGAGAGCACTGGGGCCAAACTTTGCAAGTTGGAGTGGACTTTGTGCCCTCTGGCTGTCTGGCATGGACACATTGTCTTATGTATGTTCTGAGTTTCCATATCTGTAAAAATGAGGAAAGCCTTAACCTCATAGAGTTTTATGAAGACTAAGTAAGATAATACAAATGAAGCACCTAGACCCATGCCTTGCATATGGAAGGTACTAGAAAGATGCTGTTGTTTAAATATTATTTTATCAAGACTACATGTATCAGTGGTAAGCAAAGAACTAGAAATCAAGTTCCTGACTCTTAGTAGATAGATGTTTACCCTACTCCCCCACAGAGTCCCTTTGAGATGATACAAGGCAGGTCCTTGCCACAGTGTCCCACTGGCCATAGAAACACCTTTTGTCCCGTCCATCAGTGAGCGTGCAATCTGTTCCTACTGCTGTCTCACTCCCACCCCAGCCAGACTCCGACTTTCAGACCTCATCAGGACAGAGTCAGGCATCACTTCCAGGCTCCCAAACTCCAGGTGTACATAGTCAAGAATTTTCTCCCCACACTTTGCACCAGTCCCTGCAGGCTGAGTCCTTGTTTCTGCAGCTCAGCAAGCATTCAGTAAATGCATACAATGCTGGTCTCCAGCCTCTATCTTCCCAAGTGCTTGTCTTGGATACCCCCAACTTGGATTATAGGGTATAGAGGAAGATGAAGCCTTATGGCGTTCTCTATTACTTATAAAATACTTCTGACAAATACTCTTCTAACAAATCCTAGCTTTATCTGATAGAAGCTGTTAGGTACATCTGCTGGATCAAACAATTCATCAGCTTTTCCACAGCCATCATCCTGGCTTTAGTTCTATCACCTCATGTTGAACAGCAGCAACCACTGGGCTGCTTTCCTTTTCTCCCAGATATTATTAGGTTCTTATTGTTACTGGAACACATTATCAGTAACTTGTTGGCTTAAAACAACACAAATGTATTATTTTATGGTTCTGAAGATCAGAAGTCCAAATGGGTCTTATGGGGGTAAAATCTGAGTGTCATCAGGGCTGCATTTCTTCAGGAGACTCTAAGGAAAAATCCCTTTTCTTGCCTTTTCCAGCTTGTATAGGCTGTCCACATGGTTCCTGGTCCCCTTCCATCTTCAAAGACAACAATGGCCAGAGAGTCCTTTATATATCACAGCATTCTGGCCCTGATGATCCTGCTTCCCTTCCTCTACACTTACGGACCCTGGGATCACACTGGGCTCACTTTGATAATCTAGGATTATCTCCCTATTTTATTTATTTATTTTATTTCAATAGGTTTTTCGGGAATAGGTGGTGTTTGGTTACATGAATAAGTTCTTTAGTGGTTATTTCTGAGATTTTGGTGCACTCATCACCCAAGCAATGCACACTGTACCCAATGTGTAGTATTTTAACCCTTGCCCCCTTCATACCTTTTCCTCCCAGTCCCCAAAGTCCACCATATCATTCTTATGCCTTTGCATTCCACTTATGAATGAGAACATACAATGTTTGGTTTTCATTCCTGGCTTACTTCATTAGAATAATCATTTTCAATTCCATCCAGGTTGCTGCAAATGCCATTATTTCATTACTTTTTATGCCAAGTAGTATTCCATGGGGGGTGTGTGTGTGTATCACATGTTCTTTACGCACTTGTTGGTTGATGGGCATTTGGGCTTGGTACCTTTTTTTCTGAATGTGCTGATATAAACATGAGTGTACAAGTATCTTTTTCATATAATGACTTCTTTTCCTCTGGGTAGATAGCCAGAAGTGTGATTGCTGGATCAAAGGGAAGATCTATTATTAGTTCTTTAAGGAATCTCCACAGTTTTCAGTAGTTGTTGTACTAGTTTACATTCCCACCAAAAGTGTGAAAGTATTCCCTTTTCACCACATCCATGCCAGCATCTATTATTTTTGGATTTTTTTGATTATGGCCATTCTTGCAGGAGTAAGGTGGTATTGTATTGTGGTTTCGATTTGCATTTCCCTGATCATTAGTGATGTCCAGTATTTTTGCATATATTTGTTGGCCACTTGTATATCTTCTTTTGAGAATTGTCTATTCATGTCCTTAGCCCATTTTTTGATGGGATTGTTTTTTTTTTCTTGCTGATTTGTTTGAATTCCTTGTAGATTTTGGATATTAGTCCTTTGTCAGATATAAAGATTGTGAAGATTTTCTCCGACTCTGTGGGATGTCTGTTTACTCTGCTGATTATTTCTTTTGCTGTGCAGAAGCTTTTCAGTTTAATTAAGTCCTATCTATTTATCTTTCTTTTTGTTGCATTTATTTTTGAGTTCTTGGTCATGAAGTCTTTTCCTAAGCCAATGAATGTCTAGAATTTTTCCCAATGTTGTTTTCTAGAATTTTTATGGCTTTAGGACTTAGATTTGAGTCTTTGATCCATGTTGAGTTGATTTTTGTATAAAGTGAGAGATGAGGATCCGGTTTCATTCTTCTGCATGTGGCTTGCCAATTATCCCAGCACCATTTGGTGAATAGTGTGTCATTTCCCCACTTTACATTTTGTTTTTTGTTTGAAATCAGGTAATACGATGCCTCCAGATTTTTTTTTTTTTTTTTTTTTTTTTTTTTTTTTTTTTTTTGCTTAGTCTTGCTTTAGCTATACAGGCAGTTCTTCAGTCCCATATCAATTTTAGGATTGTCTTTTTCTGGTTCGGTGAAGAACGATGGTAGTATTTTGATGGGAATTGCATTAAATTTGTAGGTTGCTTTTGGTAGTATGGTCATTTTCACAATACTGAGCCTGCCCATCTATGAGCGTGGTATGTGTTTCCATGTGTTTGTTGTCTATGATTTCTTTCAGCAGCATTTCATAGTCTTTCTGTATTACTTCTTAGGACTGTATATAAATTTACAATTATCTCTGTAAAAATTTCATTTAAAGTGATATGAATAATTATAAATTTAGGATGTTCTACAAATTAAGACTTGAGAATTAATTTCTTTGTATTGTGGAAATATTATAATCTGGGAATGTGTACATACTCTGATTTGGCTATCTTATTCTAAGACTCACACAGATTATTGACATCACATTATTCCACCAGCTTTTTTGTTCAATAATTAACATTCCATTTTTTGCCTCTTTGGTATTCATAGTCTATTGAATTATTTTAACCATTGCATAGTGCATGGTCTAACTCCCTAATAATCATACATAGATCCTAATTTTAATTTTTGTTTTTCAAATACTCTAAACTCTCCTAGCAATGTATTCTCCCCATTTAACTTATACTAAGTTTATATTAAATGGTCCATCATTCTTGCCAATTTCAAAAGGTCCTTTATCCATTGCATTTTTATCATATCTTGAATTAAGGAAGCTAAGTGACATTTCTGGGACTGCTCACAGACTGGATAAAAATCATTCAGGTCTCTGGTTCCATTATGAAATCATGATTATTAAAACTATTGGACATGAAAATGAATTCAGCAAATCCACTGAATTTCTCTAATCAACTTCCTCTTTTCTTTTTTCTCCAAAAATATGTCAAACCCTCTCTTCACTAGATTCACTAACCTTGAACTTACCACATACTTTCTATTAATTGACCTGACTTCCTTGGTAACACAAAAGACATTGGACAGGAACAATCTCACCTTTATAAAACACCTACAAATGGAACTGCGCTTAGGATTCTACTGTCTTTCTACCCATCTGATACAATTGGGAGAGTCATCTCCTCCTATCAAAGGCAAATCTGCACACCTAAGCTTTCCTTTATTTTACTTGATCACTCAATACTACTAGTATTCCTTCTATGCTTCTGCCCAAAGTGTCTTAGTCCTTTCTTTCTTCTCTAACTCCTCTACTAGTGCTTAATATGTTGGTATTCTTTGGGGCTTGATCCTATATGATTTTCTTTTCAATCCATATTCTTTCCTATAATGTTCTCAGTTACCAACTCTACGTCAAAGACTTCCAAAAATGTATCTGTAACCAAGCCTCAAAAATTGTCTATGTGGAAATCTCTTGAAATTAAAACTAAGTATGTGTGAAACTGATGTCCACATTCCTACTCTATTGATTCCAGTCTTAGCAAATAGCACACCAACCACTTAGTTGTTCAAAAAAGTCTTCCGTACACAAACATAGCTAGGTCCAATTAAATCATTCTCTCTGATGTGCAGTAGTTCTCCCTTGCCCACAGGTTCACTTCTCATGGTTTTAGTTACCCATAGTCAAACTCAGTCCAAAAATAGATGAGTATAATATGAGATATTTTGAGCGAGAAAGAGACCATATTTACATAACTTTCATTACAGTTTATTATTATAATTTTTTCATTTCCTTGTTACTATTAATCTCTTATCACACCCACTTTATAAATTAAACTTTATCATAGATATGTATATAGGAAAGAAACATATATAGGGTCCAGTATTATCTACGGTTTCAGGCATCCACTGGGGGTCTTGGAACATATGCCCCACAGATAAGGTGCGATTACTGACTTTAATCACTACTATGTAGTGAGTCCTATTAATTATATGAAAAATATGGAAAATGTAGTTTCTTACCTTCTCCAATGCTACTAACCTCTTCTAAGCTACTGTCATGTCTTACCTGGGCTATTCAAAAGGCTCCAACTAATTTCTGTAATGTCACTGTTCTTTGCTCATATTACTTCACACTCTTCCAGCTTCTCATTTCCCAGTGATTGGCAAGAGTGATCTTTTAATAATATATCAAATATTGTCTCCTTTAAAGTTTTCTTTCCTAGACTAAAATTAAGATGTCTGATCATGACCTATAGAAACTTATATGATCTAATTAAGAAATGAGAGAGATCACTTATATTTTGTTTCTTCTTAATCTCATTCATGTAAACTCAGGCACATTGGCTTTATTTTTATACAAGAATATACCAGAACATTCCTTAAAACCTATATATTTGATATTCTCAATTCCTGGAAAATCCTTCTGATTTCTTAACATGTTAATATCTTAGAATTTTAATTAGAAGTTATTACCTATTCAAAAACACTTTCTCTGATTTTACCACAAAATAATGCCCTCAGGCCATGCTACTACTCTTGATTGCATTATTTTTTTTTTAATTTATAGAAGTTAGAATGGACTGTTTTATTTTTAATTGATTACTAACTGTTTTGGTGCTCTAGAATGTGACCTTCATGAATATGGACATCCTGTGTCATATTATCTTTTTCTGTGATTATAGTAAGACCTGGAAAATAAAAGCACTCAATATTTTAAATACATACATATATACATATTTGTCCATAGCATGCTCCCCTCTAGTTTTTGACAATTTCTCATCTCAGATTTAAGTATAGGAATATCTAAAGGCTGTTTTATTATATGACTTGTTGGATCCTTCTAGTCCACCATTGACATATAATAAATAGTAAAATTTTAAAATATGATTCTAAATAAAGCAACTCACTGCTTAAGTATTTCCATTGGCTCCCTGTTGTTGTTAGGATAAAGACCAGACTGTAACCATTGTGACAATATCTAGAATTAGCTGAATTTTGTCTTTCTTCTTCTGCCTCCTCCTTCAACATTCTTTCCATTGTGTTAACTTGAAAAACAGCTAAGATTTTTATTTCTTATTTCAAAGTTTCCTAAGTGGATTAACCTTGTAACAAAAAAAATTATTATTTTTTATCATGAGCAAAATTTTAAATTATGACAGTTATATCAGCAAGAAGGTGGAATAGAAGGCTTCAGACTTTACTCCCCTTGACAGAAATTTGAACTAGCAACTATTCAGATTATGGTCCCACCCAGGCAAGGAGATGCTTGCCACAATAATGGGCAGATCATCCAGACAGAACATTAATAAGAAAATATTAGACTTGAAAAATTCTTTAGACCAAATGGACCTAACAGACATATATGAAACAATCCACTGAACATAATACATATCCTTCTCAAGTGCACTTGGAGCATTCTCCAGGATAGATCCTACATTAGGCCACAAACAAGTCTTAGCAAATTTAAGAAGATTTAAATCACATCAAAGCTATTTTTGTAGCACAGTGGTTTGAAACTGGAAATCAATAACAAAGAATTTCATAAAATTCACAAATAAATAAAAATTAAATAATTTGCTCCTGAACAACCAATAATTCAGTAAAGAAACTAAAAGGGAAATTTTAAAATATCTTGAGAAAAATGAAAATGCAAACACAAAATGCCAAGCCTTATAAGATGCAACAAAACCATTTTTCAGAGGAAAGTTTATAGCAATAAATGCCTACATCAAAAAAAGAAGAAATATGTCAAATAAGATTATACCTTAAAGAACAAAAAAGAACAAACTAAGCCCAAGGTTAGTAGAAGGTAGGCAAAAATAAAGATCAGAGAAGAAATAAATGAAATAGATACTAGAAAAACAATATGAAAAACTCAAGAAAACTACAAGTTTGTTTTTTGAAAAGATAAAATTGACAAACCCCTAGCAAGGCAAACTGAGAAAAAAGAGAGAAGACTCAAAATCAGAAATTAAAGAGGAGGCAACTGATATCACAGAAATGTAAAGGATTATAAGAGATTATCATAAACAATTATGTGCCAATGAATTGAGTAATTGAGAAGAAATAAACACAACCTACCAAGATTGAATTATGAAGACATACAAAGTCTAAACAGACGAATAATGAGTAGGAGATTGAATCAGTAGTAAAATGTTTTTCAGTCTTCCTCCAAAGAAAAGTTCAAGACCTAATGGCTTAAATGTTGAATTCTACCAAACACTTAAAGAACTGATACAAATCTTTCTGAAACTCTTCTTAAAAAATGAAAGAGGAAAGAATATTTCCAACCTCTGTTAACAAAGACAGCATTACTCTAATACCAAACACAGATAACGACATTACAAGAAAATTACAGACTAACATCCTTGAAGAATATGGATATAAAAATCCCCAACAAAAATCTAGCAAATAGAATTCAATAGCACATTAAAAGGATTATTGATCATAATAAGGTGGGATTTATCCCTGGGATGCATAGATGGCTCAACATACACAAATCAATAAATGTAATATATCACATTAAGATAATGAAGGACAAAACCCAATAGATTAATAAATGCAGAAACGAATTTGACAAAATTCATCATCCTTTCATGACAAAAACTCTCAATACATTAGGCATAGAAGGAATTACTTCAACACAATAAAGACTATGTCAGAAAATCCCACAAGTGATAATCATACTCAATGGTGGATAGTTGAAAGTTTTTCTTCTAATGCCACAAACCATACAAAGATGCCTACTCTAACCACTTCTATTCAATATAATACTGGAAGTTCTAGTTGAAGCAATTAAGCAAAGTAAAGAAATAAAAGGCATCCATATCAGAATGGAAGAAGTGTTTTTCACTGTTTGTTGACAACATAATTTTATATATAGAAACAGTAAAGACATCACCAAAACTGTTAGAACAAATAAACAAATACAATAAAGTTGCAGAATATAAAATCGAATCGACCTACAAAAAAACTATAGCATTTCTGTACGCTAACCATGAACTATCTGAAAAAGAAATTAAGGTGACAATCTCTTTTATAATAGCTCTCAAAAAAATAAAATATTTAGAAATACAATTAACCAAGATGCTAAAGGTCCTATACACTGAATACTATAAACTATTGACGAAAGAAATTGAAAAAGACACAAATAAATAGCTATTTCATGTTCATGGATTGGGAGAATTAAAATTTCCATAATATCCAAAATGATCTACAGATTTAATGCTATCCCTATAAAAATTTCAATGTCACTTTTCCATAAAAATTTCAAAAAAATCCTAAAATTCGTATGGAACCACAAAAAACTCTGAATAGCGAAAGCAACCATAAACAAAAAACAAAGTTGGCATCATACTACCTGATTTCAAAAAATGTAGTGTACTACAAAGCTATAGTAAGTAAAACAGCATGATACTGGTTAAAAAATAGACACATTTACTAATGGAACAGAAGAAAGAGCCCAGAAATGATCTCATACATGTATTGTCAATTTATTTTAAACAAAGCTGCCAGGGATACACAATGGGAAAAGTGCAGTATCCTCAGTAAGTGATGCTGGAAAATATAGATATCTGCATGCAGGAGAGTGAAAATGGACCATTATCTTGTACGCCCTCACACCATATATAAAAAGCAACTCGAAATGGATTAAAGACTTAAAAATAAAACCTGAACCTGTAAAACTACTAGAAGAAAACATCAAGGAGAAACTACATGCCAGCCACTGGTCTGGGCAATAAGTTTTTGGATTTTACTGCAAAAGTACAGGCAACAAAAGCAAAAATAAATAGGATTACATCAAACTAAAAAGCTCTGTGCAGCAACAGAAACAATTAATAGACTGAAAAGACAACCCACAGATTAGAAGAAAATACTGCACATCTGATAAAGGACTAATATCCAAATTATATAAGGAACTTAAACAACTCAATAATAAAAAAAAATTTTTAAGTTGACAAGGGACCTAAATAGAAATTTCTCAAAAGAAGACATATGAATGGCCAACAGATATATATATATGTAAAGTATTTATCAGCTGGGCGTGGTTGGTTCACCTCTCTAATCCTAGCACTTTGGGAGGCCGAGGCGGGTGGATTACGAGGTCAGGAGATCAAGACCATTCTGGCCAATATGGTGAAACCCCATCTTTACTAAAAATATTAAAAATTAGGCCAGACATGGTGGCTCACACCTGTAATCCCAGCACTTTGGGAGGCTGAGGTGGGTGGATCACGAGGTCAGGAGATCAAGACCATCCTGGCTAACATGGTGAAACCCCGTCTCTACTAAAAATACAAAAAAATTAGCCCAGAGTAGTGGTGGGGGCCTGTAGTCCCAGCTACTTGGGAGGCCGAGGCAGGAGAATGGTGTGAGCTGGGTAAGCGGAACTTGCAGTGAGCTGAGATCACGCCACTGCACTCCAGCCTGGGCGACAGAACGAGACTCAGTCTCAAATAAATAAATAAATTAATTAATTAATTAATAAAAATACAAAAATTAGCCCGGCATGGTGGTACGTGCCTGTAGTCCCAGCTACTTCTTGGGAAGCTGAGGCAGGAGAATCACTTGAACCCTGGAGGCAGAGGTTGTAGTGCATAGAGATTGCACCACTGCACTCCAGCCTGGCGACAGAGCAAGACTCCGTTTCAGAAAAAAAAAAAGTATTTATCATCACTGACCAGGGAAATGCAAATGTAAAACTATAATGGCATATCACCTCGCTCCTATTAGAATGGCTATTATTGAAAAAAAAAAAAAGATTCAGTGAGGATGTGGAGGAAAGCGAACCCTTGTACACGGCTGATGGCAATGCAAATTAGTACAGCCATTATGGAAAACTGTATGGTAATTTCTCGAATGTAAAAATGTCATTATATGATCTAGCAATCCCACATCTGGTATTTACCCAAAAGCTTTGAAATCAGTTTGTTGAAGAGATAGCTGCACTCCCATGTTTATTGCAGCACTAATCAAACTAGCTACAACATGGATGGAATTAGAGAACATTATTCCAAATGAAATAAGGCACAGAAAGACAAAGACCGCATGTTCTCATCTATCTATGGAATCTAAAACAATCATTCTCACAGAAGCAGAGAGCAGAATGGTTATTACCAGAGGCTGGGAGCTGTGGGGAATAGAGGAATGAAAGTCAAAGGGTACAAAGTCTCAGACAAGAAGCATGAGGTATTTTTTGAAAAATACCTATCGCATGGAATGGTGAATACAGTTAATAATAAAGTATTGTACATTTCAAAATTGCTGACAGTACACTGCAGATGTTCTCACCACAACAAAAATGACAAGTATTCAAGGTAATAGATATGTTGATTAGCCTAATTTATTCTGCATTGTGTTAATAGATTATAACATCACTTTGTGCCCCATAAATATATACACTTATAATTTGTCAATTTACAATGAAATAAAATAAATTGTAAAAATAAAGTATACATAATAATTACAAATAAGATGAAAAATAAAAATGAGTGCAGCACTAATAGTATTTTAATGCATTTACTTTTGAAATTGAACACTCTTTTCAAAATGTGTTCACTACTTCAAATTGAAAGTTTAAAAATGTGCTAAAATCTCCACAGACAACATTTATTTCATTAGGAACTTTTGGAAATCTGGTTGCCCAGCAAATTATCATTTTAGTAATTTTTAACTGAAGAAAAAATTAGGAAGTAAGTTTATCTTATTTTGCACATATTTTAATAGATCATAATTCTATAACATGGAATAAATTATTTCTTGATGCAATCAAAATATTTCAATATTTGTTATGCTAAATGTACTATCTGTTGTCATCTCTGGTTTGATATTATATATTTTAAGGTTTTTGAGCTAATTTAATCCAGTCAGTCCCTTAATAGTATAATAAAGTATATAAAATTTACCATTTAAACATTAGATTCATTTTCTTAAATTTTACCTTGTGAATCAATTAAATAATAGTAATGGTTTCAATGAAGAGATTCCAGGTTTAGTTACAAAACTTTGTATGATATAATTGACATATAGCATATTACTTATTTTTCCCTCTAGGATCTAGATAAGCAAAATAGCAAAATATGTTCCACCTCCTGGGGCCAATATTACAAAGAAAACATTTTAATGAGGTAAAACACATTCCAAGGTGGAAATTTAAAATGTAATATGAGCCTTATTTTCTGGACTTACAATTGATGAAAATGTAGCACGTATTTTTTAAATTCAAATAGAAAGTAGAAAATTGTTGGAATGCTGTTTGCAAATGAGTCTGATTAGCTGTAGCTACATAAAGGTTTGCTTAAGAGAAAAGATGGAGAGGCAACTTAGCAAGAGTAAATTAATAGAGAAGCAAAATCTTAGCAGGTGAATCTTATCTGTGAAGGAGACACTCCAAAAAAAAAAAAAACAAAAAGAAAAAACTATAGACTTATTGCACTTCAATATAGAAATGAGATACACTCAAAGTCTGAATCATAGAGCTCTCATTTAAAATTGGTCCACATTCTCCTATCCCTTACATATTAAGGTATTTGGAAATGATTTTTTTTGTGTTGTTGTGTTTTGTAATGATAAATGGTTCTTCCTTAGGCAATAGGCAGACCGAATAAAATCTAGGAAATAAAGGACATCGTTGCCAGTTGCCCCCTAAATACCCATATATATATATATCAGAATCTGTAATTGCGAACATAACTTCATGGCTTCACGCATTTTTCCTCTAAAATATTTCTCATTTTTATATAGCAGTATTATATATATTTTCAAACATATTAGTAATCATAGCATATTATGGTTTTTTAAGTGTTTTCCATGCTCTAAGCTTGATTTAAGCCAGTTCCATCTATTAATTTATTTAATCTTTATGAAATTGTTAAAGTGGTACCATCATTATCCCCATTTATAAAAGAAGATACTGAGGGTCACATTGCTAGTAAGCGATCGAGCCAAGTCACACCAGATGGCCTATCAGTAAATGCAAGGGTACTATTTATAAGCTATTGTGTTGAAGCTTGTTAGGAGTATAACCATTTCACCTCTCAAAGTCCTCATATCACATTCCCGTTATGTAGTGTCTGTGAGTCTAGAAACACTATCCTAAAACAAGGCAGCTCTAAAAACTCATGATTATAATTTAAGAGAACTAGCTTATCCTGAAATTCTAAGCCAAATTATTTCAAAGAAATATACGTATGTTTGCTGAATGGGTATTGCTATGGGTACTAAAAGTATTCTTGAAAAATATGATTAAATTTCTCAATCCAATCCTGTCTACTACAATGATAATTTTGAAAGCCTAAGGAATAGATGTGCGACATAGAGTATGTCACTTGTATTTGCATCTTTGTTATTCAAAATGTCAGTGTTGCTTCATTCTTACCTATTCAAAATTGAATTTTGATATTGTTTTCAATGAATTTTAAAATTATATTTTCTACCAAATGAAGTAAAATGAACCCAAAAAGAATTTTAACTACTGTGTCTTTTCAAACTCTTTTGTATTTGCAGTTTCAGAATTCTAATTTCAGTATAAGAAATTCAATCTATCACTGCATGGTTCTATTTTATTACACCATGTTAAATGATCCCAAGTAGCATAACTTGATTAGTCATGGTCCTTCTGTCAAATAAATAACTGCTGAGAAATGTACAAAGTACAAAGCTTTCTCATTAGGCAAAGGTGGCAGTTAATTAATGTGATTCCTAGAAAAATTATAATTATTCATTTCATCTAAAAGCCATTCTGCATTGGTATCTACTGCTTTTAAAACTTTAGAATCAGAGAACATTTCTGAAATTAAAGCCACTTTTAAAAATTGTTATTATGCCAAAAACTGATAGTAAGCAGATTAGGTGCCTCATGCAAATTAGAACTATTATTATTGAGATATATAGCTTCATTTGAAGATATTTCAGTGAAATTCTAAATTAGCCAATTGAGGAGGAGCACTTACTAATATAAAAGAAGTAAATCTAATAGAATTTACCTGACATCTGTATTAGGCTTGAAACTCAAACTGAGAGAAAGTCATAATAAACCAAACTACCCCACATTATTTTTTTTCCTTCTCTTTCTTTTTTCCTCCCCTCCTCTCCCCTCCTCTGCCCTCCCCTCCCCTGCCCTCCCCTCTCCTGCCCTGTCCTTCCCTCCCCTCCGCTTCCCCTTTCTCCCTTCCCCTCCCTTTCCCTCCTTTCCCCTTCCCTTCCCTTCCCTTCCTGAAACAATGATTAGAAGCTGTCTGGATCTTCTCAAAAACAAAATAAGGGAAACTGAATTCTTGCTTTTCCTATTTATTTGTGTTGGACAACTAAGATACTTTGCTTTTATCTTTAAATACTTGATCAAATGCAGGCCTGGCAGAGCCAAGAAGGCACCAAAATAAAAGATTCTGTCCTTAGGAAGCATTTTGGAGGGAAATGTGAGTCAGCCCTATACATTGAGAAACTTTTTTACATGTTGCTCTTTTCATGTCCAAACAGATTCTTTACTAATTAAACATAGAATCTGGTGCATCTTCTTCCTGTTTGCTAAAAATGCCTACTTCTTTCCTTCTCACATAGAAATCCCATCAGATATTAAGCATTCTTCAGGATTGCAAAGTACCTCCCAATTTTGCCAATTTTTCTTCTCATCTTTAAGAACAAAAAGATTTGGGCCAAGTTCTATGGCTCATGCCTGTAATCCCCCCACCTTGGGAGGTCAAGGAAGAAGGATTGCTTGAGCCCAAGAGTTCGAGACCAGCCTGGGGAACATGGCAATGAGAGGTGAAGCCAGCTGGGCTTCTGGGTCGGGTGGGGACTTGGAGAACTTTTCTGTCTAGCTAAAGGTTTGTAAATGCACCTGTCAGTGGTCTGTGTCTAGCTAAAGGTTTGTAAACACACCAATCAGCACTCTGTAAAAATGCAGCAATCAGCACTCTTTGTCTAGCTAAAGGTTTGTAAATGCACCAGTCAGCACTCTGTGTCTAGTTAAAGGTTTGTAAATGCACCAATCAGCACTCTGTAAAAACAGACCAATCAGCACTCTGTAAAATGGACCAATCAGTGCTCTGTAAAATGGACCAATCAGCAGGACGTGGATGGGGCCAAATAAGGGAATAAAAGCTGGCCACCCTAGCCACCATCCGCAAGCTGTTCGGGTTCCCTTCCACCGTGTGGAGGGTTTGTTCTTTCGCTCTTGGCAATAAATCTTACCGCTGCTCACTGGCTCTGCACTACCTTTATGAGCTCTAACACCACAAGGGTCTGCAGCTTCATTCCTGAAGTCAGCGAGACCACGAACCCACTGGGAGAAACAACTCCCGACATGCCATCTTTAAGAGCTGTAACATTCACTGCGAGGGTCTGCGGCTTCACTCCTGAAGTCAGTGACACCACAAACCCACTGAAAGGAAGAAACTCCAGACACATCTGAATATCTAAAGAAACAAACTCCAGACACACCATCTTTAAGAGCTGTAACACTCACCGCGAAGGTCCGCAGCTTCATTCTTGCAGCTTCATTCTTGAAGTCAGCGAGACCAAGAACCCACAGGAAGGAATAAATTCCGGACACAGCAAGACCCCCATTTCCATAAAAAAATAACTAAATAATTAAGGTGAGCATGGTGGCATGAACCTGTAGTCCCAGCTACTCAGGAGCCTGAGGTGGGAGCATAGCTTGAACCCAGGAGGTCAAGGCTACAGTGAGCCATGTTCATGTCACTGCATTCCAGCCTGGGCAGCAGAGCAAGACTCTGTCTCAAAAAAAAAAAAAAAAAAAAAAAAAGACTTGAAGACATGTTTTATTTCAAGAATTCCATGCCTAACAACTTAATCAAAAACAGTTAAGAAGTTTAAAGTGGGTATGATTTCACATTATAGCTTGCTGTCAACAAAGCTCAGGTGCAAATTTTTCATGGCCATTCTGTGGCTGTTTTTAAGGGAAGCGAAACAGAGACTCTGAATCCAAATATACACAAAAATTATATTTTTTCCTCATTTTTCTTAATTCTATGCAAGTAAATTTGTGCCCTTACATGTTTAAGAATAAAACAGGCTTCTTTCTCACAGGTGGGGAAAAAATTACTACAAATGCACTATTTTAAAAGACGCTCTGACAACATTTAGAATAATTGTTAAAGTGCATTTATTTATTTAAATAGAAAATGTGCTTTGATGGAGCAGGATGAAAATTTATTACTATAATCCCTACGACTCAACTGTGACCTGGTATTTATTGTTGGTTAAATGTATCAAGCCTTACACAAAAGGTACATATGATTTGGGGACCGTGAAAAAGAGTTGTCTGTCTTTGTAAATCATCATACTCTTTGCTTTTTCCAAGAATAAAGAGTATATGCCAGGATAATAGGTAGGTAATATTTTAGATACCAACTACTGGAGTATATTTGGAATAGCAACTTAATAGATTCATGCTACTCATTAATACAGCATTTCTTAAATTCTTGGCATCTCCAGACTATTGAATAGACATTTGGAACACACATAAACCATCACATTTAAGTAAATTAAGAAAAAATTGATTATTGCAATAAAATACAATATAATATAAAATTGTTAATAGTAATATCTGATGAGTTAGGAATGATATTATGCTTTCACTAATATATCCAGCTGTAATGTAATGATAAATAGCTATAATTGTAGAGCAGTTTGCATACCCAGATATTTTCTTGTCTTAAAAAATACCAACTCTTATACGTTACTAAAAATGGACTACACATACAGTGTCTTTGTGAACTAGTTATATATATTAGGATCAAGTGTGGAGTGAGATATTATGGAGAGATTTCTCCTTTAGGGAAACTTTCAACATGTCAACAGAGAGGATAACCTCAAAGGGTTGTCCTAAGTTCCTTACTTGCTGACCTGGGTCAATAGTGGTATCTTTAACTGAAATAAGAAAAAAAGAGAGAGAGAGAGAAACATGCCTTGTATGCCTTGTTCTCTTTGGTATACCTTAGTGTGGATTGTAATTTATATGCAAACTAATTCATCTATTTATTCCATGGGTACGTATTTATCCCATGGGTACATAGGAGGATGTATCCTACTGGCTGCTTCTGCTGAGTCAGTCCCCTGGCATCATCTTTACTCACTCTCTATTCTGACTTGGTGTGTGATCGCATCTAGTCCCACAGGCTCAAAATATACCATCTAGTTGTTACCTACTACCAAATTTAGATCTCTAATTACAGCCTCATCCTTGAGTTCTAGACTCATATGCATAACTACATATTTAACAAGTCACCTTGCAAGATGACTTGGTATCTCAAACTTAGCATTTTCAATACAAAACTATTGAGCCATTCCCAACACCATATTTTTATTCCCATCTCAAGAAGTTGTGAAACAATTAACCTTATTTCTCTGGAAAAATTTTATAGTTGGCCTCGACTACTCTCTCTCATAGCACACATTTACTAGATTAGAAGATCCTATGTGATTTAATATTAGAATGTATTCTGGAGCCATCTACATTTTTACCTCTTCCCTTTCTCCAACCTATGGCATGTCTGTGCAGACCTTCTCCTTCTAGATTATTACTCTCCTGACTTGTCTCACTGCTTTCATTCTTGTGTTCCTATGGTCTTTCATTTATAAACAGTCTAAGGTATTGCCTTAGAAAATAAAAGCAAGAACTTGGTGCTCTTATTCAAAACCATCCAGTGTTTCACACTGGATGTTTAATTTAATTTAATTTAATTTAAAATTCAGAATTCCTACCTATCTTTTAAAAAACCTTCTGTGATCTGTATCATCTCTACCCATCCCCTGCTCCCTCTAAACTTCTACAATGCTCCTTCCTGCTCCATTCATGCTAACAGGCAGTTCTTTTTCCCTGCAGGGATGATTCCTATTCAGGGTCTTGCTCTAGGTATTCCTACTGCCTGAAACATTCTTCCTCCAAATATATATTTGTCTTCTCACTTTATTGTCAATCTTTTCAAATTTTGCCTTAACAGAGAAGCCCACCAAAAATAAAATAACATTTTTTCTCCCTATATCTCACTTTATTTTCTTCAAAACAAGTATTGCTACTTGACATTACATTATATATTTATGTGTTTATTTGATACTGTATGCCCTCTCTTCCAGAATGTAAGCTCTGTTAAGCTGAGATTTTTTAAAATTCACTTAGGATTATGTTCTTTACAGCTAGAGCCTGGCATATACCTGGCACACAATAAATACTTAGTGAATAAAAGAACAAAGGGTTTAAGCAGGAAAATAGCCAAATACATTTGATTTCAAACAATTATTCTTTAACACGGATAACGTTTTTGAAGGTGCAAGAGTGCCTATGAAGACAGAGTTAGGAAGTTATTCCAGTAACCCAGGCCACAGAATTTTATAGCTTGAACTGTGGAGAAGTAAATGGAGCTGAGGAAAAAAAAAAGAAATGTGAGATTTATTTAATAGGTAAATTGTAGAGCACAGTGATAAAATAGATATTAGGGTAGGGAAGAAGAGACAAGCGTCTGCTCCCTAGATTCTTCAGTATCAGAATAACATAGAGAGTCATTCTTGTTAACTGTTACAAGAAATAAAGAAAAAGGTTGTGTTTGTGTGGTGGTGGGGTGTCACGGGTTCATTTTAAGATATGCTAAGTTTGAGTTGCCTTTGAACATCCAAATAGAAAATACAAGAGGATAGCAGATATACAGTTCTAGATCCAAAAACAAAGTCTGGTCCGGAGACACTTGTAAGTCATCTGTGTGTCTGGTCAGGAGATACTTGTAAGTCATCTGTGTATAAAAGCAATTGAACCTATAAGCTTGTGAAATATCTTAGGAAGATTATATAGAGTGAAATGGAAGATAACAAAGAGTAAATCTTGAGGAACTAAAGAGTCTAACAGGTGGAGAATGATGAGTTTTTCAAAAATAAAGGGGGTACATAGCAAAAGATAAAAATGAAAAAGGATAATGTTATGTCATAGAAGCCATTTTTAAAGTAATTTTCAAAAAGGATACAATGATTAACAGTGGTGAATAATACTGAGACCTATAATGAGGTTATTTGATGGTCTCTAGGAAATGTCAGGTCTCTTCAAAAAGAGCTAAAATTGCTAAATTTAAACAAACTCAAAAGCATTAAAATCTGACAAAATAGACATTATCTTGTGAAAATATTTTCAGAAAAAGTCAGATAAAATCTGAGGAGGTAAAAAGTGGCTGGCTATTTTCAAATGGTGTTGAGAAGTCAAATAAAATAAGAACTGGAAAATTCCTGATGGGTTTAGAGGAATGCATATAGAAGTTGACTGATTTGGTAATGACTATCAGAAGATATGGGGTAGGGGGAATTCATTTACTTTTCTAAGGATATTCAAAAGCCCTACCTATACATTTATACTATTTCTTTTCTACTCATACACTGCTATCATTTCTGATCCTGTTTCCAAATTCACTACACAGGTTATAAAATTTAAAAACCTCTTTTTTATAATGCATATAAATTCATTAACAAATAGAATACGTTTCTTTCAAATATAGATGGCATATGCATAGATACATGCACATGTATTTTACACACACACACACACACACACACACACATACAGTCAGCCCTCCTTATCTGTGGGTTTCACATCCATGGATTCACGCAACTGCAGATCAAAAATATGCAAAAAATAATTTCATGAAGTTTCAAAAAGCAAAACTGGAATTTGCCACCCACCGAGTAGCATGTTGAATCCATGGAAATGAAGTGTAAGCACTGTATTAGGTACTATAAGCAATTTAGAAATGATTTAAAGTATATAGGAGGATGCATATAGGATTGTTATATGCAAGTACTATGCCATTTTATATAAGGAAGTTGAGTATCCATGGATTTTGGTATGGGGTGGGTCTGGAACCAATCCCCCAGGGATACCAAGGGACTACTGTACACACACACACACACACACACACACACACAGAGCCCATAATGTGTACTTTAAGGATATCAATCAAACACTAAAGTAAATGTCAATGATATGGCCATACAATATTTGTTTTCACATCGATGCCACTGATTTAATAAAATGTTTAGCATTGCATGTAAGTATGCTTTTCAGTAGCTGTTTCTGAGTACATTATTTTTATTAACTTCAAAGCTGTTTATATATTTCTCAGAAAATATATAAAAATATGATTTTACTATCTATTTCTCCTAAGAAATTAAAATTTCTTAAGAAATTACATGAAACTTCTGTAATTATGTTATCTTTCTCACATTTAATGACTAATCATTTCACTATTCAATAAAATATAATGTGATCACAAAAGTCATATCAATAATATGATGCAGCATAACACTGTAAACATATATATATATATATATATATATATGTATATGCCCTCCTTCCAAATAGCAAATGTGCCACTCTATACACTAGAACAGATCACATTATTTGATGTTTGTTCTGTAAATATCAATTGTATTCCAGAAAGGTCACTCAAGTTTAATGGAAAATGATGAAAAATATCTCTAATGGTTTTATGTTATATTTTGAGAAATATTTTTGAGAGACAATAGAATTGTCCAATAAAATCCAGTTTTAAACTATTTAGCCTTAAATATCCTAATTTTGGAAAATTATTTTTGATGCCTACTTCTGTGAAATTCCTGTTTTCCCAGCACACGTTCTGCACATATATGTGCATTCAGATCCTACATATATTAATGTAATTTTTACATTACTATGTTCCCATAACTTTAGGCAATTTGTAAATCATTGATTCTTAAGTTAGGAAAATAGCAGTGAAATGTGATATATGATAAATTATTAGCATAAACAATACAAAGTAAATGATGTGAAAAATTACTGAGGCTTGTTTAATGAATGATAACGGACACAAACTCAACAAAATGATTCTTGTAGTTCATGGGAAACCTTTAAGAATACAGAGATTGTTAAGAATATAACCAGATTGAATAAAAATTTAAATAGATTATACATTTTACATTTCACTTTTGGGAAACATCAATGAACAGAATTGTTTCCTCTTTCCTCTCCCTCACTCCACCATAAACAGCAAGCAGCTCCATCTGCAGAGACCGTGATAACCACAGAGAAGTGCGATGGTCCATTTACCACACTTTACAAACACTGCACTAATGATGCTTTCCTTATCACTCTCCACCTATTAAGATGTGCAATAAACATATCTTCTTGAGTTTCACATTAGTGTGACTTCAAATACATTTTTTATGTGCAGTAATGATTTTCTAATGAACGTGCATGCCTCAATGTCTTCTAGGTATTGATTAGTATAAGCAGGCTAATTTTAATTCCTAGAAATTTCTATTCATCAGCAAGATCTTTATCAGTTTTCTACTGTATGCCAGCCTTATAAGAAAAAAAAAAAGATTTGAGCCAGATGTATAAACTTGTGCTTTATCTTATATAGGTGTACCAAAGAAGGCAGTAATGGTTAAATATTAGAGTATTTATTTATGAGTAAATAATATTTAATTTAGAATACCTGATTATCTTTAAAATGGTATTTTGAATGAGAATGTTAAAATAATATTTTAACATTATTTTTTAAATTATATTTAAATATATGACATAATGATAGTTTGGTTCTACCACTACTGCTGGACTTACTTCTTGAAGGAGAGAAACTGTAATGAAATTGTTTTAGCCCCTAATCATATGTATTCAAAGCAGTACAATATGTTTAATACAAATGGCATTCAATTTCTTTTGCCAGCTCTAATCAAATAACTGTTTTCTGTATTTATATATTACTTTACGTAACAAGTTATAAATACCAATTTAAACAAATTCATTCATGCTTTAGCATGAACTCTTTTTTCTTCTTCCTCTTTGTCATAATAATATCTCATGATATTCCTGTTAGCAGATGTATAACCTATCAGTACCTCCTTAGACAAAGTTTTCAATTTTATGATTTTATAGATAAAATTTTAATACACTTTGCTAGGAATATAGCACCTAGTTTTAGATAGTTGTTTTCTTAAATTTCAAGAAGTGGTATTACCCAATCAGAGACTATAATTGTATATTTTGATTTGGGATCATGCACCATATTGTTTTCAAAAGATCTTACCTATACGTAATACCAGGTGTCTTTTATAAAGACTTGATGGTGTTATTTTCCTATACTGAAGTAGTCTTGAGATACTAGCTAAAAACTAAACCCTATGTGATATTTAAGTTGCTATTACAATTTATTTCTCAGTTTCTATTACCTAAAGTCTATCCAAAGTCTTCCCTCTTATTCTACCACATTAGTATAAATTAAGAAGTTTTATTGAGACTTCAGCAACAAACGAATATTCACACTGTTGCATTCTCGGATGTTAAATAAAACATACCTGTGTGTAAAATTCTTCTGAAGGTAAAATTTCAAGCCAATTATAAAACTGACAAATGCTCAAACTTACTTTCCCTGAAGGATAATATAAGTATCATTACTTTGAAGAAGAATTGAACATACAAAAATGAACTGCAGTTTTGAATATCAATAAGAGAACCTGAAAACAAGTAACTCATCTTTAAAAGTAATATTTTCATGTGATTTTTGAAAGCTGATACTTTACATTTTGAAAATCACAAACCCATGGTGAATGTCATGAAAATATTAAATAAGACTTCCTTGATTATTTTTAGTAACAGAAGTGAATTTAAGGTATTTTCTTTTTTTTTTTTTTTTTTTTTTTTTTTTTATTTAGAGACTAATTGTCCCTTTAACTATTTGGACTTGGGGAGACCATCTGGATGACTAAATTGTGGCAGTCTATCTAAAAACATAAACTATATTTTAAGAAATACATATAAACATTTTGGTCAATGGAAGAAAGTAACTGGTAAGGCCACATATGTGTGAGAAGAGCAGCAATTCAAACAGAATGTATTAAATGTCAGAGTGCCCAAAACTGACATATCTTATAGAGAAATTCCAACCTGATTCTATTCAATTCCTACTTGGAAATGGACTGGGAAAATATTTCTTCCACATTTTATCTTTATACAGAATGTCTAAGACCACCAGCGCATCTTCGGATGAAATAAGTGGCTTGAACTTCTGAATACTAGGTGGCACAAAGGCTGTGAATAGATGAGGATCCAGAATCGATGACCTTCTAAACTTCTGTTTTTTCCATTTCAATGACTCTTGCTGCTCTGCTTCTTTCTTTAATTCTGCATCTCTCCTATTCCACCATGTTCCTTCCCTTTTACGTCAGACCTAAATTTATCTTCGGAAGGAGAAAACACTTGCTCTCCAAGTATGTGTTAGAATCTTTCAGCTTCTCACTTCTGCCAATGCTTTCTCTAAGTATTTATTTTTCATTTCTATGCATGATGAGAAAGAAGATGAAAAGAGCTTAGGGTTCCAATGAAATGTTCGCAGAGATGCAGGGCAATACACAGGAAACACACAGGTTAGTATGTGTATATTTAACACTTCTACTCATGTTATTGCTTAGAAGATAGCTCCCAATCCTAATTTCCCTTTGCGATACAGTTTGAAGCTCTGGGAATGTGAATCATATTTACATAAAATGTAAGCAAGAAATGACTAGTTTTTATGTTACATTTCATTTCTTCATGTAAGTAGAACCCAAGTCAAATATTTCCACTATTAACAGGAGAGACACAGTTACTAATTCTCAGGCTAATATCTGTAAATTCATTACATTTAGTTATCTAAGAAAATCTCAGAATAATATTCAAGATCCGTGTTTAAACAAATAGCTGAAGTCTATCAATTTGAAATACTCTTTTTCAATAACAGAAGTAAAACTGTGGATTTTAATTTAGCTATGGCATACTTAGAACTGAATGAAGTTTGAAAGTTTTCTGCCTCTAATTTTTTGAAAGTCATTCTTTATTTTTTTCATGGAAAACATATAACCTCTTCACAGGTTGACATACATAAAATCTGAGGCTTGCTTGTGAAATAAATTTCACACATTCTGTATTTCATTAGTTTAAGGAAAACACATGCTGCTTCAGCTGGATAATTTGGTCGTTTGGGAACAGTGTCTTTTCGTTTTGCTTTTCTTTTAACTGATTGTTACTCTCAAACTAAATGATTCTCCTTTAGGTCCTGTACCCAGTCTCTTTTGTGTCTCCCCAGAAGTGTCTTAATGGTCATTTATAACATTCATAAATGACTTTGCAATTGTTCATTTATCTTTTTATAAACACACTTATTTCCCCAAGGTAGTTAACCTTAGAATATATATTCAAATTAATATTCTTTGTCTTAGCAAAGGTGGTCAGTATGCCTTGAGCTCTACTTTTTCTATCACATACTTGTTGATCATAATACTGCATTTAGTTGCACCAAATTCTAATTCTTTAATCCAAAGGTATATTCATGCTACAAATAACTAATTAAAAGAAGATTAATATGCAAAATGAGAATAAGCCATAGCCTACATTTAAAACAGAATATAAATTGAAAATGAATTCTTGACAATATTGAGTTTACCTCATATGAATGACATTAGGATTAATTGCCCATCCTTTGTATAGTGTCCCAAAGTATAGGTTTATTTTTAAACACCTTACAGCTATTAAACATCTATGCAATCATTATTTAATTTATATATTAAAAAATAAACATGCATTAAACAAATTCTACACAGCAAGTATTGTGTTGGGTGTTTCAGTTACAGAACATTCCTTTCTAAGAAATTAAGATAGCTTTTTATTCAATGTAAAACAGAAAAACCTGCCTTTCCTATGTCTTCTGGTTGACATTTTTATGAACCACAAGGACAAAGTAAGATAAATTTCACATACAACATATTACAAGCATTGGTGTCTGTTAATAAACCAGCTTTCTAACCTGCAGAATTAATGACTGCACATTTCTTAAGAGGCAAAATATATGATAATTTGACATTGTTTTTGACCTATATACCATTAATAATACCTAGTTATAAAAATAAACACTTCTTAAAATTGGAAGAACTTTTTAAATAAAGAGGTAACACAGTAATTCAAATGACATATTTTACTTATACTTTCAGAAGTTTAAAATGAAAATACTTTCAGTAAAAATTATCTTTCCTTTTCATAACTTTTTATAAACTATGTTTATTCCAATTCCTGTTGTTGAATTTGAGCTTTACTATTTACCGTAGATATAACCTTTGAGAATTTTTTGACCTTTCTAAGCTGTAGTCACTTTATTTGTAAAATTGCATTATATAGTGTTTTAGATAATTAAAAGAGATTATATATATATATGGCTGACAAATTATAAGGGCTCAATAAATGTTATTGTTATTTTTATTCATATGGATTTAACTCTAATAGTATGAAGATTTCTCTCTCTAATTCCCTGCTGAAAACATATTTAAATAAATATCTTCTCAAGAACACTTATTCTTTCCTCCTCTGGAGGCATCCAGCTTTCTATGAGATAGAATCTTCTGTCCTTGGAAAAGTCCTTCAAATACTACCTGAGTGTCAGTCAAATGGCAGTTATCCCACATCTATAATAGTTAATGCCTTTCAAGATATTACCCTCTCTCAAGCCCAAGGACTATAATTATTTGGAAATAGATTTCCACCTTAATATTGGTGTGCTTTAACCTGTTCGAAAGTGAGAGGTCAAGGAATATTTAAATTAAGGTGTATGTTTCCTTCTGATTCAGAGTGTTCAAAAATTTTTAAATGAATATTTCAATTAAATAGGTCTTCTAAGGCTTTAAAAATAATAGGAAAATTTTATTGGGTTAATTTTTACCCAATCATGACTACCATCTGTCCACTCACCAAGGCTCTTTCAGAAGCACTGGCACGGAAGGCTGGACGAGCACTTGGACTCTCATTATTCAAGTTGGTTTCTGGCTCTGAGTCACTCTTCCTTTTGTGCATTCTCACAGTGGAACACTGAGAAATAGTGTTTGTATAACTGCCAATACAGTGAAATTGAGTCCCCACAAACATTCCTATATAAAAGTTCTGCATCATTTTATTTCTATAAGCAAATCAAGTCTTTACTAACATATCAATATCACCAAAAAGCATTGTGGAAAATTACTTTCTTCCAAGAGACACTGTTTAGAAAAAAGTAAAAATCAGTTATAAAGCCACAACCTCTACCAAGTTTAGGATTATGGTAAATAGTTTGAAAATAAAATATTGAACTTACCTCTTGCATCACATCGTAGCATAGAGAAGTGGACTCTCAGGGATTTAAGATAAATAAGATAGATCTACTTAAACAAAAGACAGATCATGAGACAAACAAATAGAATGATTATATACATCATGCACAAATAGGAGTTTCACTGTCCAACCAAATAAAATCTTTGCATGTTCATGAGACGGGGCAGGGGACAGGAGATGCTTGTTAGATACTGACTTTCGCGGACTCACACATCTGCATAAGGATCTTAGTCAATAACTTTGCCTAACACAAAGGACATGGAGAGAGTTATACTGTTTAGATTGCCAAAGGAAGTATAAAAGTACAAAAGAAGCTGAAGCCTGCCAGAACCGTTCCGTGTGGATATAATAAAGCAGCAGGAGTTCAAAGTACTGTCAGCAAAATATCGAGTCATGGGCCTCTTACCAAATATATGACATAGTTAAATATTTTTAAATGTGTAGAATTATTAGGAGAAACTTGTCCAATCTTCTTATTTTAAGTCTCCATCTAGTTTTCATTATCACAGAGAATATGTATCACAGAGAATACCTGATTTTCCTTTTATCTGACTTTATTTCTGAGATATCTTTTGCTCACTTAGTTATAGATAGTTCAAAGAAAAAAAAACAAAATTGTTGAGTGTCTACTATGAATTAAAACAAGAGACACAGCAGTGAATACAAAATCAAGATCTTAGCTTTTGTAGAGCTTAGTTGAAGGAAAACACAGCTATGATCAAATAAACATATATTTTGTCAGGCATATATATTCTAAGTTTGTTATATTTATAAAATATATTTATACAATACTGGAGTATGAGAATACCTGTCTAATCTTTTCTTCATTTATTCAGTCATTTATTTGACATAATTATTGAACACTCACAATATGCCACAATATGCCTATTTTAGCTAATAGGGTGTCATAGTGAACCAGCCAGGGAAATCTGCTTCCACACCAGAAGCTTATGTTCTAACAAATAATTAATGAAACTTGCCCCCACAACATTTGATTTTATGATAGCCTTCTGGCCTGAAGAAAAAAAAAAGATAGACTGAATTTTGAAGAAAAAGTCCTCGGAGTTTTACCATGATGTTCAAATGAATATTATATCCTGGTGAGAACTGGAAATATGTAAGATTTATTTACAAATTAGGAATCTATTTAATTACTGGAAGTCATCATAATTATCTCACTCTCTTTTTTTTGCAAAACATCAAGAGGTTAGTGAGAAAATTATACTCTGCTTGGGGCCACAATTTAGCATTGTGGCAGCAGAATGCAATTCCAGATCATTATATCCTTAAAAATTCTCTAATGATGATTCCATTCGCATCACACAGTGTGATTTTGCATTGTTACTTTAATCATTCCTGTATTTCACAATAACTCACATTCTATAAAAAGTTTACTGATAGAAATTTGAGTAGGCGGTTTACTTTTAAATTTTTATACTAACTTTGAATTGGCAATTCATACACATAGTGTATAAATCACATTTCATGAAAATATGTAGTGTAAATTAAGTATTCTTTCCCCACCCCAGAGCATAGACATCATGGAGATCACCATTATTATCTTTCTTGTGCATACTTCAAGAAATACTCTAAGGACACCTAAATACAAGGTATACATATGATATATGTAAACACAAGGTATACATATGGTACCCTGACAAATTAGCAACCAAGCTAAGACACATTGGAGAGTGAAAAGGTATGTAAGTAGGTAATTATGCCAGGGGAACAGGTGAAAAATAAGAAATATCCTGGGCAAACTGAAATGCATAGTCATCCTGACTATACATCCTATGTTTATGTACACATTTCTTTTAATATGATTCATGTAACAGCACAGTTTACATTCTTTTGCACCTTCCTTTGTCACATACAAATATATCTGGGTGCATTTTCAGATGATTGTATATAAAAGTATTTTATAATGTCTGTATGGTTATGTCATTAGTTTCCCTGTTGACATTTAGATTATTTCCATTCTTCTACTATTACAAATAATTTTGTAATGAATAGCTTTACACCATTTTGCTTATATGTAAGTATATTTGTGGGATAAAGTGTTAGAATTCAAGTTTTGGGATTAAAAGCTAGGTTATTTTTTAAAAATTTGGTGGACACTGCCAAGCTGTCATTTTGAAAAGTTCTATCAGTTCTTATGATAACCAGTACAGTGGTTATCACAATTTGTTACACATGTCACACATATTAAACTTTTTAATAGTTTTAAAGTGATAACTTGTTAGTTTTCATTTGCATTTTAATGCAGCATTCATTTCAGAGCCATTAGAACTTCCTCTTGCTCATATTTTCTATGAAATCATTAACCTTTACCTTATTGATTTATAGAAACTAAGTATGATATTGGAATTTTACGTCGATATGATTTCTCTTCCATTTCAAATGCATTCTTATTTTGGCAATATTCATTTTTCACCAAAGGAAATGCTAGTTCTTTAAATGATTTAGCTCCTCAAGTCATACCTGAGGACTCATGTAGTTATAAGGGACAAAATAAATATATAATGGGGATTTTTGCAAATGAGATGTTTGATGCTGAATGACTAGGCATCTTCATTCCTTCAATCTTGCGTCTATTAAGTATTTATTTTGTAGAAACTTTGTAGCGGGCACTGTGCCAGGTGCTATAAGTAAATCCATGAGAAAGATACCCCTCAGGTGGTTATTAGTTAGCTGCCATTAGGATATACTCTGGCAATAGCCTCAAATCTTCGTAGATTGAAACAACAATGGTTTATTTCTTGTTCATGTGATATTAAAGCTGTAGAAACTGCAATTTAGCTGTGGCCCCACTATACCTTGGTTGTTTTCTTTGGGTGTTTTTCATTCCAGCAAATTGGCAATGTCCTAGTACTATGCTGTCGTGGGAGCCAAGGATGAAAGCTCCCATTGGCCCTGTGAAGATACGCTGAAAAATCAATTTGCAAAAGCAGATTAATTGGAGAAAAGACACACACATTTATTTAGTGTATATGCATGACAGCCTTCAGAATGAAGAACCAAAGATATAGGGAACAGTGTCCATTTTTATCTTTAGGTTCAACAAAATATAGACAACCACGTAGAGATATAATTGGACAAAAAATACGTTCTAATGCTAATAGGCTGAGAGAAAACCCAGGAGGACCTGTCCATTCAGATTCTTGTTGGCCTTTCTGAGCATGAAGTCTTTCCTTCCAAGTATGGGACAGGATCTTCTCCGTAATGGGGGTCATATAACCTACAGTCAAATAAGGTAGGTCAGATAATTTCTTTATGGCCAGTTTTCACACAGAAAGGCAGAAGGAAAGTGAGAGTAATGTTTTTAGGGTTTATGGCTGGCTTTGCAGAAAAGGAGTTCTGGTTTCTATAACTCACTTTGGGCAAAAGAGATTCTAGTTTCTATGGCTAGCCTTGGGGCAGAATAGACCCAAGACACATGTCAGAAGGAAAGTCAGAGAAAAACTTGCTTCTGAGGCCTTCACTTTGGGATAATTTTCTGAGGCTCAGTACTGTTCTCATGGCACAAGGGAAAGTAGAGAAGTGCTAACCGTACCGTAGCTCTTAAAAGCATCTTCTCAGTTAGATATACACAATATTCTGCACACATTCCATTGACCAGAGCAAGTGACATTGTAAAACAAGAATTCAATGAGATGAGGAAATAAACTCCTTCCTTCAGGAGGCATTGCACCTCACATGGCGATGGACATAGTTATATAATCCTCATACAAAAGGAGCAGCAGTGAAAACAATGTTATGATCAATTATAACAAAGGCAAGGCCATTGGCCGCAAATATTCATGTCCCACTCTTCTACAGCATCAGACTCTATGTCTAGGATCTTAATATAGACTTGCATTGGTTCCACTTTTAATCTTTCTGATTCATCTAAGTATGAAAAAGCCAAGTTGTCTGCACACACACCCGCAACATACACTGCGCAATGCTAACGTAAGGACCACATAATCACATAAATATTCCCTTTTCCATAGCAGAAGTGGAGACAAAAAACAGTTTTTGTTCTATAGCAATGCTAAATTTGGGAGATAGGGAATATTCCTTGATTAACCCTTCCCTTTTCTGCTCTCTGAAGGTAGCCCCAAAGTTCATTGAACTATATGGCCCTTAGTATTGCTGTCTAGGAGTTCCTCTCTTCCCCATTTTCCTCTTGCACTATATCAAAATACACCACTGAAGACTAAGCTCACCTCAGCCTGTCTTCCTCTTGTGGAAAGTTGAATACTTGGTGTTTTAGGTATGCATTAAGTCTTTCTGTTTTGACCTAGGATGCAGGGCTCCCTGAGCAAACTGTATGTTTTGTCTGCTTGCTTCTGGTGAGCTCTATTTGCCTATGGTCAAAGCTACAATTCTTTCCAAGACAGGTCTTAGTCTCTCTCTCTCTTTCTCTCTCTTGCTGTTTCTGCATATTTACATTTGTGAAGTCATCTCTCCATCAGAGTTAAGACACTAAATGTTCCTCTAACTCCCAAAGAGTTAGTTTTTCTCTGTGGGTGTGGTGGGGCAGTCATAGGCTGGATAGGACTGAGTGGAATCAGAATTCTCCAGAGCATAGTTTCTTCAAATAACAGATGATCCTTACTTCAAACCCATACACCCAGACATAACTAGAGACTCTGAATTTGCCTTTAGAAAATAGGCTGAATTCCAAATACACGTCAGAATGACAATGACAAGAAAAAAAAAAAGTGGCAACTCAAAATCTAGCAGCTCAAAGCTAGATTTGATGGTTCTAGGAAGAAATTTCAGGAAATCCAAAATTTAAGATAGGTATAAAATGTTGATTTCCTTACTTCTTTTTATTTTCTAGCACTTAGAGGCATAGTATTGTGTTAGGTGATCTTGTAACACCAGTTCTTAGGCAGTTAGTTACTAGTTATTAATTGACTCCTCCAAAATGAGGAAAAGAGGAAATAAACAGATCCACAGCCAAAGACATTTTCTCTTGCAATATTATGCCTACCAAAATAAAATTTAGAGAGATATCATATATCAATGGCTGTCATATTACAAAACTGAGGAAAAAACTTACACTGCAAATCAAGGTGCAATTAGGTATTTCCTGGTATCATTTATTTTCCCTCCCTCAGTTATAAAATCACTATACACCTTCTTTTTCCTCTATAAATATTTATTGACTGGTTTACTCTTTCCTAGGGACTGTGTTATGCACTTCAGATGAGGAATACAAAATACAAAATTCCTTATAAGTTGTGGAATAAAAGATGCAAGACAAAACAAGCAGTGCCGAAGACACACGGACCACATTAATCAGAAAGAAGCAGGGTGCTAAATGAAGAGGCCAAGAGATCCTCTTGGGATATCTGGGATTATTTCACAGAGAAGAAACCTAAATTCTTAACCTAGATTCTCAAAGTATGAGGAGTAAGCAAGCAGATACTGCGAGTAGAGATGACACCAATGAAAACACAATGGACATGAGAAAATAAGGGCACTGCAAACACAATTACACACCCAAAGCCTAATTTTCAACTAAGGAAACTTGAGTCCCAGACTGCCCAGCATTGTAAAATGTACGAAGAGATTTAGGTTTTATTCTTCAGCAGACAAAATGCACTGACTTTTTTTGTTTGTTTGTTTAATTGAGGAGTGGTATGATTCCATAACGGATTTAAAAGAGTAAATGTGTTAGGACTGGGAGATTGATTGGCATGGGAAGATGATAGCAAGGAGACCAGGCTATTAGAGGAGTAGGGCAAACACACTCTGATCTGATCTGAGACCATGGCCATTTTCTTTCAAAAATGTTTTTGGAAATATTTTATGGTTATTATTTTTAAATAAAATAGCTCCTACTCTTGATTTCACTACAAATGTTAAAATATTGCTATCACTTATAAGACAAAACCATAGGCTAATGTATAATGCTTGTAATAGAGCATACTTGGTAAATACAAAGGCACAGCTGCTTTAATTAATTTCTATGAGAAAAGTAAACAAAAATTTTGAATACTTCATGCAAAGTATAACAAGCTTATAGGCTTTTACATTTTCCAGTTCACATTGCCATTTCTATCTAAGAAGGACACACAATAAGATGGAAGAAAACTTGCTTTAAAATCTTTATTTTAAGCAGGGACTTAATGCAGTGATTTTATTCTCCTAATAAATATAACCCCACATAAGAGCTGTCACCATATTCTGTAATAGGCACCAAGTTTGAGCCAAACTAATTAGCAATAAATCTGCCAGAACCCACTCAAAATATTCTCCTAATTAATCAGAAAAGAAATAGATGAATTGAAAAATGTTGTTATCCCATGAAAGAAATTTTATCATCAATTTCTGTGGTTACTTAACTGATTTGTCTGTCTTCATACTGGCACGCCCATCAGCCTTTGCTTTATAAGTCAGTTAAAAATTTTCTGATTACTTGGGATGAAGGGATTATAAAAAGCTATAAGTACCAAGTGATCATGATTTTTAGCTGGATTATATTTATTTGTTTGAGCACACTTCACTAATAAAATATTTTTCCTGTATTTCATATACTAAAATAGTTACCTCCACTTTTTTAAAATCTTTAGCTGATTTCTGTTTTTAAAACCCTCATTTACTTTTTACTGTTTTGGTTCTTCTGTGTAATAATTTTTTTTCATCTCTTCCTCAACAGTTTCCATTGAATGTTTTCAGAATACTTTCATCTAAATTTTAAATGTCTCTTGAGTGTAGCTAATTAAGCTTCATTAAAGCATAACAATCTAAATCTTAACACCAATAATGAGCACTTAATAAAACAAAGACAACCTTCCATTTGAAGATTAACAAATTTGCTCTATATGTTCTTTTCCAGGCTAAGGAAACAGTCTGCCATCTGATATAAATTTTACCTTAATATTTGTACCTTTATTACTTTATTCCATGCTTTTAAATGGTTAGAACATCATGGGCTTCTTCCAAAATTTCTGAAGGAAAAATATTTTAAAGTTCTCATTAGTCTTCAAAAGCATAAAGTATGGAAAGGTGGGAAGGGTAGGGAGAGATGTGACTTTACAGCAGAGAAACGTGCCAAACACTACCTCAACTTCATGGTAAAGACTAACATCATCAGTGAAAATCATTTCAATTGTGTTTATCTTTGATATTAAGTGTTAAGAATGGTACTTATCTTTGTATTCATTATCCGCAAATCCCCATAGCCCCAATCTAAACCTGGAAACAAAAAATCAGACAAATCCAAACTGATACTCTACAAAATACCTGGCCAGCACTCCTGAAATATGTGAAAGTCATCACATACTTTGATGATTTTCACATATTTCTTACACTGAGAAACTTTGCAAGAGGAAGGTAGTACATATGATAATTAATGTAATGAGGTATCCTGGATGGGATCCTGGAACAGAAAGAAAAAAAATTTGGAAAGTTCAAGTGAAGTACAGAGTTTGGTTAATGGCAATGTTACCAACATTGGTTTCTTAGTTTTGACAAATGCACCATGGCAATGTAAGATGTTAACTGGATGAAAGTTACTCAGAAACTTTCTGTACCATCTCTGCAAATATTCTGGAAACCTAAAACAATTCTATTTTTTGAAAGTTTATTCACAAATAATTTCATAAGAACAGATAATCAATATCACAAGGTAATTGTGAAAACAGGCAAAATAGTCTTATGTCTATTCCTGATAAATTATGTATTGATTATTAATAGAACTTCCACATGCATTTTATGCTATAAAATATTTTGTACAGTAGATTTATGCCTCATGAGTTAAGTTGTAATCCAATGGCAAGGGGAACATTTTGTCAAAGTTTCTCTTGACAGTACATTAAACTACCCATAAAATATGGAACATATTGTCTTATGTATACAACATCCTACAGAGTTCTTGTAAATCCTTCATAGTGTTTCTCCATGGTATCTTTCCTAATAAATATAATCCTTCAATGTAATTTTCAAATGGCATAAAGGAAGTTTCCATCTTCCAACCACTTGCACAAACAATGTGATTCATTTCTTTCTAAATGATCTGGAAACTCTTTGCAGAATGTCTGCTCTCTTTCCAAAGGCATCAAAATATGGACTTATTACTTAAGATTCCATTGAATTTACTCTCAGAGGCACATGCTCATTGAGAAAAATGCTGAATCATCACCTCTCACTTATTATTATGGTTCTTTATTTCCAGAGGTTCAATTGAGTTCTAACAGGTATACATGTGACTCCATTGTATTTCAAAATGGTGAATAAATATATTAGCAATATTTAAATTTATCATACAAAAAAATTTGTATAGATAGGATGGAAATATATGTTCTTACACTTGATTGGAATAAAATCAGTGAACTGTGTTTAAAATATAAACATAAATATTGAGACTAGTAAAAATGTGATCATCTAACGAATATTGTTTTAAAAATTAACGTTTGAAGCAATTACATCTAATTTTTGTGTTGCTCCTGTGCCATTTAAAGAGATACCCCTATTATTGTGAGTGATGGTGGTTATTATGTGTATTGATACTGGATTAAAAATCTCAAATTGATTTTTTAAAGTTATTAAAAATCATTGATCAAGTAATAAGAAAAATTAACTGGAAAAGTTCAACTGCTTATACAATTTTGATAAATGAAGGAGCATAATTGGAAAGTTTAACCATCATTAAAGATGTTATCTGTGTCACATGAAGTAAACTAAAAATGCAGCAATTAAAATGGGAAAACTTTAGTGTTGTTCACTGAGTGTTTCTGGCTCTTGACCTTTCAGACACATCATTGTATGCATTTTCTTGCTCTTTTTTATTATGTGGGGGTCAAGTGAGACACTCTAGTAAGCAAATTATGTATATAAATTTGTTGTGATATTTCTAGGCCAAATATTTAATTGGTTGTGCAAATCTCCAGAGCTTTATTTTTCCTCTGGAAAAGTGACCAACATTATTCCAAATAGTATTTGTCCCATCAAGCTAGGGCCTCCAATGACTCTGAAGTTCCAATGGATAGAGTTGCTTTGTCGACTGTGATCTGGTTTTGCATAGCAAATAACCAAAAAAATAATAATTTAAAGCCATAAAACAGCTTTCTTGTTATAAGTTACTGAGATTTGAGAGTTGCTGGCTAACAGATCATAACATTGCTTGTACAGTTACAGTACCACTTGTTTTTAGTACTAGCATTACTCTAGTTTAAAAAGTTGTTTAAATTTCATTTGTAATTGGAAAATAATATATAGGAATATATATGTGTATATATATGGGGTATAATGTGATGTTTTGCTACATATTTACAATGAGGAATGATCAATTCAGACTAATTAACAAATCCATAACTTCACATAACTTACCTTTTTTGGTTGTGAAAACATTTAAAATCAGCTTCTTTGGCAATTTGGAAATACATAATACATTGTTGTTTATTGTAGTCACCATTCTGTGCAATAGATCACTAAAGCTTATTCCTCCTGTCTACCTCAAACTTTGTACCCTTTTATCAACATCTCCCCTTTTCTCATCTCCCTCCCTCCCCCAGCCTCTGGTAGCCATCATTCTACATTCTACTTGTAGGAGCTGTACTTTTTAGAGTCCACGTATGAGATAATGAAGTATTTGTCTTTTTGTGCCTGGCTTAGTCACTTAGTATAATGTCTTTCATGGTCATCCATGTTGTCCAAATAACAGAAATCCCCCCTTTTAACGCCGAATAGTATACCATTGTGTATCTATATAAAACACATTTTTGTTATATATTTAACTATTGATGAATACCTAGATTGCTTCCATATCTTGGCTATTGTGAATAATACTGCAATGAACATGAAAGTGCAGATATCTCTTTGGCATGCTGATTTTAATGCCTTTGGATATATACCCAGGAGTGGGATTAATGAATCGTATGGTGATATAGATTTGATCTGCCTCCCTTCCCCCCAAATCCCATGTTGAAATGTAATCATCAGTGTTGGAGGTGGGGCGTGGTGGGAACTGACTGGATCATGGCGGTGGATTTCTCATGAATGGTTTGGCATCATCTCCCTAATGCTGTCTTCACAATAGTGAGTAACTTATCATGAGATCTGGCTGCTTAAAAGTGTGGCACCTTGCTCTCTCTCTCTCTTCCTCCTGCTTTCACCACGTGATGTGCCTGCTCCTTCTTTTGCCTTCTTCCATGATTGGAAGCTTCCTGATTCCTCCCCAGAAGCAGGTGCCACTCTGCTTTCTCTATGGCCTGCAGAACCATGAATCAGTTAAGCCTCTCCATTTATTTGTGTCATCTATAATTTTTTCATCAATGTTTTAGTTTTCTTTATGTATATCTTTCACTTCCTTCGTTCAATTTACTCCTAAGTATATTTTTATGCTACTGTGAACAGAACAAATTTATATTCTTTTTCAGAAAGTTCACTGCTTGTGTAAAAAATGCTGTTGGATATTGCAGGCTGATTTTGCACCCTGAAACTTTATTGAATTCATTTATCAGATCTAACTTCTTCTAGTGAATTCCTTAGGTTTTTCTACATATAAGGTCAGGTCATTGGGAAACAGACCATTTTACCTTTTCCTTTTTGATATGGACGTCTTTTATTTCTGACCAAAACTTCCAGCACTATATTGAATAGATCTGGTTAGAACAGGCATCCTCATTTTGTTCCTGATCACAGAGGAAAAACTTCCAACTTTTCACAGTTGAGTATGTTACCTGTGGGCTTTTCAGATATGGCCTTTCATACCTAATTTATTGAGAGTTTTTATTATAAAAAGAATGTGGAAATTTGTCAAATTTGTTTTCTGCATCTATTGAGATGATCATATGGGTTTTATTCTTCAGTTGGTTAATATGGTGTATCATATTGTTTGATTTTTGTATGTGCAATCCACTTTGCGTCCCATGGATAAATCCCACTTGATCATGATGAATGACTGTTTTCATGTGCTGTTGAATTCAGTTTGCTAGTGTTTTGTTAAGGATTATTGCATGTATATTCATTAGGGATGTTGTCCTGTAATTTTCATTTATTGTGGTGTCCTTGTCTTCCTTTAGTATCATGTCATACTGGTTTTGTAAGAAAGTTTTTGAAATATTCCCTACACTTCGATTTTTTTTGGAAGCTTTTGAGACAAAATTAGTATTAGTTCTTTTTTTAATATTTGGTAGAATTCTACCATGAAGCTCTCTGGTTCTGGGCTTTCCTTTCATGGCAGAATTTTTATTACTGATTTCATTATCGTCATCTTTCTCTATTGACATGTTCAGATTTTGTATTTCTTCTTGATTCAGCCTTGGTCACTTGTTTGCTTCTGTAAGTTTTTCCATCCTTCCAGGTTTTCCAATTTGTTGGCATATATTGGTTCATAGTAACCTCTTATCATCCATTGTATTTCTGTGGTATCTGTTATAATATCTCCTCTTTAGTTTCCAATTTTATTTATTTGAGTCCTCTTTTTTTTCTTAGTTTGTCTTACTAGAGGTTTGCCAATTTTATTTATCTTTTGAAAGAATCAACTATTCATTGTATTAATCTTTTCTATCGTCTTACTGTTCTCTAATTCGATTATTTCTTCTGTGATCTTTATTATTTCCTTCTTTCTACTAATTTTGTTTTTTATCCTTCTTTTTCTAGTTACTCAAAGTGTAACATTAAGTTGTTTTTTGAGGTTTTTCTTCCTTTTTGACGTAGGTATTTATTGCTATAAGCTTTCCTCTTAGCATGACACTTGCTGCATAAGTTTTGGATGTAGTGTTTCCATTTTCATTTATCTCAAGATACTTTTTAAGCTTTCTTCTTAATTTCTTTATTAGTTGGTTGTTCAGGAGCATGCTATGTAATTTTCGTGTATATGTGAATTTTCCAAAAATCTTCTGTTACTGATATTTATTATTGTTCCATTGTGGTCAGGAGAGATACTTGATATGATTTCAATATTCTTAAACATTTTAAGACTTGTTTTATGGCCTAACACAGTCTATTCTGTAGAGTTACCTGTGTATGCTCCAGAAGCATGTGTACTTTGCCTCTGTTGGATGAAATGTTTTATATATATATGTCTGTTAGGTCCATTTGGTCTGAAGTGTTGTTCACATTCAAATCATCATTCTCCTATTGATTTTTTGTCTGAATGACCTGTCTATTGTTAAAAGTGAAGTATTATATTCCCTATGTTATTGTGTTACAATCTATCTCTCCCTTAAGGTTTATTCATATTTGTATTATACATTTAAATATTCCACTGTTGGGTGCATACATATAAAATTGTGTTATTTTCCTGAAGAGTTGATCTTTTCATCATAATAAAATGACCTTATTTGCCTCTCATTAAAGTTTTGACTTAAAGTCTATTTTGTTAGATAGAAGAGTAGCCAACCCTGTTTTCTTCTGGTTATCATTTGCCTGGAATATCTTTTTCCATCTGTTCACTCCCATTCTATGTGTGCCTTATGGCTAAGATGAGTCTCTTGTAAATGGCGTATTGTTTCGTCTTGATTTTGTTTTAAATTCATTAATCTACTCTGTCTTTTGATTGAATAATTGAATCCATTTATATTTAAAGTAAGCATTGACAAATAAGGACTTGCTACTGGCATTTTGTTCATCTTTACTCACTGTTTTGCAGTTATCATATTCCTCTCTTTCAATCTTGCTGTCTTTTTTGGTGACTTGTGTTTTTCTAATGGTATATTTTGATTCTTTCCCTTTCCCTTTATCTTTTGTGTATCTGCAACAGCTTTTATTTTGTGTGTGGTTACAATGAGGCTTACATAAAACATCTTGTAGTTTTTTTAATGATCTTATTTTTTATCACAACAAGAGGACACTTATGCTACATTTTGTCTTTTTTATACTTTTGAGTTCAGGGATACATTTGCAGGTTTGTTACATAAATAAACATGTGTCATGGGGGTTTGTTGTACAGATTATTTCATCACCAAGGTATGAAGCCTAGTACCCATTATTTTTCCTGGCCCTCTCCCTCTTCCCACCCTCCACTCCCAAGTAGGCCCCAATACGTGTTGTTCCCCTCTTTGCATCCAGGTGTTCTCATAAGTTAGCTCCCACGTAGGACAGAACACGTGTTATTTGGTTTTCTGTTCTCGAGTTAGTTTGCTGAGGATAATGGCCTCCAGCTCTATCCATGTCGCTGCAAAGGGCATTATCTCATTTTTTAATTTTTTTTTAAGGATACATAGCATTCTGTGGTGTATATATTCCACATTTTCTTTATCCAGTCTATCATTAATGGGCATTTAGGTTGATTCCATATCTTTGCTATTGTAAATAGTGCTGCAATGAACATATATGTACAGGTGTCTTTATAATAGAAAGATACATATATTTGAGATGGAGGTTCACTCTGTCGCCAGGCTGGAGTGCAGTGGCACAATCTCAGCTCACTCCAATCTCCACCTCCTAGGTTCAAGCGATTCCCCTCCCTCAGCCTCCCAGGTAGCTGGGACTATAGGTGCTCACCACCATGCCCGGCTAATTCTTTGTATTTTGTAGAGATGGGGTTTCACCATGTTGGCCAGGATATTCTCTATCTTGTGACCTCATGATCTGCCCGCCTTTTGGGTGTATACCCAGTAATGAGATTGCTGGGTCAAATGGTATTTCTGTCTCTAGGTCTTTAAAGAATCACCACACTGTCTTCCACAATGGTTGAATGAATTTGCTCCCACCAACAGTCATAAGTGTTCCCTTTTCTCTACAACCCCACCAGCATTTTTTTTTTTTTTTTTTTTTTTACTTTTTAATAATAGCCTTCCTAACTGGCATGATATAGTATCTCATTCTTAATGGTGTGAGATGGTTTCTCATTGTGGTTTTCATTTGGGAAGTACGTCCATTTTAACTATATTTATCCTTCCTATCCATGAGCATGAAATGTTTTTCCATTTGTTTGTGTTATCTCTGATTTCTCTGAGCAGTAGTTTGTAGTTCTTTTAGAGATCTTTTACCTCCATAATTAGCTGTATTCCTAGATATTATTTTTGTTGTGACTGTGAATAATGGGTATTTGTTTGTGATTTGGCTCTTGGCTTGACTGTTGTTGGTGTATAGGAATGCTAGCAATTTTTGCACATTAATTTTGTATCCTGACATTTCGCTGAAGTTGCTTATCAGCTTAAGAAACTTTTAGGATAGGCTGAGATGATGGGTTTTCTAGATATAGAATCATGTCATCTGCAGATAGGGATAGTTTGACTTCCTCTCTTCCTATTTGAATTCCCCTTATATCTTTCTCTTGCCTGATTGTTCTGACCAGAATTTCCAGTATGATCTTGAATAGGGGTGGTGAGAGAGGGCATCCTTGTCTTGTGCCAGTTTTCCAGGGGAATGCTTCCAGCTGTTTTTCATATGCTTGTTGGCTGCATGTATATCTTCTTTTGAAAAGCGTCTGTTCATGTCTTTTGCCTACTTTTTAATGAGGTTGTTTCTTTCTGTAAGTTTGTTTAAGTTTCTTATAGATGCTGGGTTTGTCATATATGGCTCTTATTATTTTGGGGTATGTTCCCTCAATACCTAGTTTATTGAGAGTAAGATGAAGGGATATTGAGTTTTATTGAAAGCCTTTTCTGCATCTGTTGAGATAATTGTGTGGTTTTGTCTCTCATTCTGTTTATGTAATAAATCACATTTACTGATTTGCATATGTTGAACCAACCTTGCATCCCAGGATGAAGCCTACTGGATCGTGATGAGTAAGCTTTTTGATGTGCTGCTCGATTTGGTTTGCCCATATTTTGTTGAGGACTTTTGCATCGATGTTCATCAAGGATATTGGCCTGAAGTTCTCTTGTTTTGCCATACCACTGCCAGGTTTTGGTATCAGGATGATGCTGACCTTATAGAATGAGTTAGAGAGGAGTCCTTGTCAATTTTTTGGAATAATTTCAGTAGGAATGGAATCAGCTCTTCTCTGTACATCTGGTAGAATTCAGCTGTGAATCTATCTGGTCCTGGCTGTTTTTTGGTTGGTAGGCTATTTATTACTGCCTCAATTTCAGAACTCATTTTTGATCTCTTTAGGGCTTCAATTTCTTCCTAGTTCAGTGTTGGGAGGGTGTATGTCTCCAGGATGTTATCAATTTCTTCTAAAATGTCTAGTTTATATGTATAGAGGCATTTATAATCTCTCATGGTGTTTGTATTTCTTTGGGGACAGTGATAATACCCCCTTATCTTTTCTGATTGTGTTTATTTGAATATTCTCTCTTTTCTTCTTTATTAGTATATCTAGTGATCTATTATATTAATTTTATCGAAAAACCAGCTCCTGGGTTCGTTAATTTTTCTAACTTTTTTGTGTGTTTCTATCTCCTTCAGTTCAGTTCTGATTTTGGTTACGTCTTGTCTCCCACTAGCTTTGGGATTGGTTTGCTCCTGGTTCTCTATTTCTTTTAGTTGTGAACATCTTATAGTATTAATGTCCTAATATAAGCTTATAGTACCTTAACTTCAATCACATAAAAAAACTCTACAATTCTACTTTTCATTCAACACATTTTATGCTATTGATGTCATACTTTACACCTATTTATATCATGTATGATTAACCAATTATTTATAGCTATAATTGTTACTTTTTATTATTTTTATTGGTACATAATAGATGTGCATAATTTGAAAGTGCATGTGATAATTTGATATATTCATATAATCCAATCAGGGTATTTGGGATATTCATAACCTTGAATATTTATATTTTCTTTTTGCTAAGAAAATCTGAATTGTTTTCTTCTAGCTATTTTGAAGTGTTCAACAGATTAATATTAACTATTGCCACCTTACTGATTTATCAAACACTAGGTCTTATTTCTTCTATATAACTCTATAGTTGTTTTTAATACACCTTTTTAAAACTCTTCTATTGAGTTAACAGTGATTTATACTCTACTTTTAAAGTAGTAGAATATTCTGAATTTGACTACATAATTACCTCGATCAGTGAGTTTTACACTTCCAAATATTTTTATATTGTTACTTATCCATTTGTTTCAACTTTAAGAAATTCCTTTAGTATTTCTTGTAATGTTGGTCTCATAATGAATGCCTTTAGCTTTTGTTTGTCTTGTAACATTTTCTTCTTTTCTTTATTGCTGATGGGCAGTTTTTCACCATATAGTATGCTTGATTTGGTGATTCCCTTTTTCTTTCAAACACTTTGAATATGCCATTCCACTCCCTCCTATCTTCCAAGCATTTTGTTGAGAAGTCTACTGATAACCTTATGGTAGATACTTTATATGTAATGAGTTTCTTCTCTCTTGCCACTTTCTAGATTCTCTCTTTCCCTTTGGCTCTCAACAATTTGATTACATTGTGTCTCATAGTATTTTTTGAACTGATTTTGCTTGGCATCCTGTGAGGTTCCTGAATCTGTATATCCCTATGCCTCCCAAGATTTGGGAAGTTTGCTGAGGATAATGGCTTCCAGCAAACCACCATGGCACACATTTAACTATGTAACAAACCTGCACAACCTGCACATGTATCCTGGAACTTAAAATAAAATTAAATAAATTTTTTTTTAAAGATTTGGGTCCAGGCATGGTGGCCCACGACTGTAATCCCATTACTTTGAGAGGCTAAGGCAGGCGGATCACTTGAGGCCAGGAGTTCGAGACCAGCCTGGCCAACATGGCAAAATTCTGTCTCTACTAAAAATACAAAAATTAGCTGGGCATGGTGGCATGTACCTGTAATCCCAGCTACTCTGGAGGCTGAAGTGAGAGAATTGCTCTAACCCAGGATCAGGATGTTGTAGCCAGCCAAGATCGCACCACTGCACTCCAGACTGGGCGACAGAGTGAGACTCTGTCTCAGAAACAAAACAAAACAACAACAAAAACAATTTGGGAAGTTTTCACAAAGTATTTATTTGAATAATATTTTTGACTTTTTGTCTCTTTCTTCTCTTTCTTCTCCTTCAGGTACTGCCATAATTGTATATTTAATGATGTCTGATGGATTCCTTGTGCTCTTTTACTCTTTTTTTTTTGTCCCTGTAATTTGCTAATTTCAAATGACCTGTCTTTGAGTTTACTGATTTTTCTTCTACATAATTGAGTCTGTTATTGGAAGTTTCTATTAAAATTTTTAGTTATGTCGTATTATTCAGCTCTAGGATTTCTTTTTTATTGCTTCTATTTCTTTTTTATTTCTTCTTTTTTTTTACTATACTTTAAGTTCTGGGATACATGTGCAGAACGTGCAGGTTTGTTAGGTATACACGTGCCATGGTGGTTTGCTGCACCCATCATCCTGTCATCTACATTAGGTATTTCTCCTAATGCTATCCCTCTTCTAGCCTTCCACCCCCTGACAGGCCCCGGTGTGTGATATTCCCCTCCCTGTGTCCATGTGTTCTCATTGTTCAGCTCCCACTTATGAGTGAGAATATGTGGTGTTTGGTTTTCTGTTCCTGTGTTAGTTTGCTGAGAATGATGGTTTCCAGCTTCATCCATGTCCCTGCACAGGACATGAACTCATCCTTTTTTATGGCTGCATAGTATTCAATGGTGTATATGTGCCACATTTTCTTTATCCAGTCTATCATTGATGGGAATTTGGGTTGGTTTCAAGTCTTTGCTTTTGTGAACAGTGTTGCAATAAATATATGTATGCATGTATCTTTATAGTAGAATAATTTATAATCCTTTGGGTATATATCCAGTAATGGGATTGCTGCATCAAATGGTATTTCTAGTTCTAGATCCTTGAGGAATCGCCATGCTGTCTTCCACAATGGTTGAACTAATTTATACTCCCACCAACAGTGTAAAAGTGTTCCTATTTCTCCACATCCTCTCCAGCATCTGTTGTTTCCTGACATTTTAATGATTGCCATTCTAACTATTGTGAGATTGTATCTCATTCTGGTTTTGATTTGCATTTCTCTAATGATCAGTGATGATGAGATATTTTTCATGTTTTTTAGCCACATAAATGTCTTCTTTTGAGAAGTGTTTGTTCGTATCCTTTGCTTACTTTTTGATGTGGTTGTTTGTGGTTTTTTGTTTTGTTTTTGTAAATTTGTTTAAGTTCCTTGTAGATTCTGGATATTAACCCTTTGTCAGAAGAATAGATTGCAAAAATTTTCTCCCATTCTGTCAATTGCCTGTTCACTCTGATGATAGCTTCTTTTGCTGTGCAGAAGCTCTTTAGTTTAATTAGATCCAATTTGTCAATTTTTGGCTTTTGTTGCCATTTCTTTTTGGTGTTTTAGTCATGAAGTTTTTGCCCATGCCTATATCATTTACTTCATTTCTGTCTTCCTCACCATACTATACTTAAGAGAGACACAAAATCTGTCTCACTTATTATTACATCCCCAAGTATCTGGCATGGCACCTGGCACATAGCAGATGCTCAATAAGTAAATATCAATTAATGGAATTAATTTTGCAAACTTTAGTAACTCATTCCACCTCTTTTTGAGTCACCAATAAGATGGGTTTAACTTTGCCACACCGGCCTAAAGACTGGAACTTCTGGGACCACCTCTTGAGTTCCTTCCCTGATCTAAGGCTTCTGCCCTTATTTATAGAGGTTTCACTAGAGCAGTAAGCTGAGTTACCTGAGATCTGTAAGCTGAATTTCCCACAGTGCTACTTCCATATCAGATGCCCCTTTTTTACCCTAGAGAAGGGAACTTGGTGAGTACAACTAGAAGCCAGATCTAAAGAAGCCAGATCTAACCATTTTACATATTGACCTCTTTCAGTTATCCCAGTATCCCTGTGGGGCAGGCACTGATCTCATGTTTGGAAAATAAGACAGAGAGGTTAACAAACTTAATACAAGTTTGTGTACTGAATAGGTGGCAGAGCAAGAATGAGAATCAGCTATTTTCATACTTTTTAATGCTGAGGCATAGCAGCCACCCAGATAATCCCTGCAGCTTCCCATGGCTCATAAGAGAAGGCACTCTCAGTGCATGGTAGGGGCAGTCAACTGGAGAGGCATGGTAGACTTGCAAAATTTTATTTAATGAGGGGTGGATAAGAGTGTCTAGAGTTAAATATGTCACTAAATTTCAGAGTTCTGCTAACTCCAGCACTTGCAAGTAAAGAGAATAGACATCTGTGCTTCGCCTGCTCATCAAGCACTACTCACTCCTCTCTATGTCTGGGAATCCACTGCTTTCCCAGTCTCAGTTTTTGTGTCTCTGCTGTGGGTGTAAGCCAGTCAGAGCCATTCTAACACCATGATTGGCTCAGCGGTGGCACATGACCTTTTCTGAGCCAATGGCGTGCTGTGAGCCTCCAGATAGAAATACTGGAGTGAAGACTCTCAAATTTTCTCCCTGGGTCTGCACCTAGAAGTGTGTGTCTCCAAATCGACAGAATCTGCTGAGATGGTTCAACTGTAAGAGGCGATCCTAATTTGGAAAGAAGCCAACACTAAAACAAGAGTCTATGACCTAATGGTGCCTTGTGTCTGTATCTGGATATACCTGACTTGCGGATGCTAAGCAAGACAGTACATTATCTTCCTTCCTTCCCCTTTCCTTTACCCTTTTTCTTTCTCCCTCCCTCTTCCTCCTACTTCTTATTCCTCTTTCTCAACTGCTCCCTTCTCTCTTTCTTTCTTAAGCCAGTATTGCTTAGGTTTTCTGTTATTTGAGTTCCAAAGAATCCTATCAGATATAATTCATCTTATTTAAAGATCTCAACAACTATATAAGACAGTATACACAGGGCAGGACAGAAATTGGAGGCATTAAATTTATAATAAAAATTTACAAACTTAAATTTTCTTATAACCAGGAAAATCTATTACAACAATATCATCTTCAGTAGGCAGAACAGTGTTGTGTTTCAATATTTTAGGCTGGGACCTAAAGAACCTGGCTGCTGCTCCATTTTAGTGGCTGACTTCTAAACTGGCTTCATTTCCCTTTCTTTCCCTTGTCTTGTTTATTGTTCTTTTCACTTCAAAAGGTGTGAGCTGTGTTGAGAGTAAAATTATAAGGTCAAGAGCAAAGGTACAGGAGATTGACAAGGCCTTTTACAAAATGTGTTTTAAAGGGTAAAAGTGGAAAGCCTGTTTACCTGCAGGCAAAACTACCCAAAGTTTATTGAATTTTAATCTCTTCTACTGTTTATATAAAAGAAAAAATGACTTTACAAATCTGGATTTCAAATTCAATAGCAATTATCATTCCTTTTTCCCCTTTGAAATATCTGTTTTCATAAGGTATTTTTAATTTTTTTTTTTGGAGGTCTACTACACCATGGCAGAAGAGCAGCAGAACAGGATAGATTCCCATTTGACAGAGCAGGAAACTGAAGCTCAGAAAAATGAACTGAACTACTTAATATCTTATGACAAATAAGTCATAGAACAGTGTAAGAATTCTGGGTTGTTGATATTTATCTTAATGCAATAATATTCCATGCTGCCTTCAGCCTGTCTTAAAATCAATCAGGGAAGCCTGACTCAGGTAGTGGTGGTTTGGTAAGTGATAAGTCTATTTCAGTGGTTCCCAAACTTGAATGCATATCAGAATACTGTGGAGGCCTTGTTAAAACAGGTCTGATCTCCACTCCCAGGATTCCTGAGTCAGTAAATCTGGAATGAATCTCAGTAATCTGCATTTCTAACAAGTTCCTAGGTGATGCTGGGATGCTGGCTTGGTGTCCACACTTGGAAAACTGCTAGTCTATTGGACAGAATGACTTCAAATAAAGGAGTAGCAGAGGCCAGATAAGTAATACACAAGCTGGAGATTGACCACAGTCCACACCCCCCAAGCTGAAAAGCAGCTTTCATAGACAGAGAACAACATATGCAGCTTCCATTTATTGAGTACTTACTGGAGGCAGGCATTGTATTAAAAGCTCTACACAACTATCCTATTTAATGTTGCTTCTCTCTAGTATGAATTTGCTAATGTCTAATGAGGTGTGAGAACCAGCTCAATGCTTTGCCACATTCTCCACATTTGTAGAGTTTCTCTCCAGTGTGAATTCTCTCATGATTAGTAAGGTCTGAGAAGCACTTAAAGGTTTTGCAACATTCTTCACATTTGTAAGGTCTCTTTTCCATATGAATTCTCTTGTGGTTAATAAGGGTTGAAGGGCAGGTAAAGGCTTTGCCACAATCTTCACTGATGTAGGGTTTCTCTACAGTATGAATTTTATGTTTACTAATGGCTGAGAACCACTTAAAACCTTTTCCAAGTTCATTACATTTATAGGGTTTATCTCCAGTATGAATTATCTTATGTTTAGCAAGGTCTGAGAACTACCTACAGGCTTTGTTACATTCTTCACATTTGTAGGGTTTCTCTCCAGCATGAATTCTCTTACGAATAGTAAGGTCTGAGAAGCACTTAAAGGCTTTGCCACATTCTTCACATTGGTAGCATCTTTCTCCAGTATGATTTCTCTAGTGTTTAAGAAGGGTTGAGGAGCAGGTAACAGTTTTGTCACATTTTTCACATTTGTAGGGTTTCTCTCCCATATGAACTCTATATTTAGTAAGGTTTGAGAACTTTTTAAAGGCTTTGCCACATTCTTCACATTTGTAGCATCTCTCTGCAGTATGAATTCTCTTATGTCTAGTAAAATCTGAGAACAACCTACAGTCTTTGCCACATTCTTCACATTTGTAGCATTTCTACGCTAAAAATTTTATGTTCAGTGAAGATTGAGCACAACTCAAAAGCTTTGCCGCATCTATTACATTGACAGGTTTTGCTATGGGTAGTTGACAAACATTGATAAAGGCCATTATAACTGCTTTTCTGCTCCCTTGCAATTACCCACACTTTGGTAGTCTTTCTTTAAATGTAAATTACTAAGGTCACAGCTTCTATATTTTCTCAGAATCACTTTTTTAAATGAATCTTTTATGTCGTGCTCCAGCATTATCTCTGCAGTAAAATGAAAAGAGCCAGCTGGGTGTTTGACTACTGTCTCCTGTCTCTTCAAATTTCAGGGCTCTTTTCTTTGCTCCAGACAGGTAATCAAGTCTGGCTTAAAGATAGCAAGACCCAAGGAGACCAGGTTTCTGTAGTTCTCTAATATCACGTCCCTATACAAATGTTGCTGAGCAGAGTCCAGGCATTCCCACTCTTCCGGGGAGAATTCTGTGGCCACATCCCTGAATGTTAACACTCCCACTTCCTGGCCTCCGGATATTCTGCCGTCCTCCCTCTGGATCTCCCAGTACCTGCAGGTCGTGGGATAACAGGGGCTATGATAGAGCCACCAAGGAGCTCCTGAAGTGGAGGAGATGGAACAGTGGAGACGGGAACTGGGCTCAGAGCCTGCGAGCTAGGAGACAAAGCACTTCTATTTCTTTATTAAACTTCTGATTGTGATCATGCATTGTTTTCCTAATTTCATTTAGTTATCTCTCTGCATTTTCTTGCATCTCTTTGAGTTTAAGATGATTATTTTCAATTCTTTTTCAGGCAATCTATATAACTCCATTTCCTTGAGGTCAGTTATTAAACCTTTATTAGTTTCCTTTGGTGGTGTCATGTTTGCCTTAATCTTTGTTATCATGTAGCCTTGCACAAATATCTGTGTATTTGAAGAAGCAAACTTCTCTTAGAGACCTATAGACTAGTTTCAACAAGTTAAAGTACTTCCCTGTAAGGTCTCTAGACTGATGAAATTGACTCTGGGGTTGTAGTTGAATGGGGTTAAATCCAGGTATTGTGGCTGATGCTGGGTCTACAGTGGAGACCACAGTTGGTTGGCCTATTCCTAGGGGCCCTAGTGAGTGTGGGTCCTACCTTGTCACTGGGTGGGCTATACTGTCTTCAGGACCTTGGTCTTTGGGGCTTGCCCTAGGATGAGTGTCCTCTTCAGAGTTCAGACATTAGGCCTGTTACCAGGTATGCCTATGGGTATATTGGCTTTTTATGAGTCTCTGGAAGGACATCCCTTGGGCAATTAGTTGAATTCCTGAGTTGTCTATACTACTCCAGTCCATGGCTGAGATGAGCTACAACTGAGACACAGGGTTGTTTCAGGTCCACAACTGACACAGATTTTTCAGGCCTGTCTTCGGGGGATAGGCATGTCTCCCAGTGGGTCCCTGGGTAGACAGGCCTGCTCTTAGACTGTAGTTGAGAGGGGATGCACGTAATTTATAGGGATGTTTCAATATCCACAGTGTTACTGAGGTCAGGGTGTCAGTCTGAAGGAGCACTAGTGAATTTGCTTTTTTCCAGGTCTGTAGAAGGCCAAACTAGTCTTAGTTCTCAGACAAGAGGGCCAGTGCCAAGATCCAGGGGTGCTTAATGAATCACTGAGGGACAGAGCTTGGCAAGGCTGCCACACTGACTCAGATAGGTTCATATCCTGACAGGATACTGGCTGGGTAGAACTGCTTCCAGACCACAGCTTTGGGGGGGCTGAAACCAAGCTTCAAAGATAAGTCAGAATCTGCCACGGGACTCATGTTGGCAAGCTAACTCAGTGGCAACTGCCAACGAGACACCCAGCAGTTCCCTGTATGAGCAGAATTGCTTCAACATCACAGAGAGGCTGGAGCTGACAAGGCCTTTTCCAAAACTTCTGTTTTGAATATTGTCCTGATCTGTCTCCCAGGAGTTCTCTGTGCACACAAGGTAGCTCTGGAGTTGCAGCAAAGAGATGCTGGAGCTGAGACAGGTCTCCTTTAGGGTGTGCTGTGGGATGAAGGTTACCGAGCCTGTCCAGTTGACATAGATAGCCATGTCTCCCAGAAGTTCCCTGTGCTTTTGTGATAGCTCTCTGACTAGCAAGAGGGCTCTGGAGCTGAGACTAGGCCCCTTCAGGATCTGCTGTGGGACAGAGGCTGGCAAGCCTGTCCCAGTTGCACAGATGGGTCCTTATACAAGCAATACTAAGCTGAGACTGCTGCAGAGTGGGGCTAGAGCCTAGTTACAAAAATAATTTTCAAGTCAACTGCCAAGACCAATATTGATGAACCCATGAGCCTTTCTGCCGAGGAACTATTGTGACTCCTTTTGGACTCCTTGGTAACATTTGGTAGCAGGCTCAAGGCCAAACTAGATTCTAGCCAAGCCCTTCAGGAAATGGGGGTGTTTCCAGGTTTGAATCCAGAAACACAGTTAATGTATCTATCACCTGGGTGTGGGTCCTCACTCTCAAAATGACCCCCCTAGGTCTTGGACTCCATGAGAGTTTCACAACCTGCAGCCTAAATACTAAAGCTTCTACAAAGAGACTTTGGTCTGTGGAAGAATGCAGAATTCTTGTTGTTGTGCAGTAATATAAGCAGCTGATCTCCTGTTCTGCCACCTTGCTAACATCATTTTAACAATGCCTTTAAAAAAAAAAGACAAAAGCCATATAATTCTAGCCCCACAGCATTTGCTACTTTAATCAGATATTTTGAATAAAACTAATTAAATATTTGCCAGAAAGTTTGCTTCATATGGATTGAATGCACATAAGGAAATGTTTAAAACAATTGTTTTAAGGATATTTAGACAATTAATGCATCTATTTGACAGACCTGGAGCAGTTAGTGTGTGCTGCTAAGGTTTCTACCTCTAGATGCAAGAAAGGGTACCCTTGTGCTTTCTGTTTGTCTAGTTGTGGCAAGATTGAATAGAAGAATACAGGGAATAAATATGGAAGGAGAATTTCTGCAACTCAGGAATAACCTTGTAAACAATGAAGAGCCTGTTTTACTCCAAAGAATAACCTAAAATTTGAGTTTATGTGAGAAGTGTAGGAAAATGTCCCCTACCACCCACACCTGGTAGATTATAACAAAACTAATTAAAAGCAAGCCAGGGAAGGAAGGGAAAAAGGGAAGGAGGGAGGTATCAGGTGGGAGGGATGGAGGCAGAAAGGAAGAAAAGAAAAAGAAAGAGACTTCCAGTTTTAAGATATTACATTAGAGATAATATGTCAATTATGGTATTATCAGGCCATATACGATAGACAAAAATTGACCTAACATCAATATTTCTCCAATTTTAAATAATTTAAAAACTAGGACTCATGCATATGCCATGAGTCTCAAGCTTAGTGTTTGCTTTGAGAAAGCATTCAATAAATCATTTTCCTGTACCAAAATCTCCCTTTATCCATCCATCATGTTAATCCATTTTGAGGGATTTTTTTTTTTTTTTTGACAGTACAGATCTTAGTCATCTTTAAAGAAGAACACATCCATCGCCTTATCTTTGTTGCTCACAGACTACCTCTTGAACTCCTGTCCTACTCACTGGATGTATTAAAATGTTAATGTATATTCTCCACTACTATTTTATTATCACTTTATCTGTGATTATTTGTGATAATCTCATCTTATTAAAAATGTTGGGTAGCATGATAGGAATCTTGGAATTTTTTTTCCCAAGCATACCATTTCTAACTACTTCAAAGGAGATACTTCAGGGCTAGTGTTCAATGAGATGCTTTTACTAGCCAATTCAAATCCATCTTAAAATACATGTTTTCTATGAAAACTTCACAAACTAGTTTTAATAAACTTACATAAGCCTGTTATTCAAAATCATTCATATTTTTATTAAGTTGATGGAATATCAGTTCTAGTTTATTAACATGCTCTCTGAGATCAACTAGTTTCACTCACCTAGGTATTATAATTTATTTTTTTACTACTTCACTAAATTTACTAAACCTTATAAAATGCTCTGAGCTTCTTAAAGAAGCCTTAACTACAAATTATGTAGCTAAAACCCAGCAAATTATATTACATTTGAAAGACAATTTTAGCTTTACATTAATCAAATATGCTTTATAAAGATTTTTTTTTTAAAAAACAGCATTATAGAAAAGAGGAAATCAAAATCTCTCAAACACATGTGAAAAATATTCTACTCATTTAGGAATCCAAGAAATGCAAATTAAAACTCAATTAGATTTCATTTAAAAACTACCAGATTAACATTTAAACAAATCAGAAAATGCCAATTGTAGGTGAAAATGTAGATAAAATATGTACAAACTAGTACATTTGAGGACATTAGGTAGAACATTTTATTTGTATTCTGTAATGTATCAATTCAATTTTATGTATATGTAATCCAGAATAGTATTTGCTCATGTGTAACAGAAGACATGTACAAAAGTATTCTTAGCAGTTTTTTTTTTTTTCGAATTAATCTACCTGGTTATGTTCACCAAGCTTAGGATGAGTAAATTTCATTATAGTCAAGCAACATAAAAACGTAGATTATAAAAACAAATAGTGGTATTCAACAATATGAAATTACCTTACAATGTATAGCACAAGAAGCAAGGTACATAATTATGCATGGTATGGGTTAAAACCAAGCAAACCAAAGCAGTGTTTTGAAATGGTGAATGCATATTAAAATAAAAAATATAAGATAAATATTATCACAGAGATGACAGTGATTATTTCTGCAGAAAGTAATATTTGGGAGAGGGACACACAGAAGATTCAAGGGCACTAGAAATGTTCTCCTTTTTAACAAGGTGATAGTTACATGGATTTTTATCAATACTTAACTAAGCTACACATATATTTTATTTATTCTTGTGTGCATATAATACTTCTCAGAATAGTAAAAATCAATCTAACTCTCATTTTACATAACACAATATAGAACAAAAAAGGGGAGATTGGAATGAAATCAAAACAAAATTAAGAATATAGAGAAAAAAATGGTTGCTTTTTTCTCAAGATCTCAGTAAAACATCTATTAGCTAAATATTGCTTGGCTTAGTTCAAATTTATAAAAGGCTTAAGAAATGAGATTGACTTCTGTAATAAAGAGACAAGGTACCTGAATAGCCACAGCACAGACAATTTAATTGGGTTTCATTAAGATTTTGATTATATTGGCATATATAGTTATATAATGTGGCATATGATACTCAGACTATCAGGCTAGTAAATGACTTCAGTATTGACTGTGGCTTTTGGAAATTAGGTGATTAGTGATTTAAAAGAAAATGGAAATAGAGTAACAGAAAATGGAAAAGAAGTAAAGGAGCACTTGGAAAATTTCTGTGCAGTCATTGTAAGATATTAATCTTTGCCAATTTTTTTCTATGACTTTATGTTCTAATTCTTTTAAATGAGTTTAGACATTGCATAGGTGTTCAGATACTCTTTTTTATACTATCCATAAAAGACTTTAAAAAATATTATTATTCCTGGAGCCCAAATTACTGGTAATCTTTTCTGTGCGTTTTATAGGTGTTGCTCCATAGATAATCAGTGCCTACCAACCAAAGGCTTCCCTAGAAATCCATGAATGATTCATTCATGAATGAAGAAACAATTTATCTTTGAAATACTGTAAATAAGATTCAAAGTGGCATTTAAGTCAATTTGTCTTTTATACTTGTTATAAGCCACTGCAATTTGTAAATTTCCTGTGGAATAACTATATCTAAAGGAAGAAGTCATTATACTTTAAACCTTTTGCAAAGCATCAATTGAGAAAAAGTGTGTTCTTTATGTAGCACATGTAATCCATATCCTACATACACTTAGAGCAAATAATACATGTTAGTATACATGAGCTGTGGTAATTTTTTTTTCTATAAGTTAAATTCATGCTAGCTATCTTAATCAAAAAAATGCACACACACACAGAAAGATATTATTCAACTATACTGTGGAATGAATAATGCAAATAGTCTCATGTAAAAGACACTTATAAATGCCAAATAAAAGCATTATAAATATCCTCTGAATTGCCTGAATGAGCTCACAAGAGAGTAACAGAAATCTCCAGGGATCAAAAATGAAGAAGCTAAAAATTAAAATGGTTAGTTGAAAGTGAACTTGTGTCTAAACTGGGAATTTGCACTAATCTATGTATTCTAGAATTTGGATCTTGATGATTGCATGGATATAGAAATTGAGGGCTTGGTGGGAGTGGGGCGTGAGGATTCCGTAAAAAAGTCAAAAAACAGAACTGAAACTCAGATGCCAGAATAATGCCAGAAGAGAGATATCATAAGCAAAAAAAGTTTGCCTATTGTGAGCTCTGGATGGAGAATATCTACCCATGCAATTACAACCAAAGATATGCTTTTTCATGAGTTTATTGTCTACATTTATACTTTGAAGATCCTTGGGATGTCAAGCAGGATCAAAGGCAACTTAGCAGTAAAATGATTGTACAAAATTCCTACATATAAAGCATATCAAATATTGATACACAGTATAAAATAAGTCCAGACAAAAGTAAATATGCCACAACAAAGGAAAATGAGTAGCCTTAGACTCCCAGCATCTTTGGAAAATGGAATATTTGGATATAGAATATAAAATATATATCAAAAAAATTAGTGGAATAAAGATAAAAATAAAAATGTAAAAAGGAAGAAAAGATAAGAAACAAGCCCCCCCAAAATAAATAGGCATATTATTTAAATTATCAAAAATAAGCTCTGGAAATTACAAACAGGATTATTCAAATCATACATGCAATGGATAGATTAAATAGCTTAGGTAGAGATAATGGAAACATTAGTAAGCTCAAACATGCATCAGGAGAGATTACCTAGATTGGCACAGATAGAAGAAATTTGAAAATTTTGAAAAAGTGAAATTAAAAGTCATAGAATATAGGCAGAGAAAAGAAAGAAATGGCATCCAAATAGGAAGAGAGAAAGTCAAAGTATCTCTGTTTGCAGATGACATAATTCTGTATCTAGAAAACCTTATAGTCTTGGACCAAAAGCTCTGTCAGCTGATAAAAAACTTCAGCAAAATTTCAGGATACAAAATCAGTGCACAAATATCACTGACATTCCTCTATACCAACAACAGCCAGGCCAAGAGCCAAACCAAAAATGTAATCCTATTCACAATTGCCACAAAAAGTATAAACTACCTAGGAATACAGCTAACCATGGAGGAGAAAGATCTCTGCAATGAGAATTACAAAACACTCCTCAAAGAAATCAGAGAAGACACAAACAGATGGAAAACATCCCATGCTCATGGATAGGAAGAATCAATATTATCAAAATGGTCATACTGCCCAAAGCAATGTATAGATTCAGTACTATTTATATAAAATTAACAGTGCCATTTTTCACAGAACTATGAAAAAACACTATTTAAAAACTCATATGGAATCAAAAAGCCCAAATAGCCAAGGCAATCCTAAGCAAAAAAAACAAACAAAAAAACAGAGGCATTACATTACCTGATTTCAACTTATATTACAGGGCTACAGTAATGAAAACAGCATGATAGTAGCACTAAAACAGGCACCTAGACCAATGAAACAGAACAGAGAGCCCAGAAATAAGGCCACACACCTACCACCATCTGGTCTTCCACAAAATTGACAAAAGCAATGGGGAAAAGACTCCCTATTCAGTAAATGGTGCTGGGAAATTTAAGACGGACCTCTTCCTTATACCATACACAAAAATAAATTGAAGATGGATTAAAGACTTTAATATAAATCCCAAAACTATAAAAATCCTGGAAGACAACCTAGGCAGTACCTAGACATAGAAATGGGCAAAGATTTTATGATAAGACCCCAAAAGCAAGCACAACAAAAGCAAAAATTGACAAATGGGATCTAATTAAACTTAAAAGCCTCTGCATTTCAAAAGAAACTATCAACAGAGTAAGCAGACAACCTGCAGAATGGGAGAAAATTTTTGCAAACTACGCATCTGACAAAAGTCTAATATCCAGCATCTATAAGAAACTTAAATTTATAAGAAAAAAAAATGTGAGCATAGGACATGAACAGACACTTTTCAAAAGAAGACACACGTGCAACCAATAAGCATATGAAAAAAAGCTGAATATCACTGATCATTAGAGAAATGCAAATCAAAACCACAATGAGATATCATTTCACACCAGTTTGAAAGACTGTTATTTAAAAGTTAAAAAATAACAGATGCTGGTGAGGTTGTAGAGAAAAAGGAACACTTAATTCACTGTTGGTAGGAGAGCAAATTAGCCTAACCATTGTGGATTCCTCATTGGCGATTCCTCAAAGAGCTGAAAGCTGAACTCCATTCAACCCAGCAATCCCATTACTGGATATTTACCAAGAGAACTACAAATCATTCTACCATAAAGACACATGCACAGGTATGTTCATTGCAGCCCTATTCACAAGAGCAAAAACATGGAATCGACCTACATGTCTGTCAATGGGAGACTGGATAAAGAAAATGTGGTACATATACATTATGAAATACTATGCATCCATAAAGAGGAATGAGATCATGTCTTTAGCAGAAATATGGATGGAACTGGAGGCTATTATCCTTAGCAAACTAATGCAGGAACAGAAAACCAAATACTGCATATTCTCACTTATAAGTGGGAGCTAAATGATGAGAACTTATGAACACAAAGAAGGAAACAACAGACACTGGTATCTATTTCAGGGTGGAAGGTGGGAGGAGGGAGAGGAGCAGAAAAGATAACTATTGGGTACTGGACTTAATACCTGAGTGATGAAATAATCTACACAAGAAACCCCTGTCAAACCAGTTTACCTATATAACAAACCTTCACATGTACCCCTGAACCTAAAAGTTTTTTTTAAGAATACCAACAGTAGTTTCAGAAAAATGGACAAAAAAATGAGACAGTATTTAAAGAGAGTAATAATTTTCCAGATATATCATTATCTTCCAGATGGAAAATAATGATATCTAATATATAAAAAAGTGCAATGAATACCTAACAAACATTTATAAGAATGGAAATAAAACTTCAAAGAAGTACCAAAGACAAAAACAATATTTTAAATCAGCCCCAACGGAAAGGTAGTTTAAGCAGAAATGTGTGATGATTAGATTGGCAGAAGACTATCAATAACAAAAATAGACAGTAACAAGAATAGTGGAAAAAAATTCTTAATAATGCAGAGAAACTATAACTGCCCATCCAGAATTTTATACCCATTTAATATTATTTTAAGAATAAAAAGTTAAATGGTAGTAATTCAGATAGTGATTGAAAGTTAATTAACCCTTACTAAATAAATGTTCAAAGTATTTACTTCATAAGAAATGTAAACTAAAAAAAGAAGAATCGAAATATAAAAATGAATGGTGAGGAAAGGTATTGGTAAATATGAATTCAATCTAAAAATATTAAATACAGAATGCAAACAATATCCAAAAATGTTGGGAATGGTATGTAATACGTAAGTAAAATATTGGAGAAAACATGTAAGAAAGAAACAGAGATGTTAGATGGGGTGGGGAGGTCAATAAATGAGTGGTTAATTAATTTTATTAACGGGTTGATTTTGCGTGTTGGGTTCATTAGTGTTCTTGTAGTTGAAATACAACGATGGTTTTTCATATCACTGGTCGTGGTTGTAGTCCATGCGAGAATAATGACATATGCGTTATGTCATAATTTCCACTTAGAAATTCCACTGTTCAGGCTGGGCGTGGTGGCTTATGCCTGTAATCCCAGCACTTTGGGAGGCCGAGGTGGACGGATCATTTGAGGTCAGGAGTTCGAGACCAGCCTGGCCAATATGGCGAAACCTCATCTCTACTAAAAGCACAAAAATTAGCTGGGTGTGATGGTGCACACCTGTAAGCCCAGCTACTCGGGAGGCTGAGGCAGGAGAATCGCTTGAACTCTGGAGGCAGAGGTTTCAGTGAGCCGAGATCCTGCCACCGCACTCCAGCCTGGGCGACAGAGTGAGTCTCCATCTCAAAAAAAAAAAAAAAAAAAGGAAATTCCAATGTTCGAGGGCCTCCCATACTTTTTGAGGTTAATGGAAGTACTGGTGAATTTAGATGTATAGATAGATACACACATAAACACGCACACATATATAAAATGTAAGTGTGTTAAGCATAAATACCTACAATTTTAAAACATTGATTACATAGTTTAAATACCATCAGAGGAGATTAAAAAAAAAAAAGAATACAAAATCATTAAACCCAAAGAAGGCAGTAAAGGATATTAAGAACATTAAGAACAAAAGCAGGGTCATAGGATGCTACAAAATATAGTTGTTTTGTTTTTCCTTTTCCTTTTTTTTTTTTTTTCTTTTGGTTGGAGACACAGGGTCTCATCTTGTCACCCAGGCTGGAGTGCATGGCGCCATCTCGGCTCACTACAACCTCTCCCTTTGGCTAAAGGGATCTTTCCACCTCAGCTTCCCAAGTAGATGGGGCCACAGAAGTGTGCCACCACACCCAGCTAATTTTTAGTGTATTTGTAGAGAGGGGGATTCTCCATTTTGCCCTGGCTGGTCTTGAACTCTTGAGCTCAAGAGATCCACCTGCCTCAGCCTCCCAAAATGCTGGGATTACAGACATGAGCCACTGTGCTTAGCCCAAAATAAAGTTTTGATAATACATTAAAAGGATTCATAATTGTGATAAATGCAAGTGGTTTACAGTTGCTAGTTAAAAGGCAAAAATCATAGAATTAAAAAGAAACCAGCATTTTGCTGTTTGTAAACATAAACCCTAATGTCAAAGACTGACTGAAACTAAATAGACAAAAGAAATTATGCTAATTAAATAGTGATGAAGCCAAGTGTTATAGCCGGATTAATACTAGACAAAGTATAATTTTAGGTAGAATCATCACATTATAATAATATACATAATTTGGGGCACTTGTTATAAATGTTATTAGCATATGATGTCCTTTGAATCTCTTGATTTTTTGATATATGTAACTAATGTAGTTTCAAAATACATAAAGAAAAAAATAGACATAATTTAATAAGATATTGATAAATTAGGCATCAAGCTCACTAGTATCAAATAAATAAATACAATTGACCACATACTAAAAATTAAAACAAGACTCAGTGATTATTAAGGACTTGTTTTACAGACCACATTTTGCTATCAAAATTCCATTCAGTTAAAAATGCATAACAAGATAACTGGAAAAAATATTTTCAAAAGCAAACATGAAAAATAATAGAATAATTTGTGGTTCAAAGTAAAATAATGTAATTGGAGAATTCACCACATGATTTTAATTTTTATAAAACAAAAGAAACTGTTAGCAAACTAGGAATATATGTCAGTTTTCCAAATTTAATTGCATGTATCTTCCAAAAATCCATCAGCAAACAGTCACAACCTGATTAAAGTATTCTTTTAAAATCAGGAGTGAAAAGACATGGTTGGATGTTTTCATTACTATTATTCAATATTTTATTTGAGGACCTATCTAGTGAAAAAGGACAAGAAAAAGGAATAAAAATAATAAATTACAGAAAAAACCTCTAATTATTTACAGATATTTTCAGAAAATAATTAGACTTCTATAGACAAATTATTGGAATTCATTAGGTCACCATGTAACAAATTGTATCATCGTTATGCAAATAAACTATTTGCCAATAAACCAGAAGCAAAAATAGAGGCAATATAATAGATGAAAAATAGCATTTAGAAAAGAAGTGGAAATATTAATTTTTTATCAATATCTGAAGTACATATGCAAGATATTTTTGAGGAATAATATAAAATTTTATGGATAGGCATTACAGAAAAACAAGAAGAAGAAGAAAGAGGAGAGGAAAGAAGCAGAAGAGAGGTTTTCTATGTCATGTATGTGAACACCCAGTATTTTATATTTATTTATATATATATATATATATATATATATATATATATATCTTTTCCTCCAAATTAATCTATACAATTAATGTAGTTTTACTTATAATACCCACTGGTTTCACAGATGAAACTTGAAAAGCTTATGGTAAACTATATGTGGAATACACAAGAAATGACATGTTTGGAACTAGAGAAGTTGAAATTTGCGTTGTAACAAATAATAATAATGTTTACACTTAGGACTTGCTGTCTGCCACCATTATTTTTAAATGTTTATGCTTAAAATATTTTAATTTTCACAACGATTATGTCAGTAATATAAACCCCACTTTGCAAATGAAGAAACAGAAGCATACAGAGGTTAGACAATTTGCCCAATTTCACAGTGGTAGAGACTAAATTTGAACCTGGGCTGTTTGGCTCCATAATCCTGTTCATAATTATTACTTTAATCAATGTCAAGACATTACTGCATTTAAGTTATTAGGACAGTGTTGTATTACACTGGGGTAAATAAAATCCTGATGACCAAAATAAAAAGCCTAGAATTTCGCTTACAAATATATGAATACTTGTTACGTAACAAAGGTTATTTTGGAGTGAGGTTTGAACAATTTAATAAATTGTGCTTAGTTAGCTATATGAAGAGCCAAGTTATTTAGTAGCACAAAATTAGTTTCAGGCAAATTCAAGGCTTGAATAAAGCAAAATTTAAAGCTTGTGTACAGTTTTTTAAATCTTGTTTTAGGAAAGATTTTAAAAACCACACTCCTAAGTAAAAAGAAGGAGGAAAAGAACTGATAAATATGACCACAATGAAAAGCAACTTTCCGTGTTTCTATAAATAGCAAATAAAGAAGAAAAAATAACCAAGAAACTATGAGAAGATATTTGCACAAACATAAAAACTTTTGGTGTTAGTATATTAATAGATAAGTATCCCAAATAAAACATAACAAGTGATGTATTTAATAAAGACAGATGTACTTCCTCCACAACGTAGCAATTATTTTCCTAGGTATATGCCCAAAAGAAAAATCTGCTTATATGCAGAAGTAGACATGCATAGCAATATTATAGCAACATTTTTTACAGGACTGAAAAAAATGGGAGAAAACCAAAATGTCCAATGCCACAAAAAGTTTTGATGGAAATGTGATGTAATAGTACAATGAAATAGTAATAATAATAAAAATTATGAAGTTAGCTATCAACAAAGATGAATGTAATGAAGTTATTAACAGAAATAACAAATTGTTCAAAATGATTATTATAATTGTTTTGTACCTCTTTTACAATCTTGTTTAACTTTAAAACCTATAATACAAAATTATAAATGTTTATAGATACGTACACGTGTTTTAAAAATTTAAAAATATGTATGGAAATGATAGATGTAGTGATAATTTCCTTTGTGCAGGGAAGAATGAAGAGGAAAGGAAATGAGTTAGGGTGTACTAAGACTTTTGATATTTTAGGTGCTGTGTGTCTTAAGCTAGTTTGTAGAAGGTGAATGTGTATAATTTTTGTATACTCTGGCATTTCTTTGAAAAGTTAATCATATAAAATAGTAGAATGTTTTTTAATTTAAAAAGTCATTAATGTCAACTTAGGGAGAAAATTGTTTTTAAATCAGAAATGACAATTATTTACATTATAATAAAATTCTATGCTGTGTCTAATAATAGAATGAAGAGCTTTATATCTGCCTCTGTAGTCTCTTTGCTGTCAAATTGTAGTGATGACAGAAACTGAATATTGCCCAATATCTGAACCATAATGAGGATGATTTTGAGTTTAAAAAGGTAATGCTCTGGGTTTTTAAATATAATTATTGGTGATTATAATACTTTTCAAGTCAAGATTAAAGTTAAATAGGGATATTTATTAAGAAGCAACATATTTCCAACTAAGTGTTTACTCTTTACTCTAGGCTTGTCCAATATTCAATTTAATAAAGTACATCCACTACTCGTGAATGATGAATCCAAGATCATCTTTAACCACTGTATGCTTTATAATATATCTTCCCCATGGGTATTATCTCTGTGCAATTCTTTTGATTTATGGAGAAAATAGAATATTATACACTGTTGTTTTCAGAAAAGCTAAATTTAGCATAGAGCAAATGAGTTAGCAAAAAATATTACTACCACTAAAAATAAATATATCTGCCTAAAGTATTTTTTATTATTTGCCCAAGTTGTCAATTTTAATTTCTTGCAGCAGCACCACCACCACCACTATCCCAACAATCCCCTTCAACCCTTGACACACACACACACGCACACACGCTCACTCACTCACTTCAGACTTCACACTTTCCTGCAGTCTGTGTCCCACGTTCTACATTACCCACCCATAATTTCCTTTTCTGCAAGAATGGATAACCAGTTCTCAAGTCCATCATCTCAGGATCTACAAGGACCACCCTCTCCACTAATTCTAAATCTCAATGGCAATGATTACTTTATTTGTTATCCTTACTAGATCTTTTATAATCTCTTTCGGAACTTAAGACCAACAAATGATTCTGTTTTTTATTCTCTTTTCTCTCCACAGCCAAATTTTTAGAATAAGTTTTATATATTTATCTCCCATTTATTCTCTTTAATTCTACAAACACCTTCCTATCAAGCCTAAATCCCAACACTTTACTGGAAACGTTCTCATAAATATAATCAATCAACATCATGTCACCAAATCCAATGAATGTTTTTCATTCTATATATTCCTAGAATATCAAAAATTATTAAACATAAACCTTATATAAATGTATAGGCCTGTGACAATTTTAATGGCACAATACATTTTTGTATATCACTTTATCTCATAATGCTATTTCCTTATTTTGTCCACTAAGTCACAACTGTCATGGTCATCTCTTTTACACTATTTTTCCAGGTATTAGGTTGGTGCCAAAGTAATTGTCATTTTTGCCATTGAAAGTAATAGCAAAAACCACAATTACTTTGACACCAACCTAATATATAATGACTTCTACAATTTGAGTAAATATTGGCTGCTCTGTTTACCATTCTTTGAGTTTTTTTGATTTCTGTGATACTGCAATTTCCTGATTTTCCTCCTATACCTATGGGTTGTCCTTCCTCTGTCTCCCCATAGACTCTTCCTCCTAGAATTCCTTAGAGCTTTACCCCAAATTATCTTTTTCCCTTAGGCTAATCTCTCTACTTAGATGATATTATTTGCCCTAATAACTTCAGTTATGAACCATATGTTAAGGACATCAACATTTTAATGTCTAATCTGAACTTTCCTTCTGAGACATCTCCATTTTGATGGCTTAGATGAATATTTACTTATTTCTAAAAGATTTGTATCTACCTCCAAACCCATTGCTCCTCTACATATCTGGTCAAAGTATAATTGGGTAGAACTTAAAAAGAATGTTAGCTACATGCCTTTAAAAGGCTTAATATATTTATAATTTTTGAATGACGCACTTCCAAGAATTTTAAAATTTAAGAAAATTTCAAAGAATTCTTATTAAAGTAATAATCATATATAGATACATTGTAAAAAAGTTACCTAGTATAGTTTATGAAAACTTGGAACATCCCAGTCCTCATCATTATGTATTTGGCATACACAGACTGAAGAATAGTTAAAAAAATAGACATATAGAAAAAAATATGCTGAAGTGTACAACATGCATTGTTAACTGAAAAAGCAGTGTTCAAATGAGTTTACATTAGTTATAGGAACAGTGATCTTTTCTATACATACAAAATGATATATAAATATAGCTGTGAAGAGAGAAATATGGTGATAGAGAAAAGTAGATGATAGATACAAATATGATTTGTACTCTTAGGGGAAACATTCTTAAATCTAACTACCAGTTTACAGAGAATATGGAGTATAGTGGTTCATGCTAAACGATGCTATGAAGTTATGAGTCAAATTTGGACTTTAGAAAACTCTAGAATATACAATTATGTAGCATCAACTATTAAACGAAGTTTAAGAGACACAGCAACCAATTAAAATATGTGAATCTTGTTTTGGTCCCTATTCCATCAAAAATGGTAAAAAAGACATTTGTAAAAGAATTAGAAAGCTTTAGAAGTAATGTATTAAATGATATTATTGAATTATTGTTTATTTTTAAGGTGTTACTTTGCTTTGGTTAGGTTTAAACAAATGTCCTTATCCATTGAGATACACACAGACATTTTTATTGGTGATATATATTTATTGGTAATATATTATATATAATATATTTATATTTATATATATTTATTTATATATTATATATATTTATTTATATATAATATATATCATATATAATATATATTTATATATAAATATATAATATATATAATATATATTATATATAAATATATATTACATATAAATATATATAATATATATAATATATATTATATATATAAATATATTTACATATAAATATATATAATATTTATATATTTATATGTAAAAATATAAATTATATATAAAATATATATTATATATAATATATATTATATATAAATATATATTATATATAAAATATATATTATATATAATATATATTATATATAAAATTCAGTTCATTATATATATATATATGAGTTTATTAAGGAATTTTAACCACACGATCACGATCACGAGGTCCCACAATAGGCCATCTGCAAGCTTAGCGGCAAGGAAGCCAGTCTGAATCCCAAAGCTGAAGAATTTGGGAATTTGATGTACAAGGGCAGGAAGTATCCAGCACAGGAGAAAGATGTAGGCTGGGAGGTTAAGCCAGTCTAGTCTTTTAATGTTCTTCTGCCTGCTTTTATATTCTGGTTTCACTGACAACTGATTAGATGGTGCCCACCACATCAAGGATGGGTCTGCCTTTCCCAACCCACTGAGTCAAATGTTAATCTCCTTAGGCAACACCTTCATAGACACACCCAGGATCAATACTTTGCATCCTTCAATCCAAACAAGTTGACACTCAATATTAACCATCACAAGTCCATCCGTTGTCAATTCGAACCCATACACATCTCCTCAGATCATATATAATCTTCAAAAAAGGCAATAATGTCATAATTATGCCTAACAAAGTACAACTGGAAACACACCAATCCCCAAACTGAATGCTATTACATAAAGTTAACAATAATTAAATCCTGATATTAAGTCAATAAATCTTATGTCACATGATAAAGGAAAAAGGAAATAAAATGAAGATATTTTCTTAGTACAAGTGTATACACACACAAACATATTTTTCACAAAAGAAGGAAATACTCGTGACAGTTACAGTCCTTGTTTCTGCAGCTGTTCACGTCATCATAGCTGGTATCAATGACTACCTATTCTTCTACTACCCATTCTGTATTCACTTTGCCTTCAGCAAGTGGCTCTGCAGGTTGTGGCTTTTTTCCTGGTGGAGTGACCCAAAAATGCTGAGCACTCTACTTCTAAGTGTGAAGAACATTGATAGTCCTTGGCATGAACTGTTTACAGATTTATGCAAAATAAGTACATTTGACACTACTGATTCACTGCTTGTGAGAGGCAAGGAGTTAGCGACTGTATAAGTAATACATTTGACTATATGTGGAGAACCAAGGAACATAATGAAGTTGGTTGGTTGCTCCTAAGTTTACTGGACAAAGTGATGAAAGAAAAAGATGTACGCAGAGATGCTACCATTCTACCTCCCAGCTTCCCAGCTTCAGAAGCAGATACTGAGCCTCAAATCTGCTAAGATTGCCCTGAGAGTCTTATCTCTTGCAGAGAATGAATTGAAATTGTGGAAAATCAGACACAAGCTCTTATCATGCAAGTGGCTGCCCTGCCATGGAAGGTGCATGCACAGCCTCACCAGGTGTCTACTGCTAAAGTGAAGCCAGCAATTGGAAAATAATGGGACACTGAAATGTGGAATTGGGATGTGTGGGAGGACCCTGATGAAGCTGAGGACACTAAGTTTATAAACTCTGATGAAACGTTTTTGCCAGAAGGAACAGTTTCCCCATCCCCAGTAGGGGCAACATCCCCTCCCCAACCCATGCTGCCATCAGCCTTTCTATCTTTGTCTGAGGAGATAAACCCTGCACTACTTGAGGCAACAGTGATGGCTTCCCCTGAGAGGCAGTTGCCAGGCAAAATAATGTTGATTCTCTTCCAGAGCCACCCCCACCACCCCTGTTTACTTCTAGACCTATAACTAGACTAAAGTCTTGGCATGCCCCTAGAGGTGAAGTTGAGTGTGGCCCATGAGGAGGTGCACTGCACTCAAACTGCTTGAGTTTTCTAATTTACGTAAGCAGAAATCTGGAGAAGAGGCATGGGAATGGATATTAAGGGTGTGGGATAATGGTAGAAAAAACATAGAGTTGGATCAAGCTGAATTTATTGACTTAAACCCACGATGTAGGGATTCTGCATTTAATATTGCAGCTTGGGGAATTAAAATTGGTTATAATAGTTTATTTGCTTGGTTAGCTGAAATATGGATTAAAAGGTGGCCCACTGTGAGTGAGCTGGAAATGCCTGCTCTCCCTTGGTTTAATGTAAAGGAAGGGATCCAAAGGCTTAGGGACGTAGGGTTGTGATGGTGGAATGGATTAGTCACTTTATACCTACTCATCTTGGCTAGGATGGTTTGGAAGATATACCCTTGACAAATGCCTTGTGAAATAGATTTGTGAGGGCAGCACTGCATCTTTGAAGAGCCCTGTAATTCCTCTGTATGTCAGATCTAACAGTGGGAATCACAGTCACTCAACTACAAAATGTAAATACAGTGAGAATAATTGGATCCTGAGGTGGCAGGGGCCAAGTGTAGGCACTCAACCATCAAAGGCAAGGTAGGCCTAGCAATGGGAATGGACAGCAGAGGCACAGCAGCAATCAGAATAGTCTGACTTGTGTAGAGCTCTGGCATTGGCTAATTAATCATGATGTTCCTAGAAGTGAAATTGATTGGAAGTCTACCGCATTCCTACTTAATTTATATAAGCAGAAATCTTCCAGGTCGAACAGACAAAAGAATAATTTGAATTACAAAAGAAGAATCACAGCCCATCAATCAAGTTCCAGACTTGAGCCAGTTTACAGACCCAGAACCCGTTGAATGAAGGGGAGGCTGGGTCCCCTTGAGGAAGGATCCCACTACAATACCAACAATTTATGCTGTTATTCTTCTCTCATCCTTCTCCAAGGAGACCTCTGGCTTTTTATCAGGGTAACTGTGCACTGGGGAAAGGGAAATGATCAGACATTTCTGGTACTAGTGAACACTGGCTCTGAGCTGACATTGATTCCAGGGCAGCCAAAATGGCATTGTGGTCCCGCTGTTAAAGTAGGGGCTTATGGAGGTCAGGTAATTAATGAAATTTTAGCTCAGATCTGACTTACAGTGGGTCCAGTGGGTCTCCAGGCTCATCCTATGGTAATTTCCTCAGTGGCAGTGGCATCCAAAGCTTTTTGGATGCGAATCCACTGAGCCAGTGCATACCTAAAATAAACAGTCCTCCTGGTCTTCATATTTGTCTCTCTGGTCCTCAGTTTCTGCAACAGCAGAATGCATAATTAGCATAGGCATACTTAGCAGCTGGTAGAACACCCACATTGGCTCCCTGACTGGTGGGGTGAGGGCTATTATGGTGGGAAAGGCCAAATGGAAGCCATTAGAGCTGCCTCTACCTAGAAAACTAGTAAATAAAAAATAATATTGCATCCCTGGAGGGATTGTGGAGATTCATGCCACCATCAAGGCTTTGAAACATGCAGGAGTCAAGATTCTCATGACATCCCCATTCAACTCTCTTATTTGTACTGTTCAGAAGATAGATGGATCTTTGAGAATGACCATGGATTATCGTAAGCTTAACGAAGTGGTGACTCCAATTGCAGCTGCTCTACCAGTTGCGGTTTCATTGCTTAGGCAAATTAACACATTTCCTGATATCTGGTATGCAGCCATTGACTTGGCAAATGCTTTTTTCTCCATTCCTGTCCCTAAGGCCCACCAGAAGCCATTTGCCTTCAGCTAGCAAGGCCAGGAATATATCTTTATCATCCTACTTCAGGAGTATATCAACCCTCTGGCTTTGTGTCATATTCAGAGATACCTAGATCGGTTTCCACTTCCACAAGATACCACACTGTTCCATTACATTGATCATATTATGTTGATTGGATTCAGTGAGCAAGAAGTAACAAATACACTGGACTTATTTATGAAACATTTGCATGCCAGAGGATGGGAAATAAATCCTAAAATTCAGGGATCTTCTACCTCAGTAAAATTTCTAGGGGTCCAGTGGTGTGGAGCCTGTTGAGATAGTCCCTCTAAGGTCAAGGATAAGTTGCTGCATTTTGCCCCATTCCTAGTACCAAAATCTGTATTAGTTAGGGTTCTCTAGAGAAACAGAATAGAAGATATATATATATATCTCCTGTTATATATATCATATATGATATGACATATATATCATATATGATATGACATATATATCATATATGATATGACATATATATCATATATGATATGACATATATATCATATATGATATGACATATATATCATATATGATATGACATATATATCATATATGATATGACATATATATCATATATGATATGACATATATATCATATATGATATGACATATATATCATATATGATATGACATATATATCATATATGATATGACATATATATCATATATGATATGACATATATATCATATATATGACGTATATCATATATGACGTATATCATATATATCATATACGATGTATATCATATATGACATATATGTCATATATGACATATATATCTACGATATATATCACATATATGATATATCATATACTATATATGATATATCATATACTATATATGATATATCATATACGATATCATATATACGATATATATGATATATATCCGATATATATCATATATGATATATCATATATGATATATCTGATATATATGATATATATCGGATATATATGATATATATCTGGTATATCATATATGATATATATCTCGTATATCATATATGATATGTATCTGGTATATCATATGGTATATCATATATCATGTATGATATATCATATGATATATCATATCATATATATGATATATAGATCATATATATCATATATATGACATATATACTGTCAGAAGATAGATATACTGTTCAGATGTACTGTTCAGAAGTATATATCATATACTGTATCAGTGCAGGTTTACCTAAATCACAGAAATAAAATTTCAAAAGGTAGATTATTGTTATCAGCTAGAAAAATGATAAAAATTCTTAGAAGAGTTTCAGATGTTTCACTTACATAAGTAACCTGTGATTTTGTTTATAACATATCCTTTCCATTTATTATTGGAATAATAATAATAGGATTTGGGATAGAATTTCTAAAATTTCACATATTAATCTTGGAAAAATAACTACTATTTTTATTTTCTTGTAGATAAGAACTGAGTGTTACAAAATATATCTGAATGACTGAAATATTGATTCTGTATTTAAGGCCTAGTTATTTCTACCAATAACCTGTTACCACTAGAATCTCATCAATATCAGTACTGGTAGGATGTTTAATGTCCAGGGACTGCTATTGGGTCACTTTCTCTATTTCTCCCCTCTCTTCTCCTCTCCTTCCCTCGTCTTCTCTCCCCTGTAATTCTCTCCTCTTTTTCTCTCTCTTTAGTTGAGATTCTCTACCTGCTCTTTATCCTAATTCAACTATTCTCATGACTCAAATGTCACTAGTTTGAGAAAGCCTTAAATAGATATAAGAGTTGTGTTCTCTTGCTTTCAATAGGGTTTCTCTAACTCTGGCATAATTAGAATTACATTTTGCTTAATTATTTACATATGTGTTTGTCCCCATCTCCTCACCAAGAGATCCCCTGGAAAGCAGGACCAATGTATCCTTAGCTCTAGTACAATTTGTGAAGCACAGCAGAATTGTAATGAACGCTTATTTTGTAGACGGATAATTGTATTTTTAGGCCCATTTTCCCAACTGTTCAAGTAAGTTAATCTTGTTCTCTGTGAATACCTTCAACATGGATTAAATGGGATTTTATAGACTAGAAAATGTGTTTTCCCCTTTAGAGGTACCCAGTACAGGTAGGAGAATAATTTATCTGGGATATATTTTGGGATGTCTAAAACACTATAGGAGGAAAGGAAGTTAAATAGGACCAGCACATTATCTTACTAATCTGAATCAAGGACCCAGAATCCCTACACTTGTCTTCCTAACCAGATAACTGGAGAGTGTCTTCACGTATTGCAATCGAGACCGGGAAGTATCCCTAAATTACGTCTACCATCTTGTACATGCCTTTTGAGTTGCATGAAATGCCACTGAAGTATTCAGGGATGACACCAGAAATTAGATTTAACCTAGTAGTCAGGATATGAAATGATAGACCATTCAGTGATAACCACATCAACAAGAGCAGCAAAACGCTGACAAGGTTTATTGATGGTCTTCATCATGACTAAAATTGCTGACAGATATTAGTTATCTCTCAGGATTATAATTCATCTATCTTAGTAGTTATATAAATCCTGTGCTCAGGTAAAACCCTTGGCAGCTTTACAAAAATATGAAGCTTTACATGGCTAATTTATAAGAAACACTACAGGGCATCTAAATGGTCTTATTTGAAAATGTTGATCAATAAATACTAAAATTCACATTCTAAAGGTAAAATAGTTTGACCTCCACCATCAATTAAGACTATTACGACATGAAAGTAGGTTTTAAATGGAGTAGTAGAAGAAATAGCAATGAGCTTCCATTTATCAGTAATTTACTGCCTGCCAGACTATGTACTAAGCACTGAAATTTTAAACATTTCTCATGTATACCACTGTATAATCAGAGAAATACTATTATGCATATTTGATAGAAGAAGAAATAATAAGCAAGGTTAAGTAACTTTCACATTTTGACTAAGCAAGGGTTAGTTCCAAACCTAGTTGTGTCTCCCTGCTTGAAAATGCTCTGCTATTAATTACTAACTTCTCTACTATTCGTAGTAAAATGCCTTCTCTGCTACTATGCCAGAAGTATTAGCTCTGTACTATAAAATAAAAAAAAAGCTTTAGGCAAATTAAATTTAATAGAGTTTAATTGAGCAAAGAACAATTCACAAATCGTGCAGCCCCCAGAACTATAATAGGATCAGAGTGACTCTGGGACTGCCACATGGTCAGATAACACTTATGAACAGAGAAAGAAGGTAACATATAGACAGCAAAACCAAGGTGCAGAAACAGCTGGACTCATTACATCTGAGCCTTTGCCTTATTTGAACCTGGTTTTAACAGTTGGTTGCCTGTGGTTGCCTGAAGTTTAGCTGCTGTGGGTCTGTCTACAGAACAAGTTGGGTTACAGTTTACTATGTAAACCTTTAGACCAAACCTAAAATCTGTACAGAGGCAGCTTTAGGCCAAGGCCATTTAATTTAATGGAACTTTCCTCCTCACTGGGAATTTGGCTGTTCATCTAGATGTATTAGTTAGTTACTTAGAGAAGAAAGGTAATTGTAATTTTGTGAGAGGACAGAAGAATATTCCTGTTGGAAAGAAGATAAGAATGTCTAAAGACGCATTTTCCCCTTTCTCATTTATTAGGGATCACATTCTTTAATTGAATAGGAAAAACAATCTAGAAATAATAACAGTCACCATATACTCAGTGCTTGATATGTACCAATTATTTTGGTAAGTATTTTACATATATTATCCACAATTGTTTATAAAACTGCCTCAAAGTAAAAGTTTGTTGTTTTACAAATGAGAAAAATTGGGCTTGGAGAGATTAACGATTTGCCAAAACTCAAAGAGAGATAATGCTAGTGGTTGTCAGGCATTGCATATAAATGCCTATAATAATAAAATGCCCATATGCTCTCTGATCTGGCAAAGTTGAGAAGATTGACAAAATTGAGGGATGAAAGTGTCTTATGTAGAGGTGAAAGGAGATGGCATCACTAGCATGAATTCTATAAGAATAAAGGTTCCCATCCCTCCCCTCTGATTATAATCATAATTCAACATTTCTATTAAAAAAGTAACCCATTTTAAAAATAATGCTCATATACTAATCGATAATTATGCTTATTATTCAGTGATTACTTAGAATGTGCTCCTTACCACATAATCTATTCTTTCAAGAACCTTGTTTGTAAGTGAGGTTTGCACTCCTATCTCTGGCAAAAAAGGCACAGAGACTTAGAAACGTTAAAGACATTGCCAAAAGTACTGCAGTACATTTGTGATTAAAATAAGGATTCATACTCAGAACTGGTTAATCCCTTTCCCTATATTCTTATCTAAGGAAACCATCCTGTTATTACTATCATCCTTTTAATGCATCCTATTAATAACATTTCATCAGGTGAATGTAAATTACATCCAAAGAAACATGCTTTCCCAGAAAAATAGAGATCTTTGAACTAGATGAAGAGTATCTAGCCTCAGCTAACCAGACTTTAGTCCTATTCAGGAGCTGTCATAGACATTAAGACATTGTGACTAAGACAGAATCCTTATCGGTTGGAAATCACTAATAGTTGAGGAGAAATAGTTGAATGATACTATAATCACTAAGAATACTGCTTATCCCTGCAACATACACATCAGAGAGACTGGTAATTTTAGACCATCCCTTAGTTCTGAGAATAACTTACAATGTGCTTTGATATCAGAGTCTCATTTGCTCTGATGCTGAACTTGTAAACTGAAGGCTATTATTGTGAAAGGATGGGGTTGGGATAATCAGAAACTTAGCTGTATTCATAAATGAGGTATTGATACCTCAGGGAAAGAAAAATCAAGAATATAGTAACATTGTTGAGAGTCTGTTAGGATTCTTTCGTATAATGAGAAAATTCAGACAGGATCATATGATAATTAAGGGAACTCATTTTTGATATGCAAATATAACTCTAAAATGTAGATTGATAAACCAATGCTCACAAGAGAGGTTTCTAAAGAAAAATATTGCAAATTTCTGTAGTTCTTATCAGTCACTTGGATCATAACATAGAAGCCACCTTTTTCATATTTGTGGATGACACAGATTTAGGAGGATTATCTAATATATTTCATGACAGTGGCAGGGTTCACAAATCTTGATATACTAGAATGATGGACTGAAACCAATAAAGAAGAATTTGACAGAAATAAATAAAAGATTCTCCATTTAGATTAAAAACAACTTACATAAACACAGATTCAGAAAGTCCTATCTCAAAAGCAGCTGAGTGAAAATGTTGGTGATAGAAGAAGCTGGTAATAGATACCAACAATGAAACAAGAATTTTAAAAAATATTAAACTCTAAGTTGTTTTAATGAGAATGTTAACAGTATGCAATAGCTCTATGTCAGGGTTTTTCAAAGCTGGAGCCAAGACATATTACTGAGGTTTGAATCACTTTGTGGATCCTAAAGAGAAAAGTGTTTTATTTTTAGTTGTTATAACAAAAAAAAAATAGAAAAGGTTAGAATGGAATAAAAAGAACAAGGGAACATTGTTCATGCAATGTGTATAAAGAAATAATTGTGTATACTTGTGTGTATTTGTATGTGATGACTATCAGTTCCATGAGAAGAAGTGTTTTTGACTGTACCAATTTCTTCTGAATACCCAGTACATAGACGTAGAAAATTGCACACATGGAGTGTGCTCAATAAATACTATGTACTGAATTAGGATGAAAAATGTATTTCTTTTACTGCAGGTTATGTTGAAAAAGTTTAAAGGCCATAGATCTCTGTTAGTTTACAAAGTAAAATACACAGGGACACGGGGATACCTGCAAAGTTTGGAAGACATGGTAACAATTTGCAGAGCATCTAAATGAATTCTGTCAAGCTGGACCTATCTGCTTTAGAAACCATATCATTTTGGAAACTGGAAGTTATGATGCTTAACCCCAAAAATTTCTGGGACTTTAATAGATATCTCCATACAAATGAAGGGCTTGCAAGTGAAAGTATAAAAATTTCAACAGGTCTTGCACCAGGAGGCACACTTTTTTTAAAAAGTACTTGCATTCTTAATATTGTGGAAATACACAAACAATAAATTTTTACAAAAAATATCAACAGTAGGGAAAGGAACTGCTTTTAATACTTTCGATAGTTGATGGTGCCCTGATACTGATTTTGTTTTTAAAACAGAAACATTCCCACATTTGCAATGAGAATAGATACTGCGAGTTCTTTGTAAATCTACTTAATTTTTAGTTTAGTTTTCCTCGATGCAAAGATTATTACCATATTAAAGAAATTAAAGTAATTAGTTGGCTAGTTGGTTTGTTGTTCTAGGAACAGAACTGGTACTGAGAAAGAATGCAGAAAGCAACTGAATTAGAATATATAAGCTGTTAAGGGCATAATATAACCAAAGGACAGAATAATATATTTCTGAAGGGAGACAGAAAAATAGATATCTAGAAATCAGTGTATTTTTCCTCAGTTTTTTTCATACATAGATTTCTAAATGATTTTGGGTTATATTAAGATTTTTCTAGGGTATTATCTTCCATTGACCTAATAGATAATTCTCACACTATATTTTAAAAATACTATTTTTGTAAATATATATGATATTTATAAAATAGCTATTATATAAGCTATAAAATAGATTTCTTGTGTATTTTATGTAATATACATTATTGTAGAATATCTATTATTAATTTTGGTAGAAAAGTTTCATATTATTAATTTTTCTTAATTAGTCTTATCTAATCTCTTCTGTTTTTTCAAATGAAATCTAGAATAATTTTAACAAGTTGCAAAAGCAACCTCATTCGTATTTTATTTGGATCTCATACCTGTAATTCATGAGAATGAAAAGGTATTCTTACATTTTTCTTCTTTCCATCCATGAATATAGTATATCTCTCTCAGTTAGGAAAAAAATGTGCTCCCCAAAATGCTTGTTTAACAAGTTATTCATATATGTTTCTTTATATGTACTAAAATACAATCTTGTGCATTTAATAGAGCTACATATTAGTAGTCAACATCTCAAAATAGTTTTAGATAGACTTGATAAACAAAATAAAGGATTGAACAAAAAAAAGACATTCAATTTATAATTTTACAGAGTTTATACCTGCAATTTAAAGGCAATGAATGGTAAGGCATGCTCGAAATTATTTAATAGAACCTGTTACTTTGAGAGTTAGAAGTAGCTCAGAAAATGCTCATGACTAATGTGCTCAGAAACCTCTGCATGAAAAGAACAAACAGAAAAATATAAAGAGCAATAATGCCAATTGTACTATAACTTGACTACATTTGAAATGTAGTCAAGATACACTTCATTTAAATTACAACACACAACAGCAATCCCATTACTCATTTTATGCACTTGAAATAAAATTGTTCTACCAAAAAGACACATGCACTCATATGCTTATTGCGGCATTATTCTCAATAGCAAGAACAGGGAATTAACCTAAGTGTTCATCAATAGTGGATTGGTTTAAAAAAGTGTGATATATATACACCAAGCAATACTACACAGGCCATTAAAAAAATAAAGTCACGTCCTTTGCAGGAACGTGGATGCAGCTAGAAGCCATTCTTGTAAGCAAACCAAAGCAGAAAGAGAAAAGCAAATATTGCATGTTCTTATTTATAAGTGGTAGCTAAATCTTGGGTTTACACAGACATAGATGGGAATAATAGACATGGGAGACTCTGAAAGGGAAGGGACCATGGCTGAAAAACTTCCTATTGGGTACTATGTTCTCTACCTGGGGTGTGGTATCAACAAAAGCCCAAAGCTCAGCACCATGCAATATACCCTTGTAACAAATCTGGTCATGTACCTTCTGAATCTAAAGTAAAAATGGAAATTAAAAAAAAAAAACTACTAAACACAATACCAATGAAAATATAAAAAGCTAAATATGCAGAAATCTCAGGGACCAAACTATGTGAAAATGTTTACTGAGTAGGTTCTTTGCGTTAAGCATTGTTTCAAAGACTGGTGAAAATGAGATGTAGAAAAAGAGATGGACAGTCTCTGTTCTCATGAAAATTTTGGGGAGCAGGTATGGAGCTCTGGGAATGTGGAGGACATTGAGTGTGAGTAAGTAAACTACTAAACTGCTATAAAACAAGCAAAAAGTGGCAAGATAATTTTACACAGTGATAAGTGAAGGGAGAATATAAAATGGGATGGGAACAAGAATAATTTGTTCTGGAGTGGAAACTGTATTTCAGGAAATAGTATTACAATTTGTTTTGTAAGCACAGTCCAGCTTGACTTAAGAGGCATGCAAATAATTAGAGACTATGTTCAGAGAATAATTGAAGGTGGTGAAAGTGCATACAGAACTGAGTCACAGAATATAAACAGAGCCTTCTCAGCTTGCTATTAAGTAGATAATTTCCCTCAGTCCCTTTCATTCTTTAGAATGTTTTCTCTGGGAAGGGGAGGTGGGGGGAGGAGGAGGAGGAGGAGAAGAAGAAAGAGAGAGAAAGAGAGACAGAGGAGAGAGAGAGAGAGAGACAGAGGAGAGAGAGAGAGAGAGATGAGGGAGACAGAGGAGAGAGAAAGAGAGAGACAGGAGAGGAGAGAGACAGAGACAGAGAAAGAAAATAAAGACATTGAGAATTTTGTGGAATTTAATAATAAACCTATTAAAATGTTGATTTTAAAATGTCTTTCATCAATTGCCTTATTTGGACTATTTCTTGTTTTAAAAAATCCATTTCATACACTTCCTTTCATATGATGTTCTGGACGCTGTTCTTAGATTCTTTCAAAACAGAATAGTATGGAAGCTCTAAGGAAATTTATAAATTAGTAGAAAGGAATGATTGCTAATGTTAGAAAAAAGCAAATGTCATAGAAAAAATATCAAATACAGTATTGCATGTACTTAAATGAGCTGTGATAAAGAGAACCTTTGAAGTGTTTCGTATTCATGAAGAATGAAATATGATGTCTACAATATTTGTGAAACAACCATAACATGGTTTTTATGGTTTGAATGTTTGTCCCATCCAAAACTTATGTTGAAGTTTTGTTGCCAGTGTGGAGGTGCTAGGCTGTGGGGCCTTTGGGAGGTAATAAGGTATGGGTTCCACCCTAATGGGTGAAATGAATGCCTCATAAAAGGGTGAATTTGGCCCTCTTTTGTCTCTTTGCCCTTCTGCCTTCTGCCATGTGGTAACACAGTTATACTGCCCTCACCAGATGCTGTTGCCTTGTTCCTGGACTTCCAAGCCTACAGAACGGGAAGAAAATAAGTTTCTGTTTATTAAAAATTATCCAGTCTCAGGTACTCTGTTGTGGCAGGACAAAGCAGACTAAGACAATGTTCAAGTAGAAAAGATACTAAGTATGGACATTTGACAGATTCATAAAACATCAGTCAAAAATGCTTCACTCATTAATGTGTGAATTTGCACATGGGTAAATTATGTTTTGAATGTTTGGAATATGGAGTTAAAATATGGCTTATTCTTTTTTCATATAATTATTAAAAGTAATTTACCAAATAGATTTCAAAATTTTTATTGAAAATATTTGATTAATGAACTTATAGATTATAGTGTCTGCAATTAAAACTAAAGAATAGGAGGGCAAAAGCTAACAATTCTCCAAGGACTATTATAACATGTTCATCAAAATATTGTAAGATCAAATATTGCATTAATATATTCCTGCTCAGGAGTACTCTTATAAAATGAAATGACAAATTTGTTTCTCCCTGAGGCAGTTTGAAACATAGATTTGATGACTAAAGTCACGAAGTGATTAGTGTCCAAAGCATAAGACTTTTAAAACTCCAATATTTTCATAAAAATGATTTATCATTACATTTGTCACCAAAAGTAATGCACAAACATAGACATTGTGGATGCTGATTAATTATGCATCTCAACTTTTAGTTAATTACATGCCCTAATTATACAATTTAATGTATAGTACTTATAACAATTAAACAATTAGAATATGTGACTGGAACTGTTGCTATATAGTGAAAGATCTTAATCTATTTTAGATAGAAATGAGAAAAAAAACACATAGTCATCCACATTTTTCTTAAATAAGGGAAATGAAAACGACATCTTAAAAGGAGATTAAATACTATACTATAAATAAGGGTAATATTTGTCTAGGGAGCTGTCTGGATCCAGTGTCTATGGAAATTCTCTTAAAAAATACAAAAATTAACTATATATTCAATCACACACAACATGGAAATTTTGACACTATAATATTAGTAAAGATAATCAGCCACATTGTTGTACTTGATTCTTTGAGCATATATCATCAACATAATTGTGAGAGATAAAAATATTAATGTCAAGATGGCAGATAGTGGAGACATAAGCTAAGAAAGCCTTATATTTCTGTAGACAGGTAAGTTGGTCAGGTACCAATGTACATGCATGTTCTCAATAGTTAAATCCCTGTAAGATATGGGTACCTTAATTGTCATAGAGAACTAAAGAAGTATGATATTAAAGGAGGCTCCTGAAAGGTAAACTCAAAATAGGTAGGAAACCATTATTGACCACTGTTTAAGTCATTAGGTGAATGGCTGTGCAGAATTTTATAATTGATAGATTAGGATGATGTGTTGGTTAATACTGAGTGTCAACTTGATTGCATTGAAGGATGCAAAGTATTGATCCTGGGTGTGTCTGTGAGGGTGTTGCCTAAGGAGATTAACATTTGAATCAGTGGGCTGAGAAAGGCAGACTCATCCTTAATCTAGGTGGGCACCGTCTAATCAGCTGCCACCATGGCCAGAACATAAAAGCAGGCAGAAAAACATGAAAAGACTAGACTGGCTTAGCCTCCCAGCCTACATCTTTTTCCTGTGCTGTGTGTTTCTCTTCTTGCCCTTGAACATTGGATTCCAAGTTCTTCAGCTTTGGGACTTGGACTAGCTTCCTTGCTCCTCAGCTTGCAGGTGGCCTATTGTGGGACCTTGTGATCATGTGAATTATACTCCTTAATAAACTCCCATATAGGAGATACATATATGATATATATAATATATCATATATGTGATATATGATATATATGTGATATATGTGATCTATATGATATATAGATCACATATGTGATATGATACATATCACATGCATGTGATGCGTGCGACATATATATCACATGCATGCGATGCGTGCGACATATATATCACATGCATGTGATGCGTGTGATATATATATCACATACATGTGACGCATGTGATATGTACATCTCACATACATGTGACACATGTGATAGGTACATCTCAATACATGTGACGCATGTGATAGGTATATCACACATATATGTGACACATGTGATAGGTATATCTCACATACATGTGATACATGTGATATATATCTCACATACATGTTAAATTTGTTAGACTGAGCTAGAAGTCTAGAAAGAAAAATTGTACTACAGTAACTTTATACTTCTAAAATTATTTCTAAGAGGAAAGAGATGAGATTTATTAAATTTTATATAGATATTTTAGTTAGTTAATGTTGCATAGTCTTTTCAACTTAAAAGTTTAGGTCTAACATTCGACTCAAAACTTGTTGTTAACAAAGTGTTAATATGCTTTTATCTATGCAGTTAACACAATTGTGCCATTTGCAAGTAATTTACCTTAAGAGATATTACCAAATCTTTAAAATTAATAAAAATTAAGCATAATAATGCATGTTTACATTAAAGTCCTACTTAATCAGAAAGATTCAATTTACAAAGGTAGTTTAAAAGCAAGTCATTATGTCTAAATGGTCCAGTTGGTTATTTCCATTCATACTTCACCTTGAAACCTAAATTAACTACATCATAAAGCAGAGTTTTATACATTACCAAAAATATTTTGAGTTATACTCTGAAGCAGAGATTAGCCTTTAGAGGTCATTTTTCTGCTTTATCTTAATTGGCTAGCACTTTCCCCTAAGTTCTAGCTAATTGATACAGAAATAAGTCATACATCTATTTCACTCTGAGATAGAAGGTCAGCATGCATCCAATAGTAATATGCTATTCTTTTTCTGCCATAAGTTTTATAGATAATTATCTTTCTTAAAGTCAGCAGACTACAGGCTCAAACATGACAGTGGATTAATAATATCATATTAATTGTAATGATTGAACTCATTTTCCCTGGTGTTCCTGTGCATACCGATCATGAAAAATGGCAGGCAAACATTTACACAGATCGACTGAGAATTCAAATTTAAATGTATCAATACTTATTGTTTTAGTTATTTTGACTTGTTGAATAAGAACAAGCACATTAATGGTATTTACAGAGAAAAAATAAACTTCATAGAAATCAGTTATCAAGCAGAAGTGTTAAGATAAATGTGTCAGATTGACCAAGGTAAGGAGAACCAGGGAGCCCAGCAATGGAAAAGACCTTTCTTTTCTGTGAAAACAAGGCAGTGGACTGGGGACTCCAAGATGTAACTATGAGCATTGCCCTCAAGCCTTAACAGTCTCTTACTAATGTAAAGAGAATATTTTTGTTTCCCATAATAGAAGAGAGAGCAGATAGTTCCAGGAGGAAAAAGTGCACAGAAAACAACAGTGCACACTTTATAAGAACATATTCAAATTACAAGATATAAAATTTCCTGGGCCGGGAATGGTAACTCACACCTGTAATCCCAGCACTTTGGGAGGCCGAGGCACGTGGATCACCTGAGGTCAAGAGTTTGAGATCAGCCAGGCAACATGGTGAAACCCTGTCTCTTCTAAAAATATGAAAATCAGCCGGGTGTGGTGGTGCATGTCTGTAATCCCAGCTACTCAGGAGGCTGAGGCAGGAGAATTGCCTGAACCAGGAAAGTGGAGGTTGTGGTGAGCCGAGATTGTGCCACCACACTCCAGCCTGGATGACAGCGATACTCCATCTAAAAGAAAAGAAAATTTCCTGTGATGGAAATTAGAGTGAGATATGGAGATAAAGGGAATTAACTAACTTTAAAAATTATACTCTCTCTTATGAATTGAGTTAAACCAAACAAAATTTCAAGAATTATAATAAAATCCAAATATAAGCAAAAAAAATCTAAAAATAGACAGTGCTTTTTCATTATCTAGCAATATAACAAAGTAAAAATGTTTTAAAGAAAACTTAAAAATTGGCACATTCTTGATAATAGAAAAATTATAGGGATAAGTATATAATGGTTTTCATAATGCAGATGCACACTGTGAAAAATGAAGTTAAGGCACATGTATGAAAAGTGAACACCAAGTCCTCAGAAAGGGATTCAGCACACAATGTTCCCCCAACTCCATCTAGAAGCACAAGACCAGCTCATTCCAAAACCAAAATTCTGGCCACTCAGCGCTGCTCACCCGTTTCTTAGCATTCTCTTCTTTCTCTAAAATATTCACTTTTCTCACCCTTTTTTTTTTTTTTTTTTTGCAACTTTGAGAACTAAGGCTCAAATCTCTTCTGTGACACAAAGAGACATCTTGATATTACATTTATGCACCACTGTTCTTCTTCCCCCATAAACAAAAACAAAACCAAAAATAACATTTTCACATAAAAGCATTTTGTTTTAACTTAAACTAGCAAGAATAGATGTAAATGTGATGGTCCAGGGGCACAGACTGTGTGGCCACATTGCCTGGGCTCCAGTCAGGCTCACCAGTTACCAGCTCATAGCCTTTAGGCAGGTTGTGCCACTTTCTCTAAAGTCGATAATCCTAGGACCTACTTTGTGTGCTTCTCAGTGAAATTAATTGTGAGGTGCTTATCACAATTCTTGCCTCATATATGACTCGTATATTTTTAATAAATAATCTAGGCTTGTGGAAAATATGAAGAAATGTTAATCTCTCTCACACATCCAGAAGAGAAAGAAAAATCAGATATGACATCTCACTTCTTATTTCCTGGTTACTATGTGTATTCTTCTACATATTTTTAGATTGCCAAATGGAAATATTTAGCTCCTTGAAAAACATAAAATTAAATATTATCTGGAAACTTAGAGAATAAAAGTTGTACATGGACATATTTGTTGGAATGTCTAGCTCTGAAAAATCAAGCATCAACATTCAGTCTAAGTGCGAATACATTTTTATTTTAATTATTTAGTTGAGAATTTTCCAAGGAACTTTCCTGTCTTCTTTAAATGGAATATGGTAAGAAAATTTTGTGTCTTTTTCTTATAATCCAGATTATTATTATAACATCAGGCTTTGTATTGAATTTTACAGCAGTAAGGGCTACAAAATATATTAAATTGTTTAGAGCACTTGGTATTGTATTAATTGTTTATGCTTTGTTTGTTTGTTTTGTTTCTTGAGATGGAGTTTTGCTCTTGTTGCCCAGACTGGAGTGCAATGGCACAATCTCAGTCTCGGCTCACTGCAACCTCCACGTCTCAGGTTCAAGCAGTTCTCCTGCCTCAACCTGCCAAGTAGCTGGGATTACAGGCATGCACCACGATGCCTGGCTAATTTTTGTGTTTTTAGTGGAGATGGGGTTTCACCGTGTTCGCCAGGCTGGTCTCGAACTCCTGACCTCAAGGGATCCGCTCACCCCAGCCTCCCAAAGTGATGGGATTACAGGCATGAGCCACTGCGCCTGGCCATTTATTCTTTTTTAATGATTTTCCTTGTTGTCTGTCAACAGTCCTCTGATACAAACAACAATGTAAAAATCCCTCATCCTCTTTCAAGTTTGCTACTTTCCAATATCATGTGCATTAAAACCAAGGAATGATGCATTTTTAAATTGTATGTAATATGATAGTATATAGATCTGATTAAAGTGCTGGGGGATTTTCTAATGAGATAAGGGCATTAGCCTAATGTATTAACTCTGATATCTAGATGGCTGGCAAGAGACCTACGCATTCTCTTCAGTTGGGTAGTTAGCTGATTTAGTTGCCTGGAAAACTGAGCCTACCTTCTTACATGCTAATATGTGATGAAGAGTAAATTCCAAGGGAAGGAAGATAGAGAAGAGGTGGGGCGGCTAGGAAAGGATGGTTTCCTATGAATAACTGTGTCTCCAAAGAATCTGTCTAGAGAAAGGATGGCAAAATAATTTTCTCATTGGCTTCTGTCTTCCACTGATGAACATTTGCCTTACACGGTGTCAATTCCTTCACACTTATCAGTTGTGCCATCTGTCCTCTCAGATAAGTTATCAGGGACATCTGGTTCCAAGACAGCCATGGTATCACCCAAAGTATAAGCCACAGTGTGCAGGGAATGTCAGCAAGTGGGTACAAACTGGCATTCCTCTCTGCCAGCAGCTTACAGCCTCCAGGGCCAGGTCTGGCAAGCTAATATACTTTTGTGGGCTCATAGCAGCCCTCTGCTCCTTTCTTGGCTGCATGGGAACAGAGACTCTCCAGAGCAGAAGGCCAAAGTACCTTGAACAAGGCATGTGGCAGCTTACCATTGGGTTGTGTCCCTGAGAGATATGAGGGTCTGGGACCAAATACTGCAGTAGGCCAAAGTACCTTGAACAAGGCATGTGACAGCTTACCATTGGGTTGTGTCCCTGAGAGATATGAGGGTCTGGGACCAAATACTGCAGAAGGCCAAAGTACCTTGAACAAGGCATGTGGCAGCTTACCATTGGGTTGTGTCCCTGAGAGATATGAGGGTATGGGACCAACTACTGCAGAAGGCCAGGCCAGCCAAGTAGGCCAAGGATCAGAGAGAACTGGTCCCTCTGAGAGGTAGATATTGCACACCAGTAGTCTACTTCCAATAATGGCAGAAAGACACTCTTCGGCCTAGCTCCTGGTATTAGGTGACCTTTTCTCTAGGATCGACACAGCATCCAATAGATGTTCAGAACTGAGGAATCCCTGTGGCTCATAATCTGGATCAAAATATGCTAAGTCCTTATTAAGTGAGTGAACACTCAAACAAATAATCTAAACTATGTTCTCATTGCTTCCACTTATTTGATGAGCAGTAAAAATCTTGCGTGTAGTTTTTACTTTCAACATAAATGAAATGCTTTCTAAGCACGTGCAATATTTACTGTTCTTAGATTATTTGCCAGGGCACTTGTAGAACCAAAAGGAAAATCGACAGAATTTCTTAGGCTGTTTCTGACAATCTAGGAATATTTTGCTCATTGTTTATTTCTAGAGCCAGAATTATTAGTTAAACCCTCCAGTACAAAGATATGAATGGGAAGTAATTTATAGAGGTTTTTCATATATAGCTACAGAATTAACTTACTTTGTAATACCACAATGAGATGAGATTTTAAATATATTACTAGGCAAATAATTACTAGGCAAATAAATAAATTTAAGTTTTTGTCTGATGCTCTATAATTACGATAATTTCTGCTTCAAACTAGTGGTTTTTGCTACTCTGAAAATAATTCCTGACAAAGTTGAGCCATAACGAATTACTAAGCACATACTTGTAACAAACACAGAAGTTATTTGTCATCTTTACAGCATACTATAAGACTAATAATGGGATAAATAATAATGTAATTTTACGTGTTGCCACCCAGCACTAGGCATAAAAAACTCCTCTCTAAAATGCTAATAAAATCTGTGAACTTCCTTTTAAAAGAATCACTCTGCCTTTCCATTTACTCCCTAGTTAATACTACAGTTTTTATCAAGTTTTTTTTTTAATTGCCAGCTGAAAATAAAGAATTCATTCACATGGGCATTGTCTCTCTGCATTCCTGTTTCTTTCCAACCAGGAGCAGGATAGGGCTTCAATAATCCTAACTTCTGGGCATCCGGAAAAAAGGGTTTGTTCCAAATCCATACAAATGCTGAATCTTAACATCTGAGAAGGGTGATGGTGATTTTGCCATGGAAATTCAGTGAGCAGTAATCTTAACATTGACTGAGGATTAAGTAAATGGTGAGAAAATGGAGATCCCCTTGTACCCAGCAGTCCTTATAACTGCTAATTTACTACATGATGTTAATTAAATGAAGCTGGCTTCATAATGGCAATGTATGGTGCCTGCGTAGGAAAGCTGTTAACATAATTATATCTCTAACACAGGGAGCAGAGCAGATTACAATTACTAGAAAGCCATGGGATACGGATACCATGAGTGTTGCATTAGGAGGTGGATTTACAGTTCTAAATTTCCCCAATACAATGTGCAATTTGTATTTAAGTTTGTATTCATTAGGTGGCATCTAATAGAGATATTTAAAATATAAGCATTCTTCTCTAGGTAATCAGTTTTTAAATTCAGAAAAGGAGATAGAGTGTATTTATGTGTGTGTATGTGGGTAAAATAAATTTTGGTGTGCAGTTTCCTGCCTTGTCAAAATATTACCTCTTTTGAAGTATAAATGATGTGACAGTTACATATCAAACCATAAATAAAAATTGGCCTATAAGAATGAAAGTACCTTAATATGCAATATTGGATCCCACTTCTCCACACTCTTTACCTCTTATCTCCCACCATGGCAACATATTATTAAATATCATTCAAAGAATATGAGACTGAAAAAGTAAAACCTCTCAAAGGTGAAATATTTTCAAAGCCAGTTTACGCTATTGAAAATAATTGGCATGGAGTAATTTCCTAACTCCAACATTTTGTGAAGAAAAGTAAAGCTGTTGTAACAAACCTGCCTATTCTCAGAAGCCTGGTTTATTTTTTCTACTTACTATTTTTACGGGTGTTACGTGCAGCTTATGGTACGAACAGAAATATGAAAAATTCATATATAATTTGAATGAAGGTAAAATTTTTAGAATGAACATGAGCAGCTGAAGAGGTATAGGAATCAAATAAGAAAATTAAAAAAAATTAATATTGCTCAAACCCATAAGCTATCCCTATACAGCATGAAAACTTTTACTCTCAAACTCTGGCTAATCTTTCTTTTGAAAATTTTAATATGTAAAAATGGTTGTCCAGAATATCAAGATGTCATAGAATATCTTTAAAATAATTGATTAAGCAGATGATTAATCATGAAGGCAACTGAAACACTTCCTGATCTCTGGAATAGTTTGTAAAAGAAACTGAGTATTTGTTGATGGGAGAAGAATTATCCTTTGCATATTGCCTTCTATATATCAGGAACTTTATATGTGTTGTCTTATTTAATTTTCAAAACAACTATACATGGCAAGCACTACTAGTGCTTGCTTTTATTAAGAAACTGGAGATCCTGAATTATTAAGTAAATTGTTCAAGGTTCCCAATCTAACTTCTCCCCACATCTAATTATTTGTATACCATCAATCAAGCAATCCTGCTACCTAGTAATACTCAAGGATGCCATAAGTCCTCAGGATTTACTTTTCCAAAATTATAGAAGTGTAACTTTTGTTTATGTATTTATTTTTGTTTTGACAACTTCTACGACATAGAAAATAACAGAAAATGATGTTATGAATACCCATGTACCCATTACCCAAATTTTTCAATGTTAAGATTGAAATCAGTCATGCATTTATAAGTAAAATAAACATTACAGATATCTTTGTTGTTTCCTCCCCAACTTTCCTTCTCTTTATCACCTCTTAGAGCAATGATGTCTTTGAACTTGGTGTATAAATTACATGTTTTAATAGCAGATATACACCTATAGCTAAGGACATTACATAAAATATGTGTATTTGTATAAATGTTTTGTACTGTCCCTATGCAACTCTCCTCACTTAACATTAATTTTTCCCACATGGATCCATGTTAGAGAATGCAGTTTTAATTCAGTAATTATGGAGATAAATAAATTTATAGAATTGAATGCTATATAGCATTTTAAATAAGTGACATCAATTTCCAATCATTTGGAATTTAGTCCTATTTTCAAAACAAAAGTTTATTTTATTGAAAATGATAAAATATTTGGCATATACAATTGAGGGATTGTGGGGCATTGATTAGAAAAGCATAAATTAATTGAGAAAAGTAAGGTATAATTCTTAATGTGAATTTTGAGACTTTACAAAGGATATGCAAATTGATAACATATCCACCAGTGAAAATTTGCCACTTCACTTTATGTCTTTCTCAAGCATTTAGTCCCTAATTTTGTCATGAATCTGTTTGACATTGCTAATATACAGCATATTTTTGTATGCATGTGTGTATATGAGATTATACAAATATAAATATAAGAAAGGTATAGTATATGTAATATAACATATATGTATGTATAAAATATATGTAACAATGTTTTGTCTCTTATTACAAACTTGCAGATAAATTTTTTACTCCCCAGTTCCTGTATTTTAACTTGTGCTGATAATCCTTGTATTTTTTTTTCCTTAGACTCTCTGGGCTTTCTTTAGGTTTGCCCAACCTAGTTAAGATATCCACTGAATTTTATACTTCAGTGTGCATCAGGTTAGGGTGATGTGGGCTGTGGTTAATGGAAAACATGAATCACATAGCTTGCATTAAAAAAAGTCTAGAGGTAGTATAGCCTCTGGGATTGGTGTGTTATGCATTTCAGTTCATGTCTTCAATATCCACTTTCCATTTCTCTGCTTTGTCATCTATGTATCTTTATAATTTCAATGATAGCCCAATATTTAATATATAATACATACTAGTATACAATGTAATATGATATTATATCTAATATATAGGCAGAATAACCATGTACAACATACTTCAGTAGAAGAAAATAAACTTGTTTTCCTGTTAGAATAAGGGAATTTTTTTTATCATATCTCCTTGCACCAAATTGTCGTGTATTCCCATTCATGAACTAAATCATTAGCCATGTACTGGGATTTTCCTTTTACCAGTGAGGTCCATCCTTGGAAGGTGGGGTATTTAACTGAAGTATTTAACTAAGTAGTGGCATAATGAATACTTGAAAATTTAAAGTAGAATTCTTTTTGAAAAAAAAAAGGGAAAAATAGTGCTTACAAAAAAACCCAAAATTGTTGTGTTATTAAAGGCTAACTGAGGTCTTTGAACTCCTACATTCTGAACCGTTTAATTTTTCCATTCTGTTTCCAATTTTGGAAACATTATTATTTTTCCAGTTTTCTTTTACATAGTGTCCTACATTTCTTTATATTTCATTTATTCACTTTAATTTTTAAATACACTTTTTTTCTTTGCTTTTGCTTCGTATTTGCTTCATGTTTCATTTTTCATGGTTTTTTTTCCAGTTTTAAAAATTTAATTCATCTTGTGCATGGTTAATTTCTCTCTAGTTCAATAAATTCTAGGTAATAAAAATGATGCAACAAGTGTGTTATAAAATTTGGATTAGTAATTCATTTTAGTTAAGTCACGTTAAAGGTTTGGGTTACTAGTTTATTATCCTTTGTTTTCCTCTCAAACAGTCAAGAGTAGGCATCTCCTCTTCTTTTTTGAGGGATGAGCAGTGTGCCTCCGTCTTGGTTTCTTGTACGGACCACGTTTGTCAAAGACAAAGAACAAAACTGGACACTTAAAGTGGTGAGAGCAGATTTTATTCAGTGATACGCTATTGCAATAGGGAACTGGGTTCATCATGAACTGAAAACTTCAATTTGTACAGAGACGACTGGGGATTTTAAGGAGAGAATGAGGGAATAGGAAGGAGGCATAGCAGGGGCTTAGAGCAGAGAAAGAGAAGTGGACATTTTCAAAAAGTAGAAAGGAGGCCTGTGTGTGGGACTAGGCCACCGGGGTTTGCTAATTGGTACTTATCAAAATTCGGCTCCTCCCCTCCCACAGAGATGGAGGTGGGCCCTATCTGCAAGTGCTGACTAGAACAGTTAATTCTTTTGGCAGACTTGAGCTTTCTTAAGAAGGTATTTTAAGAAGGGCTGAGGTCATACTGGGGTGTGGCCTAGAGCTGTTATAAACTACGTGTGTGTTTGTCTCCGGTGTGTCTGTGTGTGTGTGTGCGCGCGCATGGGAGCACACGTGTGCGTGGCGGGGATTGGGTTGTGGATGAAATTATTTGCAATGACATTCTGCAGTTTTTACAGACCAGGGCTGAGGCTTAATCAAGAAGAGGGCTCATGGGAGTTTGACTGCAGTTTGGTCAGGGAGAAAGTTTTTATCAACTATCCGAGAGATTCGGCAATTCTGCTTTCCACAGCAAAGCCACATTCCTCTTCCCAATGTAGGAATTAAACTCTCAGCAGTTATCTACTAAGTCAAATTTGGAAGCACCATCTCCAGTGACTTTGTACAGTTAGGTCAAATTTATTCTTCTAGCTTGGCTTTTTCTCTTCCTTTCTGGTTCTTTGTTTGCAGTTTTCCTTTCTTTTAAAATTGTCCAATGAGTGTTTAAAAATGTATGTTGTTTTAAAGTTGAATTTCTCTAAAAATTCGAAAAGGGTACTTTAATTCTGTAAAATTCATCAAAATTTAAAATGTGTAAAATAGTATTATATTGCCAGGGGAATGATGAAAAGGTTATTAAAAGTTTTCTTAAGTAACCAATGAAGCATTTTCCAACTCTAATATTTACCAGTAAGTTGCATAATTAGTGTCTGGACAATGTGATTTCTATTCAAGACATATTTATTAAAATTCTATTTTATTTCCAATAATAGTGTAATACATGAACAACACAAATTGGAGTCGAAATATGATATTGTCACGATTGATTGAAGATAGCCAAATGAGTTAATCTCTGTTGCTCTAATACAGCAGAATCTTCAGTTATTTCTGTTAGTGTCATAAGGATTTTAACTCCTGTATAATAATGGAAAGAACAGTAGACAAATATAAAGCTATGTATTTGTGTGAAAATGTAAAAGGAAAATTGTTAACTAACAATTCTATGGTAATTCTTGAGTAGTTTGGAATAACGAAAATCTTGTCTTAAAGTATGTCTTACTCTGTCAATCACATATACTCTAATTTGCATATATATAATATATTCCTTATGGTTTAGAAAGCACCTAAACTACATTTGAAGAATTTGAAGTCACAATTTAAACTCTAATTAAGGGCTTTGAACTCCTACATTCTGTGTGGTTTAATATTTCCATTCCTGATTTTATATCTCTTACATATTCCATTTACTACATAATGAAACTAAAATTTTCATAGAGTATAACATGCCCTCTGAATTGTGAGTTGCATTTCCATAGTATGTATGAATCTTGACTGACTCAGAGGCAAATTCTTGTTACCAAAAACGATACTTGTGGCAATTTTCTACATTTTTTCCCTGGATCCCCAGCCTGCAAATTACTTGAAAATATTTAACTCAAGTGATTGGAACCAAAACTAATTACGCAAATATGATTGCCTGAAATTAAACCAAGTGTTTTCTTGTCAGATTTCTGAAAACAGTGCCATAATATGTTGGAGAGAAAGACGTATACCTGAAGCACCCAGACCTGTGTAATATAAATTAAATTTTAAATGAATTTCTGTTTGAAAAATCCTAAGTGCCTCCTTAGATACTAAGGCATGGGTAGGATAAAAGACTCACTTATACAAATCATTACATATTTAGGGCATTATACTAAAGGGCCAATCATATGGACAGTTGCAAAATATGGTCCCTTTTCCTAATGCATTTATAATCCACTGGGGATATTGGAGATTTAGCTAAACTATATCATGTTTAATGCTAGGTTCCAAATTAGCCTTTTAAATAAAAAGAGAAGTAGGCAGACAGAAATAGAAATGAATGCCAAGCTATAGATGTGGTCAGGAAGTCTTACAAGAGCAACTAGAAGCTAGACTGGAATTTAATGAAGAAAAGACAGGTTTCAGGTCAAAGATCATAAACTTATATGTCCATGTGAGTCAGTCAATAACAAGTGGAAGCAATATCCTGAGTATGTGAAGGACAATACACATGTCCTAAGCGGGAAACAAATACTCAACTTGAGTGGATTAAGAAGGAAAGTGGACACAAAGGTAGTAGATATCACAATGTTATGAGAATTAGCTGGATTATATGTTAAATATCCAAATTTTAAACTATTGACAGGTAATGACAATTTTAAAAAAACAACAAACACACACTAGACAGAACAAAATAGTAATCTATAGTTAAGTGTACTGTTGCTGTCAGAGGCGTGTGAACCAGAGCAACTCTGTCTTAAATAGGAGCTGGGTAAAATGAGGCTGAAACCTACTGGACTGCATTCCCAGACAGTTCGAGCATTCTAAGTCACAGGATGAGATAGGAGATCAACACAAAATACAGGTCATAAAGACCTTGCTGATAAAACAGTTTGCAGTAAAGAAGCCAGCCAAAACCCATGAAAACGAAGATGGCGATGAGAGTGACCCCTGGTTGTCCTCACTGCTACAATCACACCACTGCCATGACAGTTTACAAATGCCATGGCAATGTCAAGAAGCTACTCTGTATGGTCTGAAAAGAAGAGACATGAATAATCTACCCCTTGTTTAGCATACCATCAAGAAATAACTATAAAAATGTGCAACCACCAGCCCCCAGGGCCTGTCTATGGAGTAGCCATTTCTTTTATTCCTTTACTTTCTTGATAAACTTGCTTTCACTTTGCACTGTGGACTCACCCTGAATTCTTTCTCACACAAAATTCAAGAACCCTTTCGTGGAGACAAGAACCCTCTCTTGGAGTCTGGATTGGGACCCCTTTCCTAGAACATTGCCACCGCTATGAAACATCAAATTTAAATATATAACTCCTTAGAGGAGAATGGAGATTACTATTTCAAGTACAGTGCTATTATTGTTTCAGGTATTCTGAACACTGGAGAAATAATGTAAGCCTACATATTTGGAGCAAAAAAAAGTATCCATTTTGCTAGATAGGTATTGTGGTGAGAATAAAATAAGTTTTCAGTATAATTGTTTAAATGAGTGTTTAATGTTGATGTTTCATTGGCCTCTGCAGTGAATAGAACTCATAATTGATGGGAGTAGCTAAGACTAAAAATAATCATCTTATAGAAAATAATGTTACACAAAAAATCATCTTACAGAAAATAATCATCTTACAGAAAACATCTATCTCAAGAAAGAAGACCAGGCATGGTGGCTCACTCCTGTAATCCCAGCACTTTGGGAGGCCAAGACAGGCAGATTGCTTGAGGTCAGGAGTTCAAGACCAGCCTGGCCAACATGGTGAAACCCCATCTCTAGTAAAAATACAAAAATTAGCCAGGTGGGGTACTGTGCGCCTGTAATCCCAGCTGCTCAGGAGGCTGAGGCAGGAGAATCCCTGAACCTGGGAGGCAGAGGTTTCAGCAAGCCGAGATTATACCATTGCACTCCAGCCTGAGCAACAGAGAGAGACTTTGTCTCAGGAAAAAAAAAAAAAAAAGAAACAAGAAGACAACATTAGGAAAATATTACTTTAACAGAAAGCAAGTTATATATAAAATATCTAAAAATGTTCTGGTACAAATAAAAATTTATTAATTTTAAGAAAAAATGTTATAAATAATTTAATTTACAAATAAATATGGAACTACCTACAGAATCCTAAAATTTTTATGTATGTTGCACTGTACGTAAGAAAAACGTGTTAGTTTTAAAAAACATGTTTTTCCCTTTATTCTACTTAAAATCCATTGTTCAATCCTGAGTTGAAAAGAGAGAACCTCATTAAATATATGTAAATAAAACCTTTCAAAAGGATAGCATGACCTCTGCTCTTACCTATATGTCATAGTGATGAATAGGGTTGTCCATCCCCACACTTGTACCATCATCACTTATGTACTAACTTCTCTTTGGACTTCAAGGTTATTTTGCAGAAGAAATTTTGTGTTCTTGTTTCAAAACTGAAAACTTTTCCAGCCAGAGAAATATATTAACTTAAAATTTCTTATAGAGTTAACATGATTCCAGTCAGCAAGCAGCTGTCTGAAAAATAATTGAGAATTTACTCCCTAAGAATAACCAAAAATACTCTTTTGGAATGAAGGTCTTCATTCTCCCATGCTTGCATTTTTCAATATGTATTACTCATAGAAGTTGTTACCCTAAAATATTCACATAAGTATGGATCAGGATTTTGGCAAATAGGTCCTATTTGATCCTATAAGAATCTTTCCCTTTATCCAAGTGATTAAAAGTTCAACTTCATTTCTTTTTCCTTTTTCTTCGTTTCATTTTTAGAGGGAATTGTGTGTGATATGTGCCACATCTCTGTTCTGAATTTAGCTGTTGTCACATTCAGGTTAATTACTTTGTACCATGGGTATCTTAATATCTAATGTTGAAATTAAGTTTATAGTATCATCTAAATTTTGATTCATGGAATAACTTGAGGGGATAAAGATTACATTAGAATCAAGTGTAGAAATTTTACCAAAAAATTCTTAGCAGTGAGGAAAAAAGGTCTTTTAAATAAAAAAGAGATGCTGGAGAGATACGCAAGAAAGTACTGTCACGAAATTCTCATGCTTGAATGTATATATAGTTATTTGTGAAGATGTCTATGACTAAAATGATGAACAAATTCATTGAAAATCAAGGTATATAGATATATATAATTTAAAAGGCAGAGAACAAATGGAAATCTTAGTGGAAAGTATCAAGAGTGGGAGATAGACCTCGATAATATTTATCTAAGATAATCTCCACATTAGGAATATGTCATGAAAAGTCCCATAATTTTAATAGTTTAGGGATTAAGATAAATGTTGAAGTCATCGAAGAAAAAATAAGAAAAAGGAAGACTTTCAACTATTGTTCAGTATAAACAATTGTTTCTCAAAGTTTGGAAAAGAATTTAAAATTACTTACTGTGTGAGTGGAAATAGCATCAGAGGAAATTTACTAGCCCAGGTGTAAATACTTTCAATGTTCTGAGCAGAATCCAAAGCTAGTGCTAGCTAACAATTTATGAGATGCTTACAGGGGTTCAAGACTACAACTAAATGAGAGATTTGACCTTGCTCCCACTGTGAATTACACATGATCAAAAGTGGATAACTTGTATTAATGCAAAGTGACTTAGGTGGTTCAATTTCAGTTCATTTTATTAGTTGATAAAAAGAATAAAAATGTTCTTTGTGATAAAATCAGAAAGCAATAATTTTTTTCACAGTAACACAGGATCAAATTTTTAGAAATGAATTTTGCTATTGGCACACTGAACAGTTCCATGTCCCTAAAGATGAGCAGTTTGATTGAAAAGAAAGATGTCCAGGTGCAGAAATCTAATAACATTACTCAGCAACACTCTGCATCTATTCAGTAAGAGAAACTACTTCCAAAATAAAGAGCTCTTAAACGCCCATCAGGAAAACTCACAGAAATTCCAAATAATAAATTGAGCAGGTCTGAAAAAAATTAAAATGATTGGAATTATATAGAAAATTTACAGGTCACAACAGATCTGATTTAGAAATAAATAACAAAAATATCTGGAAATGCTCCAAATATTTGAAACTTAAAGACACACACGCACACACACACACACACACACACTCACACATGTACTTCTAAAACAGGAAATCACCGACTCAGAAAATATTTTGAACTAAAAAATAGTGACAACACAATGGATCAAAATGTGTGAGTATAGTTAAAGCAATACACAGTAAGAACTTGCAGCTTTAGATGTTTTCCAAGATAAAGAAGAAAGATTTAAATTAGTGGTCTAAGTTTCTACCTTTAGTAGCTACAAAAAGAAAATTAAACCCAAATAGGTAACAAAAGGAAATAATAAAGGTGGGAGTACAAAATAATATAATAGACAGTGGAAAAACAAGAGAATAATCAATTAAACCAAAAGCTCATTTTTATTAAAAATATCAGTAAAATATATAATCTTTTAGATAGGATGACCAAGAATGAGAAGACAGATTATAACAATTTCATGAATAAAAGAGTATATATCACTATAGATTATGAAAACTTTAAAAAGAATATTATGATAAATTATATGCAAATGTATCTGAAAAATTAGATTGAAGGAACAAATATTTTGAAAGTCAAAAATGAGAAAATGAAATCTACTCACTCTTCAAAAACTTTTCAAGAAATAGAATACTTAATTAGATCTGCATCTATTTTTTATGTAAAATTCATAATTAAAAGCCTTTTCCCAGAGAAAACCCAAAATTCAGACAGCTCCACTGGAGAATTCTCTCAGACATTTAAAACAAACCAAAAATAGTAACTTCAATCATGCACAAACATTTTCCAAAAATAGAAGAAGCAAGAATAGTTTCCAACTCATTTTTGTAAAATGAAGCTAGCATAACTCTAATAATTAAATGAACTAAAGATACTGTAAGAAAACATATCTCTCATGAACATGGTCATAAATCCTTTACAAAATGAAAGCATTGTGTGTGTGTGTGTGTGTGTGTATGTGTGTGTGTGTGTGTGTGTGCACGCCTGCCTGCCTGACTGGATTTTTTCCTATCTCCTCTCTCAAAAGGATTTCCTATTCAACAAATGATGCTGGAACAAGTCCCTATCCATGTATGCAAAAAACAAACTTCAATCTTTGTCACATATTCAAACATTAATTTGGAATGAATCATAACCTAAGTTAAAACTAAAACTCTTCAATTTCTAAAAGAACACATAGAAGAGGATATTTCCAAATTGGATGTAAGACATCTTTTACTTTGAACATATAAAATCATTACCAATAATATAATAATGATAATAAAACTTACGATCTCTGAAAGATAGCATTAGAAAAATATCAAACCATAAACTGGGAGAAAATATTTCCCTGTGTGTATTTGACAGAGAAATTGCATCTTTCTGTTATCTATCATCTATATCTCTCTAAATCTTTATATCTCTACATCTAACAAAAACTAGCATATCAAAAGGAAGAAGACAAACACTCCCAAATGAAAAGAGACATGAATAGATACTTTACACAAAATGATATAAGAATAGCTAGCTGATCAGCATATGAAAAGATGTTCAACATCATTAGTCATCAATAAAACACATATTAAATTCACAATAAGATATCACTACACATTCAACAAAATATCTAAATGTTAAAAGTTTAAAATACACAGTGAAGGATTTAGAGTAACCACAACATTCATATATTACTGATGGGAATATAAAATGTTAACAATTACTTTGGAAAATAAACAGCTTTAGAGTTTCTTATAGAGTTGCATACATTTGCCATAAAACCCAGAAATTCAACTCTTAATAATTTACCCATGAGAAATTAAAATAAATAGCTGTGTAAGGACTTGTATGCTAATATTCATATATTTATTCATAGCTCCAAAGTAGAAACAACCTAAATGACCATCAACTGGTGAATGAGTAAACAAATTGTGAGTATATCTGTACAATTGTATACGACTCAGCAATAAAAAGCAATGAACTATTGTTTATGCAGCATGAATGAATATCAGATATGCTAAGTGTAAGATGCCAGGTATAAAGATTATATTCTGCAAGTTTCAATGTTTGTGAAACTCTAGAAAAAACAAATCTAAGTGATGATGGTAAAACAGATCAATGGCTAACTTGAAGCACGTATTCTCTAGGAGAAGGGATGATGTTTTTCTAAGAAAGGGCACAAAGGAACTTTCCGGGCACTGGAAATATTTTATGACTTTATTGTGGGGCTAGTCACCTAGGTGTACATATTTGCCTTTTATTGTATATATTTGATAATAAAGTTGATTAAAGTAAAAAACACATTACTATTGAAGTATGAAATGCAAAATCAAAATACTACAAAATTTAAAGCTGGTTATCCTTAAAGATTAATAAAACTGATAAATTCTAGCCAAGATAGCCAAGAATAAAATAGAGAATACACTAATTACTCATATTAGAAATGAAAGACTGGTCGTTGTTACTGATTTAATTGTCATTAAGTGGGTAAGTAACAATATGAACACCTCTTTGCCCACAAATTTGGAAACAGATAAAATGAGCTAACTCGTAGGAATGTTCAAACTATGAAAACTCACACATGAAAAAATAACCTGAATAAGATCATATTTATTAAAGAAATTAAAACAAAAGTAATACTCTTCCACAAAAGAAAGCTCCAAGACCAGATGATTTTTCACTAGTAAAGTCTAGCAAATGCTGGAGGAAGAAGTGTTGTTACTGTCAACACTGAAGACAGCTGATACCGCATCAACAAATAACATGGAACAAAGTGGAAGAAAATGGTGAATTATGTATGATAGCTAAAAAGAATAATTCATATGTGTTTATGAGTTTGTATGACCTGAGTCATACAAACCTGAAATATCAGATATATTGAGAGCCAAGAAAAATTATTCAATTTTAATATTGCCCCTTTTTATATAAATACATACAATAACTTATAAATTTTCACTTATAAATTACTTCCTTTGATCCTTATGTTAACCCTATGAAATGTTGTTATTTCAATTCTAAATATGAAACTCAAATATTCTGAGATTTATTCAAGGTTTTTAGGCTATTAAGCATTGAATAAATTCAATAATTTGAGCTCACAGTCTAGTTATTTTCCATTTTTCAATATTGTCACTACACCTAAACCCAAGTACTTAAATGCATTCAGAAGTGACTCTTAGGAGATATTTCTACAGGTGTCAATCTATAGAATTACATTATATGTGTAATCTTAATATGCAGAAGCTGAGAATCTCTACATTTGCTGATTTACTGACTTCCTATTTTTCAACATGTTCGTTTATTGTCTTTCTACCTAAAATAAACAAAAGGAAAAAAAAACACCTTTTCCTTTGCCTGCTACTTTTTAATCTAAATTACTCATAAGATAATGGCAAATACTGCCCAAAGTAATTTGTAGATTCAATGCTATTCCCATTAAACTACCACTGACATTCTTCACAGAATTAGAAGAAACTATTTTACAATTCATATGGAATGAAAAAGAGCTCATATAGCCAAGACAATCCTAAGAAAAGGAAAAAGAACAAAGCTGGAAGCATCACCTACCCAACTTCAAACTATACTACAAGGCTACAGTAACCAAAACAGCATGGTGCTGGTACAAAAACAGACATATAGACCAATGGAACAGAATAGAGAACTCAGAAATAAGATAGCACATCTACAAACATCTGACCTTTGACAAAATGGATGACAACATCAATGAGGAAAAGATTGCCTTTTTAATAAGAGGTGTTGGGAGAACTGGCTAGCCATATGCAGAAAATTGAAACTGGACCACTTTCTTACACCTTATACAAGAATTAAGATAGATTAAAGACTTAAATGTAAAACCCAAAACTATAAAAACTCTAGAAGAAAATTTAAGCAATACCATTCAGGACATAAGCACAGGCAAAGATTTCATGACAAAATCACCAAAAGCACTCGCAACTAAAGCAAAAATTGACAAATGAGATCTAATTAAACAAAAGAGCTTCTGCACAGCAAAAGAAACTTTCATCAAAATGAACAGGCAACCTACAAATTAGGAGAAAATTTTTGCAATCTATCCATCTGACAAAGGTCTAATATCCAGAATCTACAAGGAACTTAAACAAATTTACAAGAAAAAAAAAAACACTAAAAAGTGGGCAAAGGACATGAACAGACACACAGACACTTCTCAAAAAAAGACATTTGTGCGGCCAAAAAATATATGGAAAAAAAGCTCAGCATCACTGATCATCAGAGAAATGCAAATCAAAACCACAATGAGATACCATCTCATGCCAGTCAGAACGGTGATTATTTAAAAGTCGAGAATTAACAGATGCTCGTAAAGTTGTGGAGAAATAGGAATGCTTTTACACTCTTGGTGGGAATGTAAATTAGTTCAACCAGTGTGGAACAGTGTGGGGATTCCTCAAAGATCTAGAACCAGAAATACCATTTGACCCACCAATCCCATTACTGGCTATATACCCAAAGGAATATAAGGCATTCTATTATAAGAATATATGCACGCATATGTTCATTGCAGCACTATTCACAATAACAAAGACATGGAATCTTTGTTATTGTGAATAACATATGCCCATGAATGATAGACAGGATAAAGAAAATGTAGTACATATACACACATATACTATGCAGCCATAAAAAGGAATGAGATCATTTCCTTTGCAGGGACATAAATGGAGCTGGAAGCCATTATCCTCAGCAAACTAATGCAGGAACAGAAAACCAAGCACCACATGTTCTCACTCATAAGTGGGAGCTGAACAATGAGAACCCATGGACACAGGGAGGGGAACACCACACACTGGGACCTGTCGGGGTGGGGTTGGGGGAGGGAGAGAATTAGGAAAGATAGCTAATGCATGCTGGGCTTAACACCTAGGTGATGGATTCATAGATGCAGGAAACCACGCCATGACACGTTTACCTATGCAACAAACCTGCACGTCCCGCACGTGTACCCTGGAACTTAAAAATAATTTTTAAAAATTGGCAGACTAGCCCGGTGACTCACACCTGTAATCCTAACACTTTGGGAAACCAAGGCAGTGGATTGCTTGAGCTCAGGAGTTCAAGACCATCCTGGGCAACATAGGGAGACCCTGTCTCTATAAAAATTACAGGTGGCATGCACCTGTAGGCCCAGCTATTTGGGAAGGTGAGTTGGGAGGTTGGCTTTAGCCCAGGAGGCAGAGGTTGCAGTGAGCTACTGTACATCAGCCTGGATGACAAAGCCAGACTCCGACACACACACAAAGTAAAAAAGAGATTGGCAAACAAAAAATATGCTATTGCATTCACAGGGCCTGTCCCTCCTTTTTATCCTGAGGTCTCTATAGCACCACCTATTTTCTTATTCCTTCTCCTCATCTTCTATGAAGCTAGAAAATTGTATCTCTAGTCCCAAAACTCTTCCCTGTTATGATCTGTTTATTTCAATATAGTTCAACAAGTATGAATTGAGTGTGTACTATTCCAAGGTGCTCATTAATGTGTACATTGTACTCATTCCATTTCTATATTCCCTTCCTCCTCTTCCACCACTGCAATCTTGAGTCTTGAACCATTTACAACTTTCTCTGAAAAAGGAAGAAAACTTGAGTAGCTACTTAGATGAAAAATACTGCTACATTTTTGTCGACTAATTAATGACACTCAAGTACCTAATACAAATCTCATTTCTCTTTACTACTTCTGAGTGGCATTATATATGGAGTTTCACTTAAGGAATGCTATATATTTATAGTATTTTATTTACATATATTTTCTCACAATTAAAAAAAAAGTTGGCTCCCTTTTGATTCCTTTTAGCTTCTCTTTCTATTGCCCCTTTTCTCCTGCCCTCCTTTTCTTCCTTTTCTTCATTTTCCTTCTCCTCCTCCTTTTTCTTCTTTCCTTTGTCTATACATGCACCAGTTGCATAAAGGGGTTTATTGTTGTTATTCTTGATTTACAATGGTGAAGACAAAGACTAAAAAGAATGCTAAACTTAGTCCAATGTTATATCATCCTATCTCCATATGATACTTTCATCTTTCTGATTATTCAGCACTTATTAAAAAGGAAAATGCCAGGATACAGATATTATTACAGAAATTTGTTTAAGAACTTGCATTAAATTTTTTAAAAGTTAGTACATTTGGCAAATAAACATGAAAAGGGCCAGGCGTGGTGGCTCACACCTGTAACCCCAGCACTTTGGGAGGCTGAGGTGGGCAGATCACTTGAGATTGGGAGTTCGAGACCAGCCTGGCTAACATGGCGAAAACCTGTCTCTACTACAAATACAAAAAATAGCCGGGTGTGGTGGTGCACACCTGTAATCCCAGCTACTCAGGAGGCTGAGGCAGGAGAATCACTTGAACCCAGGAGGTGGAGGTTGGAGCGAGCAGAGATCACATGACTGCACTCCAGGCTTGGTGACAGTGAGACTCCGTCTCAAAAAAAAAAAAAAATATGTGAAAAGATGGTTAACCCTAAGTTGTCATTAGGTTATTGCTAATTAAGATAGACCTAAAAAGTATACTAGTAGGTATGTAGTACAGCTACTTTAAAATACACTTTCACAATTTCTTACAAAGCTAAACATAAGCTTACCTTACAACACAGGTGTCATAAACCTAGGCATTTCCCCAACTGATTTGAAAACTTATGTCCATATAAAAACTTGTATATAGTTGTTTATAGCAGATTTATTCATAATCACCATAATATGAAAAGAACCTAAATGGCTTTCAATAAGTGAAATAATTTTTTAAAAACTGTGGTACAACTATATAATAGAATATTATTTAGTAATAAAAAGAAATTACTAGGCCATGAAAAGACATAAAAGAACCTTAAACATGTATTGGTAATTGAAAGTAACTGGTCAAAAGTCTACATATTATATAATTGCAGTTATATAACATCTTGGGGAAGGAAAACCTATAGAGTCAGTAAAATATTCAGTGGTTATGAGGTACCCAAAGAGAGAGGGACAGAGTTAAATAGGTGAAGCACAGAGGATTTTTTTAGGGGATGAATTTATTCTGTATGGTACCACAGGACAAATAACACCATCCATTTGTCAAACTCATAGAACTTTAAAGCACAAAGAGTGACCCTTAACATATGACAACTTTAAAATAATATGTAGGAGGCCGAGAGATCCCAGAATGGGATTTATACTGTGTTAAAATATTTTAATTATATTAAAATGTTTAAAACAACCTTACTGAAGAGGGTGGAGAGGAAAGGTCCTGTACTAACTAACCTTGGAAATGACTGAAGTCTGTAGGACTAAAGGTAAAGGAAAATGTACATACATACTGAACTCTAGTTGGTAAAATTGTTTCCCAAGGAGGTATAGGATAACCATTCTGTTACTACATCACATGTATACTGGAATTACAAAATTAAGTTTATGGTGAATGACAGGAGCCAAGTTTGTTTTTCACTTTTGAAGTGTGAGTTCACAGGTAAGCAAAAGGAGAAAGCTAGAATGATCTATGTAGTAATGGATTAGAATTGAAGATATCAGTATGAGTTCCTGTTTAACTTGATATATATGCAGATGATTACATATGGAAATATTTATATGTGTATTTATGCATATATTATAATAAACACATATATGTCCTTGCTCTGTCACAACCTAAGACATAAAAGCAACAGACCTAAAAGCAACAACACCCCAGTAGCAATAAGCACACCTAGCACTCAGATTTTAATTTCTAATACCGTTCTCTAATTAAAAGAACTAGTTGATTCAAAACTGGGACAAGAAATATAAAAGATGAGCCTGGTGTATATTGTAGTGCTAGAAAGTTAAGAGGTACTCAAAAAAAAAATACAAAAAAAAACAAACAAAAAAACCCTCACAATAGCCAAATCTGGAATGATTTGAACAACAACAACAAAAAAGTAAGGAAATAAAGTACTTGGATTATAACACAAAACATACAATAAATATTCATGATTCCATACAGATATAAATAAATGAACAAGTAAAAAAGAATGGAGGAGGGGGAAAGAGTCACATCTCCTGCATGAAGAATTTCAAGTAATGTATATAGATACTCTGCTCTTAAGAAAAACTCCTCACTCCGTGAGTACAGCCTCCTCATAATGACTCTTTCAAAGACTACAGTACTATGAATAAAAGGTGAAAACAATAACTTTATAGTTGAGAGACCTCACAAACACTACCTCAGCCAAGTGATGGAGTCAACTTCAACAGTGTTAAGTCATGTTGATTGATAGTGTGTGTCCCTCATATGACGTGATGACAATTGCACTTGACATCTGTGATCTTTCTCCCAAATGTATAACCTCAACCAAATCATGAAAGAAAACAAATCTCAACAGAGGAACATTCTATAAAATGCCTGATTAATACTCCTCAAAACTGTCAACATCATAAAAAATATGGAAAATCTAAGAAAATGTCATGGCCAGGAGGGAAGTAAAGAGACATGACAACTAAATTTAATGTGATAATTGAATAGGATTCTAGAAGACAAAAATGATATTAAATAAAAACTAAATAAAACTGAATAAAGTGTAAACTTTAGTTAATGTCAATATTGGTTCATTAAAAGTCCTTACAGAAACTGTATACTATCCTCCTAACTTTTCTATAAACAAAAACATAGAAAAATTAAAAAGTAAAGTTTATTTTTAAAAAGTCAAACATATTAAAGTATATCCAAATTTTTGATTCCTCTGTGAAGTTTATAATTTATATATAATTGTTTTCTTTCTATAAACTTATCTACTTTGACCCTCTTCCTCCCATTATATTTTATTTTTTATTTTTATTTTATTTGTTTGAGACAGAGTCTCGCTCTGTCGCCCAGGCTGGAGTCCAGTGGCGCAATCTGGGCTCACTGCAAGCTCTGCCTCCCGGGTTCACGCCATTCTCCTGCCTCAGCCTCCCGAGTAGCTGGGACTACCGGCGCCCACCACCACGCCTGGCTAATTTTTTGTATTTTTAGTAGAGATGAGGTTTCACCGTGTTAGCCAGGATGATCTCCATCTTCTGACCTAGTACACCCTCCCAAAGTTCTGGTGTACAGGCGTGAGCCACCGCGCCGGGCCCCTCCCATTATATTGAACAAATCTATAGATTACTGTAAGCACTATCATTTTACCATCATTATGATTTTGTACTAGAACTACTTATTCAAAAGGTAATTAAATGATTGGTAACTTGCCTTTCATTCTTTTCATGTATATTCGTAAGTTCTCCTACATGTAGTAGGTGCTTATAAGTCAATTGATTAATAAAATAATAGTAACAGAGACTTTTGACCAAGAAGAGAAGTCACTTATTAAGTAATACAATTTGCCACTAGGTGTACATTTTGTATCTAGCTAACATCTTTGAAAATTAACTGGTATATAAATATAAGTATAGATAAAAATCATTCTGCAGGATAGACTATGTGAAGTACCATTTGTGTGTATAACATTGTATACTACTCACTGAAAGACAGGTTATTATCTAATTTTAAAAATGTATTTGAGTTACTATAGAGCATTTCTCTTTCTTCAAGTGCTATAACACAAATGCTGTATTTTCTTATACAGTCTCTATAGAAACTGTATGTTATTGAACAGTAAATTTGAAAACTCATAAAGCCTTTTGGAAACACAAAGATTAGAAATTGTGTTTGGTTTGTTAGGTATGTCAAATCAAATACATTCCTGAAAAAGAATTGAATGACTCTAATCAAGTAAGTGATTTTCTTATGCTGCTATTTTTTGTTTTTTGGTACACTTTCTTACCCAGTGTAAGTAAGGATACTGTGAGGAATGGTTAAGGGATGAAGAAAACAATCTTATATGAATAAACTCTAAGGGCTTACAAATACACACACACGTATGTATATGTACATACGTATACATAGGTACATGTATATATGTTTTTACTACCTCTAATTACATATCAGAATCATAATAATTGCACAAAAGTTTGCTGCAAAGTACACCTATGAAGTTGAAAGGAAAAGCTCCATAAATAACTCTAGCTCATATTGAACCATTGTGCAACATATATTGCTAATATTGAAATCACTTCTATTGTAGTGATTTTCTGTCCCTTTATTTTTGTCTTTCTGGAAACTAACAATGCATATATAAAATGTCAAGATATGTGAATTTAATTTGTACAGCTGACATATATGAGATTACAATAATGTTGCAGCAATCTATTTTCCACAGAATTTCCTGTTCCTTAGAAGTAAATAGCTCTCTTTTAAATACCAATTTCTAATTCAAAAGACAAAGATTAGGCCTATAATGCCTTAGTGAAAGGCAGGTAACATAACACAATTACCTGGTGAAATCAAGGTCTGCTTTTGTTCCTTAGTTAGAGAAAAGGGCACTTTAATGCCTCTAAGGCAGGTTCTCCCAATACCACTGAGGAATACTAAAATGTAACATAAAAAAAAAAACCTTAAATTGATACCAATATTTTGATAAGAATGAAAACCTAAGAATAGTTTATTAAAGGTGAGAAATCAAAATGGGCATACAAGCAAATATAGATTCACTTATTAAATGTTCATTAGTCAGAAAATGGTCATTAGTCACCCTACCGATTAGCTCACTGGACCTCAGAGTACTATACTACTAGGGCAGACCTGGAATTTAGAGTCAATTTTCACTATAATTAATTGGAAGGTAGAAATTTCTCATTTGCATCTTTGTACCCCAGCATGAAACACAACATCTTATATCTACTATCTGTTAAATAAATATGTGTAAACATATGTGAAAATGAATAATAACGAGATTTTGGAAACACAAGTTAAACCCTTCAAACTTTAGTTTTCTTGAATGGCATACTTGCAGGGGGAAAAATAGCCTGCATTTCTTTGGCCCTTAACGTCTCAGCATTGATGGAATTCAGGAAACACCACCCCCCAAAATATAGCACCTTCTCATACTGAGTATTTTAAGCTTTAGAGAATTAAGAAAACCACAGAAGCAAGACTTTTTCTCAGATCTTTTTCTGTCTTCCTTTCTCCTGCCCCCTTTTCTTCCCTGAAGCAAGTCATAGAGACTAGATCCTCCTGAACCCCAGAAAGCCATAAAACCTAAGAAAGTCACTCTCTGAGCTCTTCCTGTTCCTTGAAGACCCTCATGTGACAGATGTCCTGCCTCAAAGCTGGGATAAGGAATATCATACAGAGCAACAGAAAAAAGTCTGAACAAAAACGTCTTGCTTAGTTCCTGCCAATGTATTATCATTAGATCATACCCCTTTTGTCCAGTCATCTTTCCTCACAAGGATCCACTTCTTTCACCAAACAACATAAAAATGCAAAGTTTTCCCATGGTCTTTGGGCCTTCATTTCTAAAGGCTCCCATGTTACATACAATGTTTACAAAATAGATTTGTTATGTTTTTCTCTTGTTAACCTGTCTTTTGATAAAAGAGTGTCAGCCATGAATTTTTTAATGAATGAGAAAAAGATGCTACTAACTCTCTGCTAGAGCATATTGGCTGTCAGTAAATAATATGACATACTTATGGTAAATTGTTTTCAGTTTTTTAGTCTCTGTTATGATTAAAATAGAATCGAGTTATTTTCTGTTCCTGTTGTTAACAAAAGACCAGTGAGATTTGCAGAGGAAAAAAGTTTATTTTCTAAAAGCAATCTGCAGATTGAGGAGATGCAGCCTTCAGTGTCAAATGAAAGTGAGCTCTGAGGAGGGGTGAGGGCGTGGGTGCAGGGCCCAGATTGGATGACCTTTAAGCAAAACATCACAGGTCTCTATTTATTGGCTGACCTCAGGTGGTTTGTTGGTGTCAGTTAGAGAATTTCCAGCTGCAATGTATTTCAACACCAACAGGAACTGGTTTGGCTTGATTGTAGAAACGGAGATCCTTTCGTACTTTTACAACGTCTTTTCAAGAACATAGAGTATGTGACTGCTCATTCACACGGCTACAACCGCCTGGTTCTGTTTTAACCTTGAGTGCCTCAGTTAGTCACAGAGGGTGCATTTTGCCTACAGGCTAGGGGCACACTTCAATACTGGACAATGCATAAATGCTGAACTTTTATCTCAGTAGAAGAAAAAAGTAATCAGCCAAGTTTGTGAATTCTTCCTAACATAATAATTATTATAATGTCAGGCAAAATATGGCCCATGGGTTAAAAATTTTAGAATGATGTGGGGCCTTTTGAAAAAATTAGTTCTATGATCCAGTGTCAAACATACTAATTCAGAATCTCTGGAGACCTAGGAAGCTGTGTTTTTAAGAGACCCCAGGGGATCATTACGTACATTCAACTTTGGGAAGCACTGACCTACCAGATGGACATTAAACCAAAAACATGGGTTTATTTTTTCACTTCCTGCCTCTCATTCATTTTCCTGAATAGTATATTTATTAGCAGCTAATTAGTTTGCAGATGTGCCATTGAAAGTAAACAATTAAAAATCACCACCAAATGCCTGTGTTATTAAAGGTAAATACATAATTTGTTGTCATGGGTCAGATAATCTTAACATATATTGACACTAAAAAACTCGTGACCATAAAAAATTTCACTTCTGCATCCTGAGAAGCATCTCTGATAACACTTGAGTGAAGTAGTGTTTTCTGAGGTTCTCATTTATTTTTATTGTGCGTTAGAAGCTTTCTAAATGGTTTCATTAACTTAGTAAGAATGAACACACATAATAATAATAAAATAAAAACTAGAAAAATAAATATGCCTCTTATTGAATACTCACTGTATGCGAGGAACTCTTCTCAGGGCCCCATCTGTATTAAATCACAGTTGTAAGTTTTAAATAAATTATAATACAGTCATGTTTATTAAAAAATACTTGCTGAAATTTCTAGAATAGATTGATCGGAAATTTTTCAAAAGAAATCTCAGTGTCTGTAAAACATTTCTGCAAGTCCCTTTTGGAGCAAAGAAATTATCTTGTCATTATGCTTAGAATGGGGTATATCATACTGCCCTTTTGCAAATTGATAATAGACATTACAGACATACACTTTTTTATTGCACTTTATTAAACTTCCTAGATATTGCATTTTTTTACAAATTAGAGATTTGTAGCAACCCTGCATCAAGGAAGTCTATCAATGCCCTTTTATCAACAGCATATGTTTACCTCTTCTTTGTGTCACACTTTGGTAATTCTCAAAATACTTCACACTTTTTCATTCTTATTGTGTTCGTTATGAAGTTCTGTGATCAGAAATCTTTGATGTTACTATTGTGATTGTTTGGGGGCACCGTAACAGTGCTCACATAAGATGGTGAAGTAAATGGATAAATACTGTGTGTGTTCTGATTGCTCCACCAACAGGCCATTCCCCACCGCTCTCCCTCTCCTCAAGCCTCCCTATTGCCTGAGACAGGGGAGTATTTATTTTAGGCAAATTAATAACCCTACAATGATTCCTAAGTGTTTTAGTGAAAGAAGGAGTTTTATGCACTTTAAATCAAAGCCTAGAAATGATTAAGCTTAGTGAGAAAGGCATGTCGAAAGCTGAGCTAGGCCACTGGTGCCAAACAGTCAAGTTATGAATGCGAAAGAAAAGTTCTTGAAGGAAATTAAATGTGCTACTTCAGTGAACCTACGAATTATAAGAAAGAGAAAAACCTGCAGTGGATTATTATCCAGGAGTTCTACCTAAAATAATTGATGAAGGTGGTTACATTCAACAAAAGCCTTTGTTTCAGTGTTGATGAAACAGCCTTGTATTGGAAGAAGATGCCATCTAGGACTTCCATAGCTAGAGAGAAAAGTCAGTGCCTGGCTTCAAAGATTCAAAGGAGAGACTGACTTGCTTATTAGGGGCTAATGCAGCCATGTGACTTGAAGTTGAAACCAGTGCTCATTTACCATTCTGAAAATCCTAAATCTCTTAAGAATCATACTACATCTACCCTTCCTGTGCTCTATACGTGGAACGACAAAACCTGGATGACCATACGTCTACTTACAAGACAGTTTACTGAATAGATTAAGCCCACTGTTGTTGATACCTATTGGTCAGAAAAAAAAAAAAAAATATATATATATATATATATTTCAAAATAGTACTGCTGATTCACAGTATACCTGGTCAGTCAAGAGCTCTGATGGAAATATATAACATTCATGCTGCTTGCATGCCTGCTACCACAACATACACTCTACAACCTATGGATCAAGGTGTAAGTTTGACTTTCAAGTCTTACTATTTAAGACACATATTTTGTAAGGCTAGAGGTGCCATAGATTCTTCTTAAGGATCTGGGCAAAGTCAATTGAAAACCTTCTGGAAAGGATTTCCCATTCTAGATGCCATTAGGAACATTCATGACTCACAGAGGATTGTCAAAATATCAACATTAACAGGATTTTGGAAGAAGTTTATTTAAACCCTCATGGATTACGTTGAGGGATTCAAGACTTCAGTGGAGGCAGGAATTGCAGGTGCAGTAGGGGTTACAAGAGAACTAGAATTCTAAGTGGAGCCTGAAGATGTGACTGAATTGCAGCAATTTCATGATAAATCCTGAACAGATGATGAGGAGATGCTACCTATAGATGAGCAAAGAAAATGCTTTCTGGAGATTAAATCTACTCCTGGTTAAGAAGTTGTGAACGTGGCCGGGTGCGGTGGCTCATGCCTGTAATCCCAGCACTTTGGGAGGCCGAGGAGGGCAGATCAAGAGGTCAGGAGATCGAGACCATCCTGGCTAACACGGTGAAACCCCGTGTCTACTAAAAATACAAAAAATTAGCCAGGCGTTGTGGTGGGCGCCTGTAGTCCCAGCTACTTGGGAGGCTGAGGCAGAAGAATGGCGTGAACCCGGGAGGCGGAGCTTGCAGTGAGCTAAGATCGCGCCGCTGCACTCCAGCCGGGGTGACAGAGCGAGACTCTGTCTCCAAAAAAAAAAAAAAAAAGTTGTGACCGTTGTTGTTGAAATGACAACAACATATTTAGAATATTATATAAACATAGTTTATAAAGCAGCAGCAGGATCTGAGAGGACTGACTTCAATTTTACCCATTGAAATCGGGCAAGGCTCAAGGCAAGACTCTCCATCAGCAAAAGGATTATAAATCTTTGGAGGCTCAAATGATTCTATTTAGCAATAAAGTATTTGTATTTAGGATATGTACTTTTTAAAATACATAATGCTATTACACACTTAATAGACTAGAGTGTAGTATAAACATAACTTTTATATGCACTCAGAAACCAAAAGATTTGTGTGCCTCTCTTTATTGTAATATTCTCTTTATTGTGGTGGTTTGGAATTGAACCTGTGGTATCTTTGAGGTATGCCTGTATAATATTGAAGGTTCTGAGAAGTTCTACAATAAGAATACCAGTTTAATTTGCTTCATTTTTATCAACAATACTTACAATATATTTTGAAAAACTATTATGAAGTGAAATATTTATATTTTTAATGTAAAATAAAATATTTGGATTCAAATATTACCTGCTTCTTAAGCAGAAGAGACAGCATATATGTACATGTTTTGAAAATTGTGCTAATATTTGAAGCATTATAACTAGATATTCTAGTTTTAATGTAAATTTCTTGTCAAACTTACTGAAACTACAGAAATTGAATTATTCTCTATATCAGATTGATAGATTCTAGGAGAAGTTTTTGTTTTTGTTTTTCTTTTTTTGGAGACGGAATCTCACTCTGTCACCCAGGCTGGAGTGCAGTGGCGCAATCTCAGCTCACTGCAACAGAAGTTTTCTTAAGTCCAAGTTAACTTCCAATCATACAAGTACAGAGTGTGTGTGGGTTTGTGTATGAGTGTGTATGTGTTTGCTGAATACACGTTGACATTAATATTGTCTCAATTATTTTTGTGTTTGAGATAAAGACAATTTAAAATATAATAAAAAAGTTTGAAAAAGCACAACATCACAATATTTAGGCAGCCTCTAAGTGGCATAATTAGTATTCTTTAAGAATAATATATTATTTAGTTATTCCCTCATTTCTATAGTTCCTTGTCTTTTTCTGACATCACAAACACACCATTATCTATCCTTTTCAATGAGGGAAGGGTAAAGTGACTTATCAAAATGTCTCTTTATGATGTTTACCATTATCAGTCAATGGGCTTTCTTCCTATTTCCTTTGAATGAGATATAAAATCTTTTTCATGAAGAGACACATCATTTTGCTTTAGGCCGAAAATGATTTGTCTCTTATTTAACCTATGATATGTGAAAATTTTATTTTGTATTTTATGTGTTTTGTGTACATTTTTGTTCCACTTTACAATTTTATCTTTTCACCCTCTCTTTGGTGAAAATACTTTTCGGAATACAAAAGAATAAATATAATGTAATGATCAGAAGGTAAAAGTTATGCACTGAAGGTTTTGCTTTTGTAATAGAAAAATGATAATGTTAGAACTTTCATGGCAAAATAATTTTAAAACATCCCGAGAGCTATGAATTTTGAAAAAAGACTGGATGGAGAGACTATTGAGACAAAAGAACAGAACATATTAGGTAAAAGCTGTAAGTTCAATTTACTAAACTTTCAGATGAGCATAATGCCGCTATTTCATTGTGTGGTAAATTTGGTTTAAAATAAATGGAGATTGTTCTACCTTCAGTTTTGGAAAACAAAAATAATCAGTACTTTAAAAGTTGATATATCTAAATTCTATTTTAGCTCTTTTAAGACCATGTTAGGATCATTAACAACTGTAATAGATTTTTTTCTAAGACCTGAAAAAATTCTTTTTCCATACTGTATTACAAATTGCACAGTGTTTTCCTGCTGTTTCAGAGTTAAATAATGTTATTCTGTTGAATGCCATAATTTTATTTAAGAGGCTCCATCAATCACCTCCATTGATTATCATGAATTTGGCTGATCATGACAATCCTGTTGGTAATATTTGCTGATAATGCTTTAAAGTCTCCCCCATTAATATATAACTTAATTGAAAAGAGACAAGTGTAGTCAGAATGTCTGCAGTTTTCCTTGTATCATACAAAAGAATTGATTAACCAGGTTCAATCTGAATGTGGAAAAATAGTTAATCTCTCTAAAATAATATAACTGTCTTTGTTAAACTAGGTCAGAAAATAAAAGTATGTGACAGACAGGTAGCTTTGGTTTCCAAGGACTTCATATTTATAATAGTTTGTAAAAGTTTATATATACATATATTTTGTGTCTTTTAATTTTTATTTTAGGACCCATTTCAAACTCTATTTTAATATTTCATGAAAGAAATATTCAATACCAAAAGGTTGACAATTCAATAAATCAGTGACTGATTTTTTCTAGGTATGTATACCGCAGTGTTTGGGTAAAAAAGATAGGTGAAATGTCATGATATTTTTAACCTACTTTAAGCTGTCTAATTAAAAAATAGATAAAGCAAATGCAACAAAAGTTAGTCATTATAGAATTATATGTAGGATTATCATACTATTCTATCTACTTTATGATTAATGTGCGATAACAAAAATTTGAAACCAATACACAAAGACAAACATAAAATAACAAAAAGAAAATGGAGTAAGCCTTTCTTTCTTTTTTATGTTCTTTGTGTAAGGAAACCCTTACACAAAACTGGCAAGACAAAAATCTATGAAGTCTTAAAGGAGATGAGCTAATTAATTTGATGACATAAAGTGATAAAAATTCTAACATTACCTGAAAAATCAATACTAAAATCAGAGTCAAAGGACAAACAATAAGTTGAAAAATTTGACATGCAGGAACATAAGAGGATGATGAATTTATTTTACAGAAAACTCACTTGCTAGTCAATAAGTAATATGGTTTGTCTGTGTCCCCACTCAAATGTCATCTTGAATTATAGCTCCCATAATTCCTTTGTGCTGTGGAAGGGACCCAGAAGGAGGTAATTGAATTATGGGGATGGTTTCCCCATACCAATATCATGCTAGTGAGTAGGTCTCACGAGATCTGACAGTTTTATAAGGGAAAACCCACTTCACTTGGCTTTCATTCTCTTCCCTTGTCTGCCGCCATGTGAGACGTGCCTTTCACTTTCCACCATGATTGTGAGGCCTCCTCAGCCATGTGGAACTGTGAGTTCATTAAACCTCTTTCTTTTGTAAATTGCCCATTCTCAAGTATGTTTTTATCAGCAGTGTGAAAATGAAGTAGTACGATAAGAAAAATATATAAAAATTTGTCACATTGCACATATTTAAAATATTAATAGGTAATGCCAAATTATTAACTCTTGCAATAATTTATAAGAGTTGCTGGATCCCCACCCTCTTGCTAAATGCTATTAAACAATTGAGTATACATTATCTAATTTGATAGATAAAATGTTAATTTCCTTTATTTTGCATCTGATTATTACTTAGATGGATATGTTTTCATGTGTTAAAAGCTATGTTTTCCTTTTTCTAATAATTACTTGCCTATTTCTGAAATTATGTGAAGAGAGACACTCCCTTACTTACATACACATACAAAGATACACACACACAGACACACACATGTGGGAATGTGGTCAATGGACATGGAAATATGAAATGTATGTTCCCATGAGATTCACATTTCACTGTATTTCCTTTTGTACTATTTTAATTTTTAGCATGTATCTGTTTCAATTCATAATAACATAAATCTTTCTAAATATACAAAAGTACATAAAACTGTATGTCCCTACAGTACTCTTAGTTTAACAAGGTAAGACATTATTAAAAAATAACATCAAATATGTCTTTGTTCACAATCAACTTGTTTCTGGATTAATTTTGTTGTACATAAATGATTTGATATTTTATCACAAGTTAGTTGATATTCTATCACACTGTCACAAATGGCACAACGAGCTCCAACCCCATCTTTGCCAGGCATGAAAAAGAAACTAAGCACATCACAGATGTTCAAATTGTATGGTCTTAACTTCATTTTGGGTTTAGGTATAAGTTCATTTTCTGAGATCACTTTTTATCAAATTACTATCATTGGTGGAATCCAGGTATTCTTTTGCCACATCAAGATCTCCAGTGTAAAAAATCAGCTTAGGAAAACATTACTGCATAGGTATTCTCTTTTCAGTTGCAACAGAAAATACTTTATTTTCAAAATCTTCTATTTATTATTTTTAAGTTAACAAAATTGGTGAAAATTTTAATACATGTTTGTTTTGTTTTGTTTTGTTTTTTTGTTGTTTTTAGCAGAAAGTTTTCATGCTATCTCTGTTGCTTTTGTGGATTGACGGAGGTGGAACTTTGATAGCTTTATGTTGTGTTTTCATGGTCAGTCACTGAATATATCCGTCGTCTCCAACATTGTCGTAGAGAATATCGCTGAGTAAATGTTAGGGTACTAGAGTCAGCAAGTCTGTGCTTGAATTTATAGTAATGTTTGGGTCAATCTAGGGTTCCACAGTGGAGAATGGCACACAATTACCTCTCACTGAGCCATGCATATGGCCTGCCCACCTCAGTGAGCACTAAAGACAGGAGCTCTAGACCCTTGACTTTTTCCTGATGTGCTGCAATTATTAACAGCACAAGTAGCAATACGAGCACAGCAGCTGCAAGAGCAGTTTAAGCCATTTTTTCTTCCCAAATGTAAGCCAATTATAAAATCAGTCAAAAAGGCACTGATACAAGGTAAGCAGATTTTATATTCATTTTAGCAACTTGCTCTAAATTAAACACAGCTGTAATGTTTTTAACTATCAAGAGTTCAGAAGCAAGAAGTTAGATAATTTTTTAAATTCCAGGTGGAAAATAGTTTACTAAAATAGTGATTATTGTATTATTCTCAAGTTACTGTGTGCAATCTAAATGGTTATGAGGCCTATTCTGTGTATTCTGAGGTCATTTATTATTATAATACGAGAGAGAGGAGAATCCAAAAACATTCAGAGATCAAAATGAATGTTTCGGCTTATTTTTGGATTTTAAGAATTTTTTTTTACACCAAACAAAAGTGGTAAAAGTAGCTTGTATGTCTCCGAAAATGTCTCAGTGCCCTTCACTTTTGAGAGAACTTGTAAAATTATCCGCAGATGCTTTCCTTCCAAATGCCCAAATTGGTGAAGTAGACCTAGATTTTTCTTTCCGACCCTTAGCCATGTCCCAGTCTTCCAAGGGTTACTTAAAAATAGCAGCCTGCAGCTTTACAGTGTGTTTGGTCTAATTTTGCAAGCTCTGGAGCCTCAGTCATCTGCAGAGCAGGTGTTTCTTTGAATCATCTTTCACCATGTCTTTCCCTACTGTGGTCTGGTTCATCGAACTTTCAGTCTGTACTTTGCCTCCCTCCGCTCTGATTTCCCAGTTCACTGAATATGTCCATTCTTAATAAGTGGAATGACTCATCTAATGTTTGAGCCACAATTTAGCTGTGGACAGGTATATTTCTGGGAGAAAAAGAAGAATAAATTAAATGATAGAATACCTTAAGGAGTCTCTCCTGCTTTTTGATGTTGTTATGTAACTTTCTCATTACTTTTAAATAGCAGCACATCATTTCACTGCCAGCATAGTGAAATGGAATGCAATATAAAAATATAGATTCTCTATTTTACACATGCTTAATTATTACATAGTATCACTGGAAAGCAATTGCAAATGTGTAATCATAGAAATAATTTCAGTTTTTCTACACAAGGGGATGTTAAAAGGCCAGGGAAATGGAGTAAATTATTCTCAATTAAGAATTTAAGGGCAAAGAAAAAGAATATTGACAAATGGCTACAGTGTAACCAAAATAACACAACAATTGATCTTTTTTTAATTTTCAAAATAAATAGTCTATACTTGCCATTTTTAATCAGCTTTTCTTATGTATTTTTTGGATGCTACTCCCTACTGAAGTTATCAGGCACAGCAAAAACTCAATGGTAAATAATAAATACCCTGGTGTCCAGACAGAAATCTCCCACTAAATAAATAAATAAAGACATTCACTGAGGGGAATGTTTCTGATCAGAGTTCTTCCAAAAGTCACTGTTGTATGCTTTTATTTCTTCATTCTTACCTTCTCATGCCCTTTTCTTAAGGAATAAAAGTCAGCCTACAATGCTGGGAGGTGAAAGGGAAAATGCAGCCACTGTCCCTCTGATCCAGTTATTCTATATGTGCTTCTGTGTTTCAGTCAGGCTGGAAACTGAGAGAGAAATGAGCTTACTGAATTTTTAATAATGCATTTGTTTAAGTTCAGTTTACTATTAAGACCTTTTTCTGTACATTCCTAAATGCTGCCATTATTAGCAGAAACAATTTTTCTTTTCATGTCCGTATTTTTCATTACAAGGGAAAACCCACTGTTGAATTTCCCAGTATTATCTGTTTCCCACTGCACACCTTTGGGAAATTAAAGCTTCATTTTCAACACATGAGTAATACGTGAGAGCTCATTTTTTAAAGCAAAATTAAATATTGCCCTCCAGAATTCCATCATATTCCATTTTTTCCTGATTCATGTTTATACACATTCATACTCAAAGGAGCACTACATCTAAAAATCAATAAATAAGTGCACCATGTGTGCCTGTAAACACAGAGACCGATGGTTGTATGCATGATATGAACTCAGGAATTATGGCTTAGCTCCTGCAGAGGCATAAGAAAATCATATAAACTTTCAAGGCTGGAGTTGATCATCCATTTAGAGGAGCAACAATTCCATGTCTAGTGTATGGTTCATTGAGATAAGGGCCATGCAGCCTGGAGCGAAACATACTTTTCTGCCTAATCCTCCAACTACCTCTGTGGAAAGTTAGAGAGGCTGACAAATTCTCTAGGTTTTTTTCTCCCAAATTAGATTTGAATGAAAAGTGTATGATACTATTTTTCTAAACTCCAAGAGAAAAACTCTTGATAAGATTACAAAATAGAATCAGAAAATCACAAGTAATTTGATATTTCAGTTTTGATACCCATGTCTAATAGCAACATGGGCCATGGATCTACTCTATGATTATGCAGCTTTGCTTGATAAATATTTTTAAAATGACCGTACAACACACCAAGAAAGTCTCCAAGTTTATTTTACATCTAGGGGCCAAAATTATATAGGAAAGAAAAATGATATTTCCCTGCATACACAAAAACATGTAGAACTTGTGACTTTTAAAAATGAAAATTGAGAGTTATGTTTATGTTTTATCCTCATGTGTTTCTAATCCTTTTTACATGGCGTGGTTTTCACTGTTTGCAGTTTTAACTTCTTTGCCTTCTAGCAAAATTTTCATATGGAGCTCCACTTTTCTGAAAGTTAAATATTCCTTCAATTTTTAAAGCCCAGATGCTATAACAATTGTACAATGTTTGTTTCTATTTTTAATTTTCATCATAAACATTTAATATATTATGCAGGAGCCTTTCAAATCAGTGAAGAAAAGCCCTACTCAATAAATTGTTGGGATCAATTGTCTAGAAAAAATACATCACAAGAAAATAAGTTACAAATGAATAAAATATACACAAATAAAATTAAATCAACTGAAAGAATATTAGACAAAATGTGTGGATTCTGCTTATGCTCATGAATTGGGTAAGTTCTAAACATATAAAAAAAGAAGCAAAACCAAAAATGTATTATAAATTTAATTATATGAAAAATTAAGACAAGTCTATTGAAATATGTAATTTCTAAGTGAGAAAATTCAAAATATTAACATTAATTGACAATAAAGTTACACCTCTGACATAAATGTTAATGCATTTAGCGCAAATGATGGAATGAAAGACTTGGATACTAATGCCTCACAAAGGGTGAAAGGAACTATTTTGTGGGCTGAAAACATGAGAGAGCCACAGACAACCCTTAAAAACAGTGAGAAAAAGATTAAGAATTTAATAGAAAGATGGACAATCAGCATGAAGAAACAGTTAATAGGCAAAGAATATGAATGGCCAACAAACAAAAGTACAATCAAAACTATAATGAAATAAACACAAATTAAAATGATAAGATATTTTAGTTATCAGATTAACAATGATTAAAGTTTGATAATGACTCATATTGGCAACAGTTTGAAAAGAAACCCATCACTTCTCCAGAACAAGTGTGTATGAATTGATATAATCTTACACCTGCTGAAACTCTTTGACTAAGTAATCTTATAAGTTTATCCTAAACTTATGACAGCACAAAGGTATAGAACTATTCCTACAAAGTTTTTTACTATAAAAAACATTAACAACATTTATGCACATCCATAAAATTGTGGTTTTATAAATCACACTATATTCTGAGTTGTGATATAGTCACAGTATAAAACTGAGCTCTGTGCAACTGTTCAAAATGTTAGGAAGATCAATATATTCCAACATAGAGATGCAAAGTATATTGCTTAGCAACGAAAGCAAGTTGTGGAAAAGTTTAAAAATTGGAATGGATAATAGCATATTGTTAAGAATATTAGCTCTGGAGTCAGAATCCCTGGTTTGAAAGTAAACTCTGTTATTTAGTGTCATACATTGATGACATTCCTTACTCTTTTGGGGCTCAGATTACTTCCTTATTTGTTATAATGGGAGTGGTAATAACACTACCTCAAAGGATTTTTATAAAACATAAGTATGACTGGATATGGAAAATGCTTAACTCATTGTCTAAGCCTACTCAATAAATGTTAGATAATATTATTATCACATTTATGTTTCTATATACTGTGCTTAATAGATACACAAAATATGCTAATGATAGCCACTCCTAAGAAATGATATGATGGTGGAAATAGCGGTAGGGATGGAGAGAGAATGGAGGATTATATTTGGTTCTATATTCTGTAAAATTTTGATGAGCATGTGGTTCCTCAATAATAAATCATAAATGTTTCCATTTTAAATCCTGAGTTTCTCTCAAAATACTTCTTCAGGATCTAATATGGATAATATGCAATATAGAAAATACAAAATTCTTTCATATAACTTTCTTACTATCTTTAATTTACATAAAACATTTAATTTAATTAAAAAAATAATGTGTGGGAGGGTAACACACTTGCATTTATTCTAAAGTTGAAGAACACTTATGATTGATATAGTCATGTGTGAGAAACCCTAAATGATTGAAAATTTTCCACTATGGCTTTCTCATGTTCTCAGTCCCCAAAACCGTTCCCCTACTCTTTTTTTTTTTTTTTTTGAGACGGAGTCTCGTTCTGTCGCCCAGGCGGGAGTGCTGTGGCGCGATATCCGCTCACTGCAAGCTCCGCCTCCCGGGTTCACGCCATTCTCCTGCCTCAGCCTCCGGAGTAGCTGGGACTACAGGCGCCCGCCACTGCGCCCGGCTAATTTTTTGTATTTTTAGTAGAGACGGGTTTTCACTGTGGTCTCGATCTCCTGACCTCGTGATCCGCCCGCCTCGGCCTCCCAATGTGCCTACTCTTGATGGGAACTTAGCGTCTAACTTTTTCATTCTACCATTTTTGCTAAATCAAAGTTTCTAAGCCATCATCTTCTAAACTGCAAGATATTTTCTCCCTCCCCCAACACAGGTTTGTAACTAAAAATACCCCAAACTAACTTAACTTTATCTGACTCCTTCTGCAAAAACTGTACAAAAACTCTGCTCTTCTCCTTGAAGATAAAGCACTTTTTCAAAGCTGAACCATTGCAACACTTTTTGATAAAAGGCTACCCTTAAGGGTGCTCAGGTTGGTTTTGTTCTATAGTTTTTGGTGCTGGAACTCAGCTCACATTAACCCCAGATTCCTTCCTGGATAGCCTAACAGGACTTACTGATATCACCCTCCTCAGGGTCCTGGCCTGGACAGTTGAATAATTTCTAATGTGATGAGCACTGCAATTGTTTGCTTCAAGTACTGCCTAAGTTTGTGTTCTCTTTTTCTCTCTGTCTCTCTCTCTTCTTTTTTTGTTGGGGGGGGGGGTCCTTGGAATAGCCCCTTGATTGGAATTTGATTACTTAGGGCACTCAGGAATGAGACAGGGTATAGTGCCAAGATCCTTGTCTATTATTTGCCTATTGTTGTTTATCATTTGTATATGAATTTGTCAATAATTCAATGAGCCTCTGATTTATTATCCAGCTTCTTACATATACAAATGTTAAGATGTGACTATAACTAAATATTTCAAACTCTGGCAATATTTTAACAGGAACAATTTACATTGGTGGTTATTCTGCAGAACTGTAGATAGACTAAAGCAATTTAGCCAAGAGCTTTCCCCAAGGTTCTTCCCATCAAAATTGATTAGTAAAAAATCCAAGTCCTAGCTCCCAGATCTTGCTGTCTGGACCATTCTCCAATCCAAGGAACCAGAGCTCCTTGACGAAATACCATATTCTAGGACCAAAGCAGAAGATATAAAAGATGATGCTGAAGCAGCTGTGTTGCCAGAAAAAAAAGAAGATATAAACACACACACACACACACACACACACACACACACACACACACACACACACACACACACACACAGAGTATGATGAGGACTGAGAACAAAAAGTTCTTGATGACCAATGCTGGAATAATTTGAGCAAGAAAATAAAAACAGTATTTCTTTGTAACCATTATAATCCAAAGTATAGAATAAATATCCATAGGTCTCTCGTCATTATATAAATAAATAATTGAATAAGTAAATTAATATGAGATAAGAGATAAATCTCCTGAGGTTTCCAAATAATTTATTTAAGTAGTTAGCCTTCAAGAGGAGGAATATAATGCCCCATTCCTTAAATGTGGGCTATGTATAGGGTCCAAAAAGTACAGCGTGGAAAGGGGGAAGGAAAGTAACTTTATAGCGGAGATATATGGCAAATGACCCCAGCCAGGTGATTAAGGGAAACAACAGTGATAAATTATGTTGATAGTATGTACCTTTAAAAAGATGTGATGGAAATCACACTTTTCCTGTGGTGTTTCTCCCTGAAGTCTAAAACCCATTAGCCCCAGTCTAATCATGAGAAAAGAATCATAAACTTTGAATATAGGAGCATGCTACAAAATGTTTGACTAGTAATCCTCAAATCTGTCGAGGTCATCAAAAGAAAAGGAAGTCCAAGAAATTGTTACAGCCAAGGAGAGACTAAGGAGACATGATACATAAAGGTAATATGGTACCCTATCTGGAATTCTGGTACAGAAAAACATATTAGGTAAAAATTAAGAAAATGTGAATAAAGTATGAACTTTAATTAGTAATACATCAATATTTCTTCATTAGCTGCTGCAAATGTACCATACTAATGTCGGATGTTAATATTAAGGGATCTGGGTACAGAGTACATGAGAATTCTCTGTATTGAATACTCACCTTTTCTGTAAATACAAAACTGTCCTAAATTACAAAGTAGAGTATAAAAATTCCGATCCTAAAAGAGGAAACAATAAATCTGTCCTAGACTTTCTAGATCATATCACTATCTTAGGAGAATATTTGCAATGAGGGAGAAGACTTTACAATTGTCCTGTCTTATCATTTGTCAATATTTTAAATAAAAGGCACACCAGAGGAAATTTTCTGTTTTAGCACAAAATACAGAATGCAAAATGACAAATGAAAACTATATATAACAGAATGATATTCCTGTCATAACTGCTGGTAATATAAGCAAGAAATATCCATGCAATTGTGAAAACAGAATGCTCTATTTGACCCTCTATCCTCAGCTCTACTACTATCCCATCATCCCTCCCTCAGAGTAGGAGTGTGAACTCCTCAGATTCTGCTTTTGCCTCAGCTACCTTCTATCTGCTGAGTTCCTCTGTGCAATCTCTCACCTGGGAATCTGTTGGGACAAAAACAATTGTGTAAGCAAGACACCATTATAAAGTGTGAATGAGGCAGCTTCTTTCTGGAACTGCCAAGAGGAGAAAAATTCCTGGCTTATAACTTAATGATTGTACAGATTAATAATCTGATTCATCTCCTGAAATCTCTCAGACCTTGAATATGTTCCCAATAGCCTCAAGGTCAAAGATAATTCAGATGTGGGAAACATAAAAGAGAATTTCTTAAAGATCTGAATTGGTCTAGCTATGCCCTTACGAAAACTGGCCAAATACTAAATTTAAAAGGAGGCTACTTAAGGATTGTGATCCATCATATCTGTATACCTCCAGAAAGGACTTATTATATGGTCCATGGGACAAAACGGGTCTGTTGTCTGTTTTTGCAAATAAAGTTTTATTTGAACGTAGCTATGACTATTCATTTATGTATTTTCCGTGGCTACTTTGTTACTGCAATGACAGAATTGAATAGTCATGACAGGAACTAGATGACCTGAGAAACCAATAATATTTACTGTCTGGCACTTTAGAGAAAATGTTTGCTAACCTTTGATCTAAGCTATGATGTTACAGAAATTAGAAAGTGCATCCCTTGAAGACTGAATGCTATTTATGACTTTTACTAGCATATTACCGTAGCACAACTTAGAAGATGCCTTGGTTACGCTGATAGTTTTAGACATTTGATTATTAACTTTTCTACACTGGCTGACCCTTATATAATCTCACAACCTCTTTTGCTCTTATCTAAGGTCATGCCTTGGACAAACACAATAAAACCTGACTTCTTTAAGTGAAAGGATTTAAACCCCTCTACCCTTTGCCTTAGTAATTACCAAAAATCCTATTTTTCATTTGTACTCAAAGATTTGGAAAAACTTTAGGGATTCAAACTCAGTAGCACAACTATTTTAAGTGATTATGGTCAAGATTTTTTTCAGCTGATGAAAGATATCAAGCAATATAATCAAGGTATATTTTAATCCTTCAGTAAGATAAATACAAAGAATATACTTCATAGAATTTAAAACATCTGTAGAACTAAAAGGCACAAAATCATAACACAAAAATAGTTTGAAGACGTAAGTGCAGTTGAATAGTTCTAATAAACTTGAAGAAATATTAATATATATATTAATGTTAGACCTTAACCATTAAAATTTTAATCTCTATGATAACCATTAAAATAGAAAAAAATGAGTAATACACTTTTAAAAGGTAAAGTAAATTTTGAAAGCATTCATTTAGCCCAAGGAAAGCACACAAGTAAGGAAAAGGAACACGGATCACTTGAGATAAAATGGAAAATAAATGGATCAAAACCCAAATATATCAATTATTGTAGTAAATATAAAAGGACTAAATATTCCAATTTAAAAAATGTTTTCAGACTGGAGTAAAAACAAAATGTTAAATAATAATTATATGCTCTTTAAAAGGGGCATACAAAATATAAGCAGTCGGAAAAGCTGAAAATAAAACTATGGAAAATGATTATGCAAACTATAATTTTAAAATCAAAAATTGACAGTATAAGAAGTACGTATTATAATTCTTCGGATAAAATAGTTTTGCATCTCTAAAGTTCATTTTCTATGGAATTTATAAACCAAATATTAATAACTAGATTAAAAAGGCATTTATTTGAAGAAAATGGAGAAACACAAATAATACAAGTAATAGCTGAATAACTAGGATTGAGAAAGTCAAGATGTATTTTTGGAAGTTAGAGACCACACAAGATTTTCACTAAGACACTCTCTTGGAAAAAAGTAAAAAAAAAAAGTCTAAATTATCCTCCTTTTTGCACTCTATTATTAGTGCAAAGTACTAAAAGTTCCATTTATTTATTTATTTATTTATTTATTTAATATATTATTATTATTGTTTCAGATGAAATCTAGCTCTGTCACCCAGGCTGGAGTGCCGTGGGGCAATCTCAGCTCACTGCAACCTCTGTCTCCCGGGTTCAAGCTATTCTCCCACTTCAGCCTCTCCAGCAACTGGGATTGCAGGCATGCACCACCACACCCAGCTGATTGCTGTATTTTTAGTAGAGACGGGGTTTCACCAAGTTGGCCAGACCGGTGATCTACCTGACCTCCAGTGATCTACCTGCCTCAGCCTCCCAAAGTGCTGGGATTACAGGCATGAGCCACTGTGCCCTGCCGAGTTCCATTCATTTAGATGTAGTCATGAATTCACCTTTTCACTAATGAGAAACCCAGGATATCCTGTCTTAAAGACACCATAACCTTCTACAGTGGGGATGGATGTAATTCCAAAAAAAGAAACTGAGATCACTTGAACCAAACCAGCAGAAATAGATGCTGGGCAGCTAATGAAAGAAACATTTATTATAGTTGGTTCAAATAACATCTGTGGACATTGAATCAAATATGGTATACTTATAACTTTAGATAAAACTTTTATTTTTGTAATAGTTTTTAACAGTAAATGGGAATTTCAGCTTGACTGTTGTCTCACCATGAAGAAAGCACTTAAACATGTATATCCTATGCCTAAAGTCATTTACTTTCGTGAAGTTCCTGATGCATGAGAATCATCTGATGGGAGTGTAGCTGTACAAAGGCGGGTGAAGACAAAATTACAGCAAAATATGATCTTTCCTGACAATGAAAAAAATGCTACAAACACATAGTTTTTTGAGGCAAATTTTCAGTAAAATTATTATTTTTTATATATTGGTAGACTTGCTTTCTAGGATTTCTGGCAAAATATAATACTGCCGTGGGAATGCAGTGTTAATCTACTGGCTAAAAATATTACCTAACTGACTTTCTTAAGTAATTCAAAGGGACATGTAGAAGTCAGTACATTTGACACCCTGGTTAAAAACAAAAAGGAGTGCAAAAATGGTATTTTCAGAGTCAAATTTCTAGCCTGCAACTCCAGGAGACTCCTTCAGGATCAAAATCAAATAAAGGGGTCCAAACATTTTGTGGTTGTACATTTTGTACATTTCCTATGTAAACTTTCTTCCAGAGGCAATTATAGCTCTCACAGAAAAATATCTTTGGAACGATTTTGGGCGGTCTAGCTTGAGAATGATTTTTCAAGTGTCATGCAGTTATTAACTTCTAAGTCTCTGCCTTTGTACAATGTTCAAGAATAGCTACTTTGTTCTTATTGCTAATCCTGACCCTGCCAAATTAAGAGCCTTGCTTGTTCATAACGGTCTGATGGCACCAAAGAACCAATTGATAACTACTTAATAATGGTGTAATCTTTAGCATAGGATTAATGGAAAGATTGATGAAAACCAGAAGTTTCACCACTGACTGTATAACTCTGATTTTACCTATAATTGCCTCAAAACTTTGAAGTATCAAGAATAATCAATAGCGCATCAAGCCAATCCTTGCAGTGACATGCAGACTCTCACAGGCATTAGTAATACTGAAGAAAGTGTATGACTAGCTCATTCTTATGAATCAACAAAAGGTTCCTCTCCCTAAATTCATTGTCCTGAGGAGGATCCTCCCTGGAGCGAAAGGACTGAGAGCTCAAGCATTTTCATTGTTACTGGAATCTCTCTGATGAATTAAGACAATTCCAAAAAAAATTTACTGTAGAAAAAGTTAACAAGACCCTATCCCACTTAACTTTTTCACTTCCCAGAATCTCATTCTAGGGTAAGAGGCAGTCAGAATTGATGATTCAGACTCAAAATTAGGACCGAAATATTTGTAGGCAATGGATGATTTTGGCTCAGTGTTTCGTTCAAACCAAAAGTCCTTTCCAACCAGCTATTCTGAAACAGCAGAAACGTATGAAGTATAGGAAGCCCAGTGTATTATGGTGAAATGCCTTGTTATTCAGAGTGTCCTGTGGGCTAGCAACATGAGCTCTTAGATAACTCATTGAATTAAATTCTGCATTTAAAAACTTATCTCCAGCTGATTTGTATGCATAGTAAAATTTTACAAGCTTTGGAAACAAATTGTAGCTGAAAGTAAAAATGAGAAAAATAGACTTCCATTTTCAAAAACTCTTTCCCCTTAAAACCTTCAAAAGTATCATTAAGACAGTAGGTAAAAGTAGCATCACAAACCTGCCAGGCCGCTGGTGATCACCAGTTACAAGTAGAAACATCAAGAACAAAAGCACCAGAAAATAGGGTCAACCAGAGGACTGATCACAATCCCAGTCTTCTCTCCAAGAAATAAATGTGAGCAGAACTGGCAACTTTGTACAGAATAAACTCAAAATGTTCTTGTACAATCGAGTGGGGAACAAGACCCCCAAATCCATTAGCACATGGTTACTGGATATTGTAAGATAATGGTGTTTCTATGCTAATGATTTCCCTTTATACCTCCATCTTTTTTGCATGAGTTCAAATTCATAGATGCCACCAACTACTTGATATTTATAATTGGATATTTAATATCCAATTTGACTTTGGGAGGCCAGGAATTCAATACCAGTCTTGGCAAAATAGTGAGACCCCATTTCTTTCTTTCTTTTTTTTTTTTTTTTTTTTTTTTGAGACGGAGTCTCGCTCTGTCGCCCAGGCTGGAGTGCAGTGGCGTGGTCAGGGCTCACTGCAAGCTCCGCCTCCTGAGTTCTGCCATTCTCCTGCCTCAGCCTCCCGAGTAGCTGGGACTACAGGCGCCCACCACCGCGCCCAGCTAATTTTTTGTATTTTTAGTAGAGACGGGGTTTCACCGTGTTAGCCAGGATGGTCTTGATCTCCTGACCTCGTGATCTGCCTGCCTCGGCCTCCCAAAGTGCTGGGATTACAGGCGTGAGCCACCACCCCCAGCCGTGAGACCCCATTTCTACAAAAAAAGTAACACATTTAGCTGGGTGTGGTGGCATGTGTCTGTAGTCCCAGCTATCTGGGAGGCTGAGATGAGAGGATTGCTTGACCCCAGGAGTTTGAGGCTGCTGTGAGCTATGATTATGCCACTGCACTCCAGCCTAGGTGACAGAGCAAGACTCCATCTCTAAAAGAAAAAAAAAAAATTAAAGAATAAAAACAAAATAAACTATAAGCTCCATGAAAGGCAAAAACTTGATCTTTCTTATAAAAATGACATAATACATCTTTAAAAACAGATAAAATTAATACTTATTAAGGTATTTTATGGGAGAAAATTTGAAGGGAAATACAAATAGATCTTTGAAAGAGCAATTGAGAGAGTAAAAAGAAAACTTCTATTTCATTACAGGCTGGTGAAGCCATTCAGTTAGTTAGATATGCCATTCAACTAGTTAGATATTTCTTAAACTGAATATGGAAAGAGGGATTCGTAGAAACCTGAGAAAGTCAAATAATTTATAATTTATAGAAAAAAACAAAAACAGTAACTACATAATGTATGATGTATTTTATTGATTACTTGATTAATTAACAGAATATCCATTAATACTATGTTAATCCAAGAATCCAGCCAAGACCATGAATCACAAACACGAAAGGGAAGCAAGTCACATAAATCACAGGTCCCCATAGACATAGAACAGATAATATTCTGATCTGATCTTTGACAAAATCCACTAATGCGATAATTTTTAATGTTTGTATTTTTTTTGTTCTTTGTTGTTTGTCCCTCCCTGGATATGATAAAAAATTCCTTATTCTATCTCCAACTTCTATTGAAGTAATCATGGCTTTGTCCTATTTACTTGCAGATTTGAGGTAACAAGATACTCATTTTTCACTACAGCTCAGCATCTATCTCAATTGCATTTATTCAAAAACTGGACAGGAATTTTCTCTAGTTTTTTTTTTCACTTGATCAACTTTAAAAAATGATCAATTTGATAGAATCATTCAGAATACTAAATCCTCTATGACTTGAGGTTTTAGAAGAGATTTTCAAGAAGAAAACCTCTCTCTCTTATTCAGCTATACCTGTCCTTGTGATTGCTATTGGCCTTCTTAAATCTTTTATGGTGGCTCAAGACTTTTCTTTTTTGTGTGTGTGTTTATTTATATTTTGTTCCCAGTTTTTCACTTTAAAATCTAGTTTTCTTTTTTTTTGTATCTTTATATCTCGTTCTCAGTTTTTCACTTTAATCTCTGGTTTTCTTTTATTATTATTATTATTATTATACTTTAAGTTTTAGGGTACATGTGCACAATGTGCAGGTTAGTTACATATGTATACGTGTGCCATGCTGGTGCACTGCACCCACTAACTCGTCATCTAGCATTAGGTATATCTCCCAATGCTATCCCTCCCCCCTCCCCCCACCCCACAACAGTCCCCAGAGTGTGATGTTCCCCTTCCTGTGTCCATGTGTTCTCATTGTTCAATTCCCACCTATGATTGAGAATATGCGGTGTTTGGTTTTTTGTTCTTGCGATAGTTTACTGAGAATGATGATTTCCAATTTCATCCATGTCCCTACAAAGGACATGAACTCATCCTTTTTTATGGCTGCATAGTATTCCATGGTGTATATGTGCCACATTTTCTTAATCCAGTCTATCATTGTTGGACATTTGGGTTGGTTCCAAGTCTTTCCTATTGTGAATAATGCCGCAATAAACATACGTGTGCATGTGTCTTTACAGCAGCATGATTTATAATCCTTTGGGTATATACCCAGTAATGGGATGGCTGGGTCAAATGGTATTTCTATTTCTAGATCCCTGAGGAATCGCCACAGTGACTTCCACAATGGTTGAACTAGTTTATAGTCCCACCAACAGTGTAAAAGTGTTCCTATTTCTCCACATCCTCTTCAGCACCTGTTATTTCCTGACTTTTTAATGATTGCCATTCTAACTGGTGTGAGATGGTATCTCATTGTGGTTTTGATTTGCATTTCTCTGATGGCCAGTGATGATGAGCATTTTTTCATGTGTTTTTTGGCTGCATAAATGTCTTCTTTTGAGAAGTGTCTGTTCATGTCCTTCACCCACTTTTTGATGGGGTTGTTTGTTTTTTTCTTGTAAATTTGTTTGAGTTAATTGTAGATTCTGGATATTAGCCCTTTGTCAGATGAGTAGGTTGCGAAAATTTTCTCCCATTCTGTAGGTTGCCTGTTCACTCTGATGGTAGTTTCTTTTGCTGTGCAGAAGCTCTTTAGTTTCATTAGATCCCATTTGTCAATTTTGTCTTTGGTTGCCATTGCTTTTGGTGTTTTAGACATGAAGTCCTTTCCCATGCCTATGTCCTGAATGGTAATGCCTAGATTTTCTTCTAGGGTTTTTATGGTTTTAGGTCTAACATGTAAGTCTTTAATCCATCTGGAATTGATATTTATGTAAGGTGTAAGGAAGGGATCCAGTTTCAGCTTTCTACATATGGCTAGCCAGTTTTCCCAGCACCATATATTAAATAGGGAATCCTTTCCCCATTGCTTGTTTTTCTCAGGTTTGTCAAAGATCAGATAGTTGTAGATAAGTGACGTTATTTCTGAGGGCTCTATTCTGTTCCATTGATCTATATCTCTGTTTTGGTTACTGTAGCCTTGTAGTATAGTTTGAAGTCAGGTAGTGTGATGCCTCCAGCTTTGTTCTTTTGGCTTAGGATTGACTTGGTGATGCACGGTCTTTTTTGGTTCCATATGAACTTTAAAGTAGTTTTTTCCAATTCTGTGAAGAAAGGCATTGGTAGCTTGATGGGGATGGCATTGAATCTGTAAATTACCTTGGGCAGTATGGCCATTTTCACGATATTGATTCTTCCTACCCATGAGCATGGAATGTTCTTCCATTTGTTTGTATCCTCTTTTATTTCCTTGAGCAGTGGTTTGTAGTTCTCCTTGAAGAGGTCCTTCACATCCCTTGTAAGTTGGATTCCTAGGTATTTTATTCTCTTTGAAGCAATTGTGAATGGGAATTCACTCATGATTTGGCTCTCTGTTTGTCTTCTGTTGGTGTATAAGAATGCTTGTGATTTTTGTACATTGATTTTGTATCCTGAGACTTTGCTGAAGTTGCTTATCAGCTTAAGGAGATTTTGGGCTGAGACAATGGGGTTTTCTAGATATACAATCATGTCATCTGCAAACAGGGACAATTTGACTTCCTCTTTTCCTAATTGAATACCCTTTATTTCCTTCTCCTGCCTAATTGCCCTGGCCAGAACTTCCAACACTATGTTGAATAGGAGTGCTGAGAGAGGGCATCCCTGTCTTGTGCCAGTTTTCAAAGGGAATGCTTCAAGTTTTTGCCCATTCAGTATGATATTGGCTGTGAGTGTGTCATAGATAGCTCTTATTATTTTGAGATATGTCCCATCAATACCTAATTTATTGAGAGTTTTTAGCGTGAAGGGTGTTCAATTTTGTCAAAGGCCTTTTCTGCATCTATTGAGATAATCATGTGGTTTTTGTCTTTGGCTCTGTTTATATGATGGATTACATTTATTGATTTGCGTATATTGAACCAGCCTTGCATCCCAGGAATGAAGCCCACTTGGTCATGATGGATAAGCTTTTTGATGTGCTGCTGGATTCGGTTTGCCAGTATTTTATTGAGGATTTTTGCATCAATGTTCATCAAGGATATTGGTCTAAAATTCTCTTTTTTGATTGTGTCTCTGCCTGGCTTTGGTATCAGGATGATGCTGGCCTCATAAAATGAGTTAGGGAGGATTCCCTCTTTTTCTGTTGATTGGAATAGTTTCAGAAGGAATGGTACCAGTTCCTCCTTGTACCTCTGGTAGAATTCGGCTGTGAATCCATCTGGTCCTGGACTCTTTTTTGGTTGGTAAGCTATTGATTAATGCCACAATTTCAGCTCCTGTTATTGGTCTATTCAGAGATTCAACTTCTTCCTGGTTTAGTCTTGGGAGAGTGTATGTGTCGAGGAATTTATCCATTTCTTCTAGATTTTCTAGTTTATTTGCATAGAGGTGTTTGTAGTATTCTCTGATGGTAGTTTGTATTTCTGTGGGATCGGTGGTGATATCCCCTTTATCATTTTTTATTGCGTCTATTTGATTCTTTTCTCTTTTCTTCTTTATTAGTCTTGCTAGCGGTCTATCAATTTTGTTGATCCTTTCAAAAAACCAGCTCCTGGTTTCATTAATTTTTTGAAGGGTTTTTTGTGTCTCTGTTTCCTTCAGTTCTGCTCTGATTTTAGTTATTTCTTGCCTTCTGCTAGCTTTTGAATGTGTTTGCTCTTGCTTTTCTAGTTCTTTTAATTGTGATGTTAGGGTGTCAATTTTGGATCTTTCTTGCTTTCTGTTGTGGGCATTTAGTGCTATAAATTTCCCTCTACACGCTGCTTTGAATGCATCCCAGAGATTCTGATATGTTGTGTCTTTGTTCTCGTTGGTTTCAAAGAACATCTTTATTTCTGCCTTCGTTTCGTTATGTACCCAGTAGTCGTTCAGGAGCAGGTTGTTCAGTTTCCATGTAGTTGAGCAGTTTTGGGTGAGATTCTTAATCCTGAGTTCTAGTTTGATTGCACTGTGGTCTGAGAGATAGTTTGCTATAATTTCTGTTCTTTTACATTTGCTGAGGAGAGCTTTACTTCCAAGTATGTGGTCAATTTTGGAATAGGTGTGGTGTGGTGCTGAAAAAAATGTATATTCTGTTGATTTGGGGTGGAGAGTTCTGTAGATGTCTATTAAGTCCACTTGGTGCAGAGCTGAGTTCAATTCCTGGGTATCCTTGTTGACTTTCTGTCTCGTTGATCTGTCTAATGTTGACAGTGGGGTGTTAAAGTCTCCCATTATTAATGTGTGAGAGTCTAAGTCTCTTTGTAGGTCACTCAGGACTTGCTTTATGAGTCTAGGTGCTCCTGTATTGGGTGCATATATATTTAGGATAGTTAGCTCTTCTTGTTGAATTGATCCCTTTACCATTATGTAATGGCCTTCTTTGTCTCTTTTGATCTTTGTTGGTTTAAAGTCTGTTTTATCAGAGACTAGGATTGCAACCCCTGCCTTTTTTTGTTTTCCATTTGCTTGGTAGATCTTCCTCCATCCTTTTATTTTGAGCCTATGTGTGTCTCTGCACATGAGATGGGTTTCCTGAATACAGCACACTGATGGGTCTTGACTCTTTATCCAATTTGCCAGTCTGTGTCTTTTAATTGGAGCATTCAGTCCATTTACATTTAAGGTTAATATTGTTATGTGTGAATTTGATCCTGTCATTATGATGTTAGCTGGTTATTTTGCTGGTTAGTTGATGCAGTTTCTTCCTAGTCTCGATGGTCTTTACATTTTGGCATGATTTTGCAGTGGCTGGTACCCGTTGTTCCTTTCCATGTTTATTGCTTCCTTCAGGAGCTCTTTTAGGACAGGCCTGGTGGTGACAAAAATCTCTCAGCATTTGGTTGTCTGTAAAGTATTTTATTTCTCCTTCACTTATGAAGCTTAGTTTGGCTGGATATGAAATTCTGGGTCGAAAATTCTTTTCTTTAAGAATGTTGACTATTGGCCCCCACTCTCTTCTGGCTTGTAGAGTTTCTGCCGAGAGATCCGCTGTTAGTCTGATGGGCTTCCCTTTGTGGGTAACCCGACCTTTCTCTCTGGGTGCCCTTAACATTTTTTCCTTCATTTCAACTTTGGTGAATCTGACAATTATGTGTCTTGAAGTTGCTCTTCTCGAGGAGTGTCTTTATGGCGTTCTCTGTATTTCCTGAATTTGAATGTTGGCCTGCCTTGCTAGATTGGGGAAGTTCTCCTGGATAATATCCTGCATAGTGTTTTCCAACTCGGTTCCATTCTCCCCATCACTTCCAGGTACACCAATCAGACATAGATTTGGTCTTTTCACATAGTCCCATATTTCTTGGAGGCTTTGCTCATTTCTTTTTATTCTTTTTCTCTAAACTTCCCTTCTCGCTTCATTTCATTCACTTCATCTTCCATAGCTGATACCCTTTCTTCCAGTTGATCGCATCTGCTCCTGAGGCTTCTGCATTCTTCACGTAGTTCTCGAGCCTTGGTTTTCAGCTCCATCAGCTCCTTTAAGCACTTCTCTGTATTGGTTATTCTAGTTATACATTCTTCTAAATTTTTTTCATAGCTTTCAACTTCTTTGCCTTTGGTTTGAATGTCCTCCTGTAGCTCAGAGTAATTTGATCATCTGGAGCCATCTTCTCTCAGCTCGTCAAAGTCATTCTCCGTCCAGCTTTGTTCCGTTGCTGGTGAGGAACTGCATTCCTTTGGAGGAGAAGAGGCGCTCTGCTTTTTAGAGTTTCCAGTTTTTCTGCTCTGTTTTTTTCCCCATCTTTGTGGTTTTATCTACTTTTGGTCTTTGATGATGGTGATGTACAGATGGGTTTTTGGTGTGGATGTCCTTTCTGTTTGTTAGTTTTCCTTCTAACAGACAGGACCCTCAGCTGCAGGTCTGTTGGAGTACCAGGCCCTGTGAGGTGTCAGTCTACCCCTGCTGGGGGGTGCCTCCCAGTTAGGCTGCTCGGGGGTCAGGAGTCAGGGACCCACTTGAGGAGGCAGTCTGCCCATTCTCAGATCTCCAGCTGTGTGCTGGGAGAACCACTGCTCTCTTCAAAGCTGTCAGACAGGGACATTTAAGTCTGCAGAGGTTACTGCTGCCTTTGGTTTGTCTGTGCCCTGCCCCCAGAGGTGGAGCCTACAGAGGCAGGCAGGCCTCCTTGAGCTGTGGTGGGCTCCACCCAGTTCGAGCTTCCCAGCTGCTTTGTTTACCTAAGCAAGCCTGGGCAATGGTGGGTGCCCCTCCCCCAGCCTTGCTGCTGCCTTGCAGTTTGATCTCAGACTGCTGTGCTAACAATCAGCGAGACTCCGTGGGCATAGGACCCTCCGAGCCAGGTGTGGGATATAATCTCCTGGTGCGCGATTTTTTAAGCCTGTCGGAAAAGCGCAGTATTCGGGTGGGAGTGACCTGATTTTCCAGGTGCCGTCTGTCACCCCTTTCTTTGACTAGGAAAGGGAACTCCCTGACCCCTTGTGCTTCCCGAGTGAGGCAATGCCTCACCCTGCTTCGGCTCGTGCACGATGCGGGCACCCACTGAACTGCGCCCACTGTCTGGCATTCCCTAGTGAGATGAACCCGGTACCTCAGATGGAAATGCAGAAATCACCCGTCTTTTGTGTCGCTTAGGCTGGGAGCTGTAGACCTGAGCTGTTCCTATTCGGCCATCTTGGCTCCTCCCTCCAAGACTTTTCTTAACACTCTCCCTATAAGTTAATAATGTTTAATGTGAAACCTAGGTACTCTGTGAACCTCTTGGAATGACATGAAAAATACAGTGTCATGCAGTTTTATATCTTGGGGCTTTGAAAAAAGGTTCCAATCTCTTTCAGCTTTGTATCATCCATAGTATATAACTCAGAACCATAGATATGTCTCTTATGATTGAGTAATTCTTTGTCATCTTGTGGTATACTAATTTGAGTAGACTCTAAATGCAGAGCATGTTAATGTGAATGTTATCGTGAGGTTTCAAGTTTGTCTTCAACATCAAACCATTGCCTTTCTGGCACTGCTGATCATTAAACAGAAAAATAATAGTCATCTTGAATTTTCTATTAGAAACCATCAAACATACCTCAATACATATACTAACAATAATCACGTTAAAATTGTATGGCCTATAAATCCAAATATAAAATAAAATCATAAAATGAAATTTCAAATGCCAATTTCGTTTGAATTTTTAAAAAATACTCTCCCTAAACACATCTTCTATAGAATCACTATCATTCTTATTATTAGGTGATTTATGAAACATATCAGCTAAGGTATTTAGGGGATTATAATCTGAATGCAGTGTAGCCTTTCTACTAACAAAATAAAGAAAAATATTACTTGATTTTTAGTGATTATGAGAACATGCACTAGAAAAAAATGAGAAGGAAACCCACAATCATACATCACCTTACATGTTAGAATGGCTTTTGTCAAAAAGACAAAAACTAAAGTGTTAGCAAGGATTTGGAGAAAAGGGTAGACTTGTACACTGTTGGTGGGAATGTAAATTAGATGAGCCATTGTGTGTGGATGTATGTGTATGAGTATGGAAGTTCCTCAAAAAATTAAAAATAGAACTACCGTGTGATCCAGCTATCCCACTTCTGGATGTAAATGCAAAGGAAATTAAATCAGTATGTCAAAGAGATATCTGTACTACCATGTTATTGCGGCATTGTTCACAATAGCTGAGATATGGAATCAGCTAAGAGTTCATTGGTAAATGAATAAAGTAAATGTGAGATATATATATATGTATATATATATACACACACGTATATGAATACTATTTATCCTTTAAAAATATAGAAATCCTGTCATTTGTGGCAACATAGATGGATCCAGAAGACATTGTGCTAGGTGAAATAAGCTAGACACAGAAAGAAAAATACTGCATGATCTCACTAATATGTGGAATTTAAAAAATTGAACACATAGAAGCAAAGAGCAGAATGGTGAGTCTGGCCAGAGACTGAGACTAGGTGAGGGATGTGGCAATGTTGGTCAAAGGATACAGAGTTTCAGTTAGGAAGAATAAGTTCTGGAGACCTATTGTACAGAATGGTGACTTAATTAATAATATTGTATATTGAAAATTGCTAAGAGAGTAGATCTTAAATGTTCTTGCAACAAAAAATGATACATATGTAAGGTGATGATATGTTAACTAGCTCTGTTTAATTATTTCACGTTGTATACATATCAAATCACCATGTTGTACATTGTACAAAAATATATACAATTTTTATTTGTTAATTTTACCTTAATTAAGCTAAGGTGAAATGAGAATGAATGAGTGTTTTCCTCAGCGTAATCAATGGGCTTTGGTCCTGCTATGGGTTTTCCACTCCATCACGCAGTTAGTTAGGTGAGCTCATCTCTGTGCTTCAGGGATTGAAGTAATCATGGTGGGAATGAGAGGACTCATGATGAGAGCTGTTGGGGTTTGGATGAGTGTGCTGTTGGAAATATGAGACTTTAAATCTATAAAAGAAGCAAAAGAATAATGTTTCGTGGACATTCAGTAGGAAATGGCTAGTGTCATGACCTATACCCCAGAAAAGTAAGGAAAGATTTTTACATAGATGTACTGTGAAAGTTTTGTAAGAGAACAACTTTAAAGGCCAATTCCCAAGAGGCGCCAATATAATTCCAACAATGATTGTATTTCCTGAACTTCACTCTCCAGCTGAATAGTCTGTTTAGCGCGGTAACTCCAAACCTGCGAAGTTAAGTCAGGTTTGTACGTTCTTTGGAATGATTTTCAAACTTCCATTAAGATTTTTTCTCCTCCCGTGTAAGAACTAGTGTATGCCTTTAATAGAACATAGGGTTTTTCAGCTGCTTTCATTTCAGGTACACTAAGATTATACAATGAAATACAATAACCCAACAGATAAATAATGCCAAAAAACCATTTGAGACAACACAATTGGCAGGGAAGAAAGGTTTTTCAAAAGTCAAACTGAGCACATTGTTCAAAAGCCAATGATTTTGAAGTGGCATCAGCTTTCTCAAGCATCATTTGCCTAATCAATTTGAAATAAAATTTCCAGCCTAAAGGTTTATTTCTTGAAGTATTAAGAGTGTAAAAGTTGATTTACCCCATGTTCTGTCCTCACATTTGCCTTCTTTGTCTTAGCTTTTAAGAGCACTAAGCTATGAAAACTCATAAGAGCACATCAAGCACCCTGGGGACAGAAGTATGTAGGAATGCCATTTATGGACTATCCAACAGGAGGTGATGCTAGAGTCTTTGACCTCAGATTTTTCATGTTTAACTTTATGTCATAGACTTCTGTAACATAAGAAAAATAGTTTCACATAAAAAAGTAGGGTTAGAAACAGACTCTGTCTACAAAGATACAGTCCTTCAGTATGATTTTACATAAAGCAAGAATTCAGATAATTCAACCATATTTCTCACCAAAAAATGAAAATAACTTAGGGTAAAATTTGACTTTTAGAACTTTTCTACAAGTTATGTGTTTTCTTCTGAGGTGATAATTAATGCACCTGCTTTCTTGAGTGAACCCTCTATGATCCATTTATTGTTCTTTTAATTCAGCCTTAGTAACACCGACAGGATTTTAGAAAAATCCTGATGTAGTTAAAAATGCTTAAATACAAAACTGATTTTATAAAGAAAGTGACATATTTCTCCACAAACCTATAGGATTTATGTGTAGTTCATATGTTCACATGCAAACATATCTAAATAAAATGTAATAATTTCTCAATGCAATTTATTTACCTGTTGATTAACAGTCACACTCCTTTTGTTTTAGAGATAAAGACAAACAAAAATGAAAAAGATAATAGATAATTAATACATGGGAAAGCTGATAAAGCAGCAAGGTGAAGAACATAAAAAGAATTATGACTTGAAAGATAAAGATGTAATCATGTAGTTGTAGAGAGATGCCATTTATGTGTACTTACAACCATCTTGCAGACTGATAAGAAAGATGATTTGAATGATTCATGCTTCATGTTTTTATATATCTAGTGAAGTTTATATTGCACGTTACATTGCAACACATTTTATTAAATATTAATGCAGAAGTGTCTGAATGTTAATCATTTATTATATTCACAATAGTTTATCTACTTCTTCCTAAATTATTTAGAGCTAAATCTTTTCTGAAATATTTTTTTTGAAGGACTTTTAGTTTAGTGAATCCAGAGAGTATAACACATGGTCAGTATCTGAAAGGAAATAATTGTATTTTTCAATAGAACAGTATCTTCAAACACCCACTCTCAGAGAAGAAGCAGTACATATTACAGAATGAGAGATACATATCAACTCTTAGCCTTCATATTATTTACTAACAGAAAATAAAAGCGAAAAATAAATGCACTTTCTTACTAAAAATGTAATCACGAAACTTTGACAATCAATTACATGTTAACACGTTACTCTAGTTGAGGTAGGTCCATTAATTTCTGTCCACTTATTATTGCAATTTAAAAACATTTCCTGAAAGATTTTAAGAGAACATTAAATCAATAAATGTCAACACCTCATATAAAATGGAGATGATTTATTTCTTTACTTCATCCAAACAGATAATTGTCTACAACCTAATGGGGACAAACTGAATTTCAAGGTAACTAGATCAGTCAGTTATAATATTATACATAGTTCAAAAGATAAAGGAAAGAGCCAAAGACGTGCATTTATTATTGAACCTTTTTATGAAATTGGTTTATAAATTTGATTTATTTTTATTTCTAAAACAGCTCCACAGAAATACTTAATACCTTCTTATAAAACAAACTAGCCCCTCAGAGCAAAAAGCAGGATAGGAAAAATTTGGTTAATAATTTATCTCTTTAAATATTAAGAAAATAAGCAAATCATTAATTAGCTTTTTTGTAATGGAAAGAGTAGAATAATACACATACATACTTGACTATTTTTCTCTTTGTTCCTAAAAAAATTATTCTTCCTTAGGCATCGAGTTCTACCTTATTTATTTATTTTTTCAAATCAATTATTTTACAAAAAATGACACTGAGGTCCAGAAGGTTAAAATTACTCATCAAAAATTACACACAAGTTTCTTCAGGTTCAGTAGAATGTATTTACAATAGATATTTGCAGTGCTAACTAATGTAAGGGGTTTAAGTTAATATATACATATGTCAAACTCATCATAATGGACATGAGTAAAACCAATGAGAGTAACTACTAGCAACAATCTCTATTTATTTAGACGGATAAGTTAGGTGTCACACAAATTAAATATGTGGTTCCTTGCAGTACAAATAATATTTGGTCTGCCTAAAGCTCTAAGAAAAGATAGATTTAAAGGAAGAGAAGTTAGCTGTCATTTATTCTTGTAACTTTGGATCAGACACACATTTCAAGCTTTTATTTTCAAATATTTATGCTTGTGAATTAACACAGCAAGGGCTGCACTCTGCCCTTTTATAGATCTTTTGAAATGAGAAAATAATGGTCTTGCTCTTGATGACTTAACATTTACTTATTCCACCAGGTCCTTGCACTTCATAGGTAACTCTTTGAGAATACATAGTGCTTACCAAAGAAGGGATTAGTATTATTGTTATTGTTATTATTATCCTAATGCTCTGTAAATGTCCTTTAGCAAATTGTTGAAATAAACAAGTTGAAGAAAAAATCTGAAATTTATAAACCTGTCTGTCTAGAGTTTTCTAACTCAACTTTGAACTGTATAGTCACCAAAACTAGAATGATTTGATAATACTCATGAGTTTGGTGATTTCCTTAATGATTTTAGTGCTTTTGTCTTTCAGTGTATTTTCAAGCTAAATTTTCTATTAGTTCCCTCAAAGGTTAGTCATGGGCTATTTCCATTAACTGTTGTGCATAACACAAATTATGCCTGCTGAATCTTTATGCAGCAGAGAAGGGCAGGGCAGTGTATCTGTGAATTTTGTGCCTTCATCCCTACATTGAGATATCTTCCCAGTAGCTTGGTGATCAGACAGAGGACAGGCTTCCCAGGAATCTCTTTAGCTGGACTGTAGAAACCTTTTACTCTGAGGAAGTAGTTATAGCACCTTCAGAAACAAGCTCACTTCCCCTCAGGCAGTAATCTTTCATCTTTTAGGGCTCCAAAGTAATGGTTTCAATTCTTCTGTTCACATGACATCAATTTTGAAGTTTCCTTTCTCTGCTATTAAAAAAAAAAAAAAGAAGAAAGGAAGGAAAGGGAGAGAGAAAGAAGGAAACAAAGAGGGAAAGAAACAAGATGGAGACATATTGTACAACCATTTCCCATTCAGGGAAAACCTTGGAGCTTATTTATCTCTTTAAGAGAAAACTCCATCAAAAATTTCTCCCAGATGATCATGTGTAAAGAATTATAATCTCTTTTATTTGACATAAGCCTGTCAACAGAAGCTCTAATGCTGGCTTTGGAAGTCTCCTGAAAATGTTAGACCGGAATTCCTGAGTCATTACAATAAAAATGTTACCCTTTAATGGGTTTCGTTCTTTATAAGATGAAAATTCATTAAATAAACATTCCAGATGTATAATAATGATATGGATCTCTGACATAGATTTTCACATCCAAATTAGCAATTACATTGCTTTTACTGTAAATAGGAAATGCAGCTACATAAAAAATACTTACATTGAAGTAAAGTTGGAAAGAAAAGGGAAAGTTAAAGGCAATGATTGTCATTCAAAATGGCATCTAATACAAAATGCTGTTTATCTTTTTCAATTAATTTTGATGAACACTTTTAAATTAGAATTTATACAGAACTTTGTACATAAAAGGGCATTAACATTTATTCCTGATTTGGTACAGTTTGTTTGTAACCTACATGCCTATGGTATACAGAAAACTTTAATGTTTTGTATACTTTTGAAAGTAAATTTTTGAAAAGTAAGCCAACTCAATGAATTCCCGGCTCTGAACACAGGCAAATAGCAGAGCAGCTTTTTGATGGATCTGCACCCACAGGTTTGTCACTGTGTATGTCAGTCTGTTCAGCTGTTAACAAACCTATGGGCTTAGTCCTCAGTGGGAGGGGCAGCAGGGGAGGAATATGAGAAATCAAATCAGTTCTTTTTCCTTCATTTCAATAAACACTGAGGCTCTTTGACTAAACAACATGTCTCTTTTGGTTTGCTTTAACAAATTTTGGGGGCTGTCCAGTAAATATGGCTCTTCAAATGGGATAGAAAGCATACTTGATACAGTTCTGCTTTGCCACAGCAATACTGAAAATTATAAGTGCCCTGTTTTGGCTCATTCATTTATTAATTCATTATTTATTAAGTACTCGAGCACCAAAGATTTCCAAGCAATAAACATGCTATACCCTGGATATTCATATAATGGATAACACACGTTGTTTTGTCATTAGAAGTTTTCATTCTATTAATATAAAAATATTGAGATATATTTTATCAATCAAGGTAAGGCAGAAAACTAGGAAAAATAGGAAAGTAATAATCATTGTCATTAATGTTATTGCTTTATTATAGCAACCATGCTGATAAAAATATAGCAATATTGCAAATATTATATTACCTAATTTAAAAAATAATTAATGACTGTGAAATCCTTAGCAAATAATCTGACCCAAAGCAACTTTTCAATGCATGATAGCAAGTATATTGATTAATATCAAGTACTATTAATATTGTTCCTTTTGTCTCAGAGGGCAAGTAGTTCCTATTATCATGGATAGAGAAGTTAGACACATAAATAGATAAATAACAGAAGGCAGGATTGGAACCTACCTCTGTTTGAAAAAAAAATGTTTATGGCTTTCATTATGAGCATAAAAATTGCCTATGGACAATATGCTTTGTATGATTCACAACCTCACTGAGTTTGGAATTCTCTTTTGTTTCCTACTGATTCATTTATTCTATCTAGTGCAAAATAGGGGCATTTCAAGAGCTTTTTCAACAATTAGATATTTAAGAAGCAGTTTCAAGGAGAAAGAATGCAGAAGCCTAATATATAGAAGTGAGATGAAACTTAAAATGAAGTTTCAGATACTTATTTAAGAATTGAGTCATTAATACCGGTGTAAATTTGGTCTTTAAAATTTGGAATGGACTTTAATAGAATATATTGTATTTGACTTAGGGGACATGGACATTCACTTCCAGGGTTCTCAGTGTGTGTAAATGGAGGAAGTCCTTGACAAAATACCTAATTGCTAGATTTAGGACTGTGGTCACATGAAGGAGAGAAATAACCAGATATGCTGCTATTATCTAGAGCTGTGCACTCCAGTGTGGTAGCCATTAGGCACATGTGGCTATTGAACACCTGTAGTGTGGGTAGTTCAAATTGAAATAAGTGCCAGCTACATACCAGATTTTTTAACTTTAGCATGAAAATAAAAAGAATATAAAATAATCATGTATGATGTCCTTATAGATTTTGTGTTAAAATAATATTTTAGATATTATTTTAAATCAAATACATATTTAAGTGAATTTCTTCAGTTTTTACTTTTGTTAGTGTGGCTACTAGAAAATTTAGAATTTCAAACATAGCATGAATAATATTTCTCTTGAACAACATCCATATAGAATGCTATGAGGAGCTTTGACCATCTTGTGAGAAGATAATGGACAGGAAAACAGGAAACCACCCTAGTGAACTGCTGTGCATATGAATTATATCAGTACCCCAAAGAGGAGGAACCATTTTACTAGAACATGGAATATGGTCATTCCAGAGCAAAGAAGCGTCATTGTAATCACAATCTTTCCTGTAGCAGCTCTCTAGCTGGCAGCAGCCTCCAAAATAAAATTCACCATCTTTCTCCGGCACTTCATCGTTATCATCACCTAGTGATATCTTCAGTGTCACTTGGAGTATACTCATGGGGCGGTAAGATTAAATACCTATACTTTTCCTATTGTCCAATACATACTGTTAGCTGATTGCTGATTTTCTTCTTCTGAAATATCTTTTCCAGAATACTTGCAATTTGCTATTGTTTATTGTTTGTGGATATTTTCCTGAGATTTTAATATAAGGGCTCTAACCAGGAGAAATGCAACACTGTTCCACCACACAGTCTCCAGAATTATACCTTCATATTACAGGAATGTCTACTTTTGTGGTTAGATATATAATATATATTAATGATCTTTTTCATTTATGATAAATTAGCCTTACTAGTAATACCAACATCATCCATTATTCCTGGAGAAATGTATGACAGGAAAGAAAAGATGTAGTAATAGAAAGGAACAGTTATAGGTAAATGATAATATATCATTCCTAAGCTGCTTTTAATGAAATAAATGACCATGTTTTCAGATGAATCATCCCATTCTAGACACTGATGCTTACAAAAGGTGTTTATGAACACTATCAGCAGGAAGAGTTGAGAATGTAAAATGACTCAGACCATTAGATCCCATAAAGGCTGCTATCGTTTACTGCAAGCTCCAGACAAGAATTTAAGAAGGAGAGAGGAGAGGAGTCCAATTAGAAGAGGTCAGGATTAATTTTCTTTAAGAAGTGTAGTTTCGCATTCACAATTGCTTCAAAGAGAATAAAATACCTAGGAATCCAACTTACAAGGGATGTGAAGGACCTCTTCAAGGAGAACTACAAACCACTGCTCAAGGAAATAAAAGAGGATACAAACAAATGGAAGAACATTCCATGCTCATGGGTAGGAAGAATCAATATCGTGAAAATGGCCATACTGCCCAAGGTAATTTATAGATTCAATGCCATCCCCATCAAGCTACCAATGACTTTCTTCACAGAATTGGAAAAAACTACTTTAAAGTTCATATGGAACCAAAAAAGACCATGCATCACCAAGTCAATCCTGAGCCAAAAGAACAAAGCTGGAGGCATCACGCTACCTGACTTCAAACTATACTACAAGGCTACAGTAACCAAAACAGCATGGTACTGGTACCAAAACAGAGATATAGACCAATGGAACAGAACAGAGCCCTCAGAAATAATGCCGCATATCTACAACTATCTGATCTTTGACAAACCTGACAAAAACAAGCAATGGGGAAAGGATTCCCTATTTAATAAATGGTGCTGGGAAAACTGGCTAGCCATATGTAGAAAGCTGAAACTGGATCCCTTCCTTACATCTTATACAAAAATTAATTCAAGATGGATTAAAGACTTGCATGTCAGACCTAAAACCATAAAAACCCTAGAAGAAAACCTAGGCGATACCATTCAGGATACAGGCGTGGGCAAGGACTTCATGTCTAAAACACCAAAAGCAATGGCAACAAAAGCCAAAATTGACAAATGGGATCTAATTAAACTAAAGAGCTTCTGCACAGCAAAAGAAACTACCACCAGAGTGAACAGGCAACCTACAAAATGGGAGAATATTTTTGCAACCCACTCATCTGACAAAGGGCTAATATCCAGAATCTACAATGAACTCAAACAAATTTACAAGAAAAAAACAAACAACCCCATCAAAAAGTGGGCAAAGGATATGAACAGACACTTCTCAGAAGAACACATTTATGCAGCCAAAAGACACATGAAAAAATGCTCATCATCACTGGCCATCAGAGAAATGCAAATCAAAACCACAATGAGATACCATCTCACACCAGTTAGAATGGCAATCATTAAAAAGTCAGGAAACAACAGGTGCTGGAGAGGATGTGGAGAAATAGGAACACTTTTACACTGTTGGTGGGACTGTAAACTAGTTCAACCATTGTGGAAGTCAGTGTGGTGATTCCTCAGGGATCTAGAACTAGAAATATCATTTGACCCAGCCATCCCATTACTGGGTATATACCCAAAGGATTATAAATCATGCTGCTGTAAAGACACATGCACACGTATGTTTATTGTGGCACTATTCACAATAGCAAAGACTTGGAACCAACCCAAATGTCCAACAATGATAGACTGGATTAAGAAAATGTGGCACATATACACCATGGAATACTATGCAGCCATAAAAAATGATGAGTTCATGTCCTTTGTAGGGACATGGATGAAGCTGGAAACCATCATTCTCAGCAAACTATCACAAGAACAAAAAAACCAAACACTGCATGTTCTCACTTATAGGTGGGAATTGAATAATGAGAACACATGGACACAGGAAGGGGAACATCACACTCTGGGGCCTGTTGTGGGGTGGGGGGAGGGGGGAGGGATAGCATTAGGGGATATACCTAATGCTAAATGATGAGTTAATGGGTGCAGCACACCAGCATAGCACATGTATACATATGTAACAAACCTGCACATTGTGCACATGTACCCTAAAACTTAAAGTATAATAATAAAATTTAAAAAAAAAAAGAAGTGTAGTTGTTCAGCTGCTTGACATTACGTTCTGCCCATAATAAAGACAAATCTGTCATCACTGATCTTCTCTGAATAATGGTCCATGTGAGCAAGGCAAATATCAGACTGCAAAATTTTCTAAGTAAAAAGTTGTTCTTTTGTTTTCTTTTTCTCCATAAATTATTTCCTATGTTTTGTCTTCCTATTTCTTCTGTTTCCCATTTATTGCCCCCTAGCGTCCCAAAATTATGATTTTTTATTAAAGTGCCTTTGATGGCTCTCTCTCATACATAAAGAATTGCTGATGTAGAGAAATACTTTATAGTATAGGGAAAATTGTATTTTTAAGTCTATTCAGCTTGTGTTCATAGTTTTGTACATGATTATTTGTGGTTACCTTACATGTGGCCTCTTTTTCTGTATTTCTAGACAAAGCAAGTTCGTTGGCCTCATACTGGTGAAATTCATGCAATCAATATACCATTTGGTTTGTATTGCAGACAGCAGTTAAAGTAATATCGGCACCCATCCAGAAGTCAAAACTTTGTGTAACTAGGTGTAGTTCTCTGTTTACATATTGTTTCCTGTGTGGACCATCAGGGCAAACAAGAAGGAAGAGATTGCCTGTGCTTTACAGTGTTGAAATAGCAACTGAATAGCTTCTACTTCTTATTTTCAGGGGTGATCCTTTTATTCAATGTCTAATGCAAAGATTGTGAGGCCTACATCTCACAGATGTCTTTTCAGCTTTTCTTTTGGGTTTCCTTTTTCAACTAGTGTCTGAAATAACTTGGGAAACATTTGCATGTTCTACAAATATATCCTAATGGGAATTTATCATCTCCAAAACGTGTCCAGCCTTGGACTGTCTTCATTACCTCTTACTTTATCTTGAGATTTAGTTCCTTCACTTAATGATTCATTAAATAATATTTTTATTTTCCTTCTACAGCACTCTCTCAACTAGTAGTGATACATTAATTAGGAAGGTTATTTGACTAACATCCGTCTTCTTCATTTGAACACAAATGTCATGAAAACAGGAACCCTGCCCATTTTCGCTAATTCTTAAAAACTACCAGTTCCTAACACAGTGCCTAGCTCATTATAGAAACTCAGTTAGTAGTTGGGAAATGACAAAAGGAATGCCCAATACTACTTTGCACCAAGAGTTGACAAAGGTTTGTCTTTAATTCCTGAAAGTTTATTACATGACAGCATGAAACAAACATTACCCAAAAAATTAAGGAGACAATATCAAGTGTAGCTTAGCACTGCTCACTGTGACTCACTACTTAACAGGTTTCAGCGGTCAAAGCTCTGCTCAAGTCTCCCCAGTGACAGCATCTTGGCATCTAAACAATGGCAGCCCCAAAGAGAAGAAAATTTTGTGTCTCCTCCAAATTACTTGCAACAGGATAACTTACAGTGATTCTCATCAGAAAGAAAAAAAAAACTTTATTAGCACTGAGAGTAACAATCAGCTCTCACTCATAAGGATAATATAATCATGATGATTTACTATCTATTTCCCCAACTCTACTTTACGGTTATATTTAAAAATTATACCCTACCATTATGAAGCCTCTCACCCAAAATCTGATTAAGCCTCAAGATTTACCTGCTCAACTTTCAGGTAATATAATGTTTGAAGAAATGTTTTCAATAAAATGACAGGACTCAATTAGGAAATCCACATTTTGGGAAACTCTACCAAGCAAACAATTCACATTTTTATCAAAAAATAAATTGTAAAAGAAAAACAGATAGTATAAAAATATATAATTAAATATCAATCATTAAACATAAGCAATTCAAAATTTGAACACATTGATCTCATTTAGATCCCAATTACAAATTTTTTTTAAAGTTTTGATGTTTAGGGATATTAATAAAATATTTATTTTCAAATCTGATAATATATTGTGATAAGTTTTTTGATGGTCCTCTTATATAGGTGTGCAAATGTATAATGATATTTTTAAAAATACTTAATTCCTTGAGTTGATTAACTTGAAACTAAAAATTAAATAAAGCAAGTTATTACCATCAAAACTATAAACAAACAAAACCAACATATTATACAGATTTATTTTTTCCCACACTTTTTCTTACACTGTGTCAGGGTATTGGAGCTATCCATTTCACCAACAAAATAATAATCCTTTACTTTCCCGTTAGTAAATTTCAGGATAATAAGATATACTCTTATTTCCCAATAGCAAACAATTTCCATGCAAGAGATTTCTTGATTACGATTCTGTATTTACAAAGGGGAAGAAAATTAAACAGAAAAAAAAGTATTCACTAACCATCTACTAGGAATCTTTTGTTAAAGATGCACCAATTTTCACTAGGAATAATAAATTAATATTTGGTTAATGTAGGTAATACAGTAAATATCAAAGTTTTTGTGACCCAAGCATATTTTGAAATTTTAGAATATAATGAGGTATGCTTGAAATGATTAGAATTATAGCATATTTTAAACTTGATAATTGTTTTTAAAAGGCAAGTTTTTAAAAACTTTATTTTTTTATTTTTTATTCTAAAATTAACAAAAATCTATAAATATAACAATACCAAGTATTTCATTAAGGAATATAATTGATAGATTAAATATTTTTAAGACACTGGAATCTAAGTCATGGAGATATGATTTTGGAAACTGTAGTAAATCAAGGCTTTTTAAATTGCTTCTTTAATTACAGACTATTCTTTCTTAATATAAACTTTCATTTGAACCAGACGTTTATGTAATATTTCTGAATGTGTGGTTGATGGAACTAGAAGTACATTTTTAAAACAGCGATATTCCATAATATGAAAAAATGAACTTTTTCCCTCATCATACTTATGTAATGGCTAGAAAATATATAATTCTAAATTTGTCTTTCCATGATGCCAGTTGTGATAGAATAAGAGATAAAGCATTGTAATACCCCAATTTGGTATCAAAAGGAATATTTTAAACTATTACATTTTCTTTTTTGGACAAATTTGTTTCCCGTGAATATCTTTGTTTTTCTAAAACCGAGAATATTTTCACTTGGCTTTTACATATTAGTATTAATACTAAGACAAAAAAATACGACTTTCAAATAAACTCACTTTCAAGGCCTTTTTTTTTTTTTATTACGGCCTTTATTTATTACATTTATAGAAACAACTACAATGACTGGAGCGGTGTTACGAAGGTCAGTTGACTGCTTTTACGTGACATTTCTTCACTTCCAAAGAGAATAATAAAGGCCTACAGGAAATTTTGTTGCACAGCTAAAGACATAATGAAAAGCAAAACAATAAAGGAAATGTCCTGTATCCAACTAAATGCTTAAGCCAGGTTGTTGGCTTCACTTTTGGCCAGTGTTCAGTGAAAAGTGGCTGTAGCAGCTAAGGACAGAATTGCTGAGCTATTGAATGAAGGGGTCTTCTGACTCTTATGACACTAAAAGCAGGCACCTATCACCAGAAGCAACTCTGGACAAATGGAGCCCCTCAAACCCTATCAACCCACAAATCATGCAACTGAACACACAAACAAATAACAGAGCAAGGAATTGAATCCTGAATTCGGTGAATTTTCAATTATATAGGTTCTTACTGGAGTGGATAAGATAATTAATATTCATCTGTAAAACAGATTAGCTTAACTATACTCAAGGAAAAAAAACTGTTGATTAAACAATGTAGAAACAGAAAAATACCTATATTTTAGAACTAAAAGTGATATTATAAGTCAACATTGAATATAGAGTAAATTATTACTCTGGGTAGCTTTTTTTTTTTTTTTTTTTTTTTGAGACGGAGTCTCTCTCTGTCACCCAGGCTGGAGTGTAGAGTGCAGTGGAGTCATCTTGACTCATTGCAACCTCCGCCTCCCAGCGTTCAAGCAATTCTCCTGCCTCACCGTCCTGAGTAGGTGGGACTACGGGTGTGCACCACCACACCAGGCTGATTTTTTGTATTTTTACTAGAGTCGGGGATTTGCCATGTTGGCCAGCCTGGCCGTTAAAAACCTCCCACTAGCAACATACTTAATAGTGAAAGTGGAAATGCTGCCGCTTTAAAATCGGGAACAAGGCAAAGATGTCAACTGTCAACACTCTTTTTTAATAAAATACTGAAGTTGTAGTCACTGAAATAGGGCCTAAAAAGAAATAAAAGGCATAACAATTCAAAAGAATGGAATAAAACTATATAGCTACAGATGCGATGATTGTTTATGGAGAAAACCAAAAGGAATCTACAAAAATACTCCTAGAACAAGTAAGATCACCCAGAATATAAAATTATTATTATTATTATTATTATTATTATTATTATTATTTTTGAGATGGAGTTTCACTGTTGTCCCCTGGCTGGAGTGCAATGGTGTGATCGCAGCTCACTGCAACCTCCACCTCCTGGGTTCAAGCGATTCTCCTGCCTCAACCTCCTGAGTAGCTGGGATTATAGGCACGTGCCACCACTCCTGGCTAATTTTTCTATTTTTAGGAGAGATGGGGTTTCACCATGTTGGCCAGGCTGGCCTCCAACTCCTGACCTCAGGTGATCTGCCCACCTCGGCCTCCTAAAGTGCTGGGATTACATATGTGAGCCGCCACCACTGGCTATTGGGTAGTTATTTCTAAGGCGGTATCCTAAGAACTAGTTACAAATGTACAGGCTTTTAAAATAAAGTTCATGTTCCTAAAGTACATAATGTTGAAGCTTTAAAAAATTCTCTTACATGGCATTTTTGTGGGAACCAATGGCTGCTGAGCACAAACATTTGAGATTAACTTCTAGAGGCTAAAATATCAGTAATTTGGATGCAAATCAGCTCTGTGAGTTGAACAGGGTGGGTTTTAGGTGCATTCTCAATGGGACATCATAAAGTTACAAACAGAGTGTGAGCGAAAAAGTGAGGCAGCCTGAGAGCAAGTATCAGGTAACCTGGGCCCCAGGCATGCTCAGTTACCCTGAAAGATGGTTGGGCAACAATCCTTCACCTAGATAATAATCCTTCTATGATTACTTCTGTATCTTTTATTGATTAACTAATAGACAAATTACATTAATTTGATAATGGAGACCATATGCAATTAATGCCCTAGAATTTTTAAAAACTTTAATGTTTATTCAAATTTCATTCCCATATTTCAATACATTTTTTCAGATTTTGAGAAATGTAAATACACAAAAACTCCATAATTTCCATATAAATAATTCATAATCAGTATCTGACATTATGGGAAAAAATAAGCTGAGCTTATTTTTATGTAGAATTATAATATTAAAACGATTGAAGAATTAATATTGTAAAGACATTGTCCTGAAAAATCTCTTGTTTGATAAAAGGACAAAGTTTATTAACCTACTTGGTTAAGATATCCTTCAAGCCGTTCAGAATTTAATTTTTCTGGTTAGTAAACTTCGGTTTCCATGTTTTAAAATTTTGACTAAATGTAGATACATTTATTTAGGCAACATTTGTGTGGGGCTTTAATTTCAAACCACCAGTAATTTGCAGTGATTTTATATTTGATGACATTTTATATATCATTTGAGGTAATTATAAAATTGGCTTTTATGAATATTAAAAACCCTGTAAAACCTTAGTAAGTAAAAAAGAAAGGCAGATGTTAATACTTCTTGCTATTATATTGCATTACTGCCATTCTCTTATCCTCTGTCTCTGGTGAAGATTTAGGGATTTTTTTACCCAGAGAATTTGCCAGTTTACTTGTGGTTTGTTAGGAAAAAATAAACTTGATATATAACAAATAGGCCTATCTAATTTTTTTAAAAAGGCTAGTCCTTTTATAATAGTGCAGGTATAATAAAACCTTCAATAGATTCTTGATTTAAAAGCATTATTATGTGTCTGGCAAAGCAATCGTCTCTAATGTACATTTCAAGACATTGTTAAGAATAATGTAACACATGTATTCTTTACATCTCTTTAACTGGTAATTCCACTAGGCAATCTAGTAATTCTGTGTCAGATAATGATTTAGTTGTGAATAAGATATTAAATTGCCATCCAAGAAACAAATGTAATAGTTAGATTTTTCGCCTCAATCTCTAAATCCAATTTTACCTAAATTGCTTATTAATGACCTTTATATTAAAAATATTTTTTAATAAAATATAAAAGTCTACACAAGTACATTATGCCAGAGGTTGCTGTAAAGGTCAATTTATGTTTAGTGTGATTATAGATTGGAGATATAATTTGTGTGGCTTTGCCATGCAAGTGCTGTCCTTGTTTAGATTTGCTCTATGATTAAAATTGTACTAAAAGCAATATGGTATAATTTATTTTAATTAAAATCTTTTTATTGAAGGTAACATGCATATAGAAAACTTTAAGGAGTTGAATATTACCAGCAGACCAAAAGTCCTACTTAACATATCTTTCAACACCAATACTTTACCCCAAATTAAGTGCTATTCTGATTTCTAACATTATATATTATTTTTTTCTAGTTATATAAATTGTGTAGAAATTTTTTATATATTCTTTATATATTTCATGTATGTTTTGCTTGTGAGATATGTACACCTCGTTGCATGTAGCAGTAGTTTACTTATTTTCATTGATGTATAGTATTCAATTATGTTTATATACCATAGATAATTCACTTACTTTAACCTTGACGAATAACTGGATTGCTGACAGTTCCTGGCTATCATGAATTAAGTTTCTATGTTATTTTTGTAAGAAATTACTTGTTCACAGAGAATACATATGATTAACTTCAGTAGATAATATCAAACTATGTTCCAAGTGTTGTAGAAATTTATGCTTATGTATTTACCAAAGTATTTGAGAATTTCAGCTATTCTGCATTTTTACCAATAATGGAGTAAGTACTGTCAGTATCTTTTATTTTCTTTTAGTTTAAGTTATTCTAGTGAGTTCATGATAATATCACTTTGTGGTTTTAATTTAAATTCTCCTTATATGACTGACATTGAATACATGTTCAATCCCAGTTGGATATCCTGTTTAAGTTTTTTTCTCAGCTTTTAATTGTCCTTCGGTCTTTTCTATTGACTTCTGGATTATGGATTTATATTTCATTCTAGACATGAATCCTTTTGTATTTACATGTATTGCAAATATCTTCCTCCAGTCTGGAGCTGTTAAGACAATTAATAGTGTATTTTAATGAACAGAAATTCTAATACCAACATTAGGGGAACGTTTACCTTTCAATTATCTCAATGTCATCCCAAATTTACACACTTCATTATGAAAACACAAAGAGTTAAATGTTTAAATTTATTTTCCTACCAACCATGTAAGGCTAAGTTGAAAACCAAATTTCTCTAATATTTAAAGTTTCTTCCATGTGGATTGAAAAGAGATGGACCTGGCTTCAACATTCTTTTCTTCATGTGACAATCTGTTGGTCAGATACCATCATCAATAGCAGGCCAAATATAAGTGGCACTCTGAGTACGTCATTATCAAGTAATAATTATAAAATACAAGAATAATTATAATGGCCAGAAAGAGAGAATAAAACATAAAGGTTTTTACTTTACTGAACTTCATATGTATAATAATGTTAGTAAAAATCATAGAATAATTTAGAGTTATTACAGTACAAAAAGAGGAACAAGATCAGAGTAGCATTTTTTAATTATGCTACTCTATTTTTAAAGGGAGAAATATATTACACATGTATTGATCTGCAACTGAAAAAATTATAAAGTTTTAAAATTTTGTTTTGAAGTCTTAATCTGCAAATTTATTAAAGACTAAAATTAATTTTCTTAAAATGTAGACAATATAATGAAATCTGTAACTCTATCACTGTTCATAACTGATTGACCAACATTTTTGAATAATTCTAATTTCAAAAAAAGATTATCTCAAATAATACATCTTATATGCACATTTGAAAAAAGTCTAAACAGGGTAAATTTTGCGTAGAATGATAAAAATCCCACTTTATGATAAATACCAGAAAGTGCAATATTGCCTTATGTCTTTGTTTCTTTGGGATCAATTCTAAGAGCTTCAAATAATTTAAGCAACTTCAGGTATAAAACCCCAGGTGACCACATATTATGACAGAATTAAAACAGTTCAAGTTTTTTTTTTTCCTTCATTTTACAATCAATGGGCTATTACCGTTTATTTCTTCTCTGTTGTTTAAATGGAGTCATGAGCTGTGCTTGGAGAGAGCTCAGATAATTCCAAAGTTTTATCAACTTACTCTAGTAACAAATGCATGTGTCAGGGCTTGGCTGCATAACTGAGAGTTAAATTAAATTCCACATAGAATACAATGTTTACTAAAGGACAAGTAATTTTAAAATGTGCTAATTTGAAGCTTACATATATATTATGAAAACTCAATAGTAACTGAACATTGTTTAGAACTTAGAACAACACAAATATTTTTCTGGGAGAAAATTTTATCACTCACTTGTAGCATGCTGTTAATAAAAAGCAGACCATTTTTCATCAAGTTTTATTATTGTTTTTAAATTCTTTATAAACAATGTGCTCATAATTGCCTATACCATAGATGAGCTTCTCTTACTGCCCCATCCTTGACTTGCTAAATCACTGTGAGTTTCCTAAGGCTGAGAATGATTCCATTGTTAAATTCACAACTTTTAAAAAATAAGTTTCTGATTGACATCAGTATTAAATGGCAGTGCACTGTGAGAGGAACATCTCTGATGTGTAAAAACACTGAATTTTTCTTCTTGCAGATTCTATTGACAACATTAAATGCTATGCAACTTACCACTCAGGGAACAGATGTTTAGGCCGGGGAGATTTATCACAAGCTAAAAGCATAGTGACATTTCTCACTTTTTGTATTAATAACCTTTACTTTGGATATACTGCTTTTTGATGTTTTCCATAGCAAGTGAATATCCTAAGGTACTCATTTTCCCCACGAAGTGTCTTCAACAAGGATTCCAGTATTAACACAAGTAATAGTAATCCTTTATCTTTCCATGGGCACTTTATAACTTAAAATATAAAATGTTTTATGTAAATACATGGACAAACCACACACACATATAATTTATTCTAATGTTTCAGATAGTATTAATTCCATTTTTGGACTGAGGAATCTGTGACGCAGATAACAATTTGTCTGAGCTCATGTGCTTATTCACTCAAGAAATACTTATTTAGTCCTTATTCTTACCAAGTATTCTGAGAAACCAGGAATAAAACAAGGTCTATGCACAAATATTCCCTTCAAAAGTTTTCAAAGAATGTAATGACTAAGTCTGAAATTAACCCAAGATTTTGAGCTCATCCCCACCGCTTTTTCCACTCCACATGGCCCCCTGTGGACCTCAAGGAGCAAAGGAGGAAATGATGGAAAGTGCCTGCACTGCAAGGGTGTGTTCAAAGTAAAAATAAAAACAACAACAACAGCAACATTACTGAGATTACATGTTTTATATTTCAGCATCCTGGGACCTCTGCCTTCCTGGTTTTATGCTACTCACAACAGGCTGAATACAGTACATTATGCCTTCTTACAGGACAACACAAAAGATAAATGGATAAAGCAAGATATACCTATTAAATACAGAATATCAGAATACATTCTAAAGTGTGCTAAGAGCGTGTCTTTATTCTTTGTTACAAAAATCTAAAGTAAAAGGGAAAAATCTCTTTAATGGCTGCTGTAACTACATTGCTTTTCTTTTATGATTGTTGTCACAGAAAATGTAAAAGACTTTTTTTCTTAAGACAATTCTTTTCATTGTTAAATAACATTTATATTCTACTAGCCTTCTAGAAGGAAAAATGCACAGCATAGTATTATGTTTCTTATTGTATAAAAACAATGGTGTCATTGTATAATGAAATGGAAAAAGAAAATAGACATGATATTATTATACTATATTATAAGCTGTAAGAGCAAGTAGGAAATAAGTGGCTTTTGTTTGCTCATCCAAAGTTTTCCAAAGCAGCTGCACAGTAGTTGATGTTTATACTGTAGAGGAAATTTAAAAAGAAAAAAAAGTTAAGGAAATAAGTTTTGTGATTCTAATGTGATAGTCCTTAAAAAATGTGAGGAAAAAAATGAATTTAAAAAAATGAACTTAAGTAATCAAAATGTCACTGTTTACCAAAATTTCTCTACTAACAACTCATAAGATGGATGAATAAAGGCCTTCCCACATGAATCTTCTTTCAAATTCTACACATGTGAAGTAGCTATATTTGTCTTTTGATACTGTTATTTACATTCCTTTCTTATTGCCATAAAAGATTTGAGATTTTCAATCTAAGTTGTACCTTCCCTCACACCCATGTCTGCACAACTGAAGGAAGGTAATATTGAGATGTAGCAGAAACTGAATTAAACTGTTTATCCAAAGCCTGTGAAATCTTGCTAACCATAGAGCTTATCTGTTGAATGGTCAGTAATAATTACTCTGCCTTCTTCTGAGAAATATTGGAAGGAAATAAAGTGTATTGGGAAGCATAAATGTGGGAACGAATTCTAGTTTCACTATTTTCTAGAAGTAAATGAACAGTATAAAATAGACATCGATGCCTCATGGTAGTTACGATGCTTTTTGAAACTAAAATTTTCTTTGTCAACTGTCTAGAACTTAGTAAATATTTTTACAATATTAGATATTATTGTTAATATCAATAAAAAAGATCAAGTAAAATGATGAATATGAAATACTGTTCACAAGTTATTCATGTAATTTAGAGCTCTTATTAAAAGGCACAAGAAATCATATTTTTTCAATAATGCATATATAATACTCAATTTCTTTCTTAGATAAAGATAACAGAAAAAAAATCTCACAGGTCACAGACAGTGAAGTGCTTCTAAGTTAACATGATTTTTCAGATTCTTCAAATTCCCAAACTTTTATCACATTTGACTATAAAGAGCACGTCCAAGAAACAATAATAATGTTGCTAAAATTATATATGGTTATATATATTTTCCCTTTTTATACCACTAGTGGCTATACTGTTATAATGTCTGAATTAATATTTAATTTAGTTATTTTCGTAAATATGCTGTAATGGTTATTTTCATTAAGAACAGAGCCTTTTAATTATAGATTGCCTATCTTCAAGGCATTCTAAATAATTTCTAAGCTTTACAAGGGTCGGGATCAATTTTAAAGCTGCCCTGTATTTAACATAGTCATGCTCTAGAAATCCTTGGTTGTACAAAGCATTTGTTGGAATCTGGATTCACTTTTCAAATCCACATAGAGAAGAAAGTCTATTGATTCAACTTCTAGTAAGTGGGAAGAATAATGATTAGTGAGCAAAAACAAAATCTTACAGTGTTCAGAGAAAGAGAGAACACACATTGATAGCTGAGCTGAATGACTCAAATTCCTGTTAGGACCAAACTCCAAGTAAAGCAAAGTTAGAATTCTGTTGCTTCTGTAATTCAGATGAAACGCCTCAACACTAAATTGTTTAGTGAAGTGTGTTATATGGTATTTTTCCCATGTGACAAAATTTAGTCTCTCACACAAAGTGTTCTTTCTTTTATTACATTAAGGTCTAGCCATTTCATTTAAATAATTATACTGAGAAGATAATACTTCATAAAACGGTAATACAAATTTCACATTTTTATGTAGCCCATGCCCCTGTGAAATTTTTCTTTCTTATTTTGAATATATCTATTTTCAAAGTTAATTTGGGATTACAATGCTTTGGAAATGGTTAGTTGGAAAATTCTCCTTCTGAAGAAATCATATTATCAGAATTTAGATAATAAATTTTACAAACCAATTATCAATACTTTTAGAAAAAATAATGAAAGTATTACTTGGAAATAAATGCATAATTACTCTATTTGGGAGAATATGGGCTGCACAAAAAGAAAGGTATTTTACTTATTCTTAAACATTAAATGTCTAAGGAAAGGGAATAATATAGTGCCTATGAAAAGGCAATAAAACAATTTGATTACAGTAAAAATCTCAGGATATTATGTCTAAGTATGAATGACATACAAAAACTCAGTGATCTTACACCTTAGGAAATTGATCTATTAAAATCTGAAAATGAATGGGATGGAAACATGCTAGTAAATGCAAGATGAGAAGAATATCAGAAACCGAGTCAGTTATGTGGAGAATGATCAGACGATTTCAACCACTGAAGTTTAAGTTGTTCAGATTTGTGCCAAAATCAGAAAATAACAGGGGCTTTAAAAAAACCCACATTCTAGAGTAGCCTTCACACATTTGGGTCTAGTCATCTTTGCCCAAGGCTTAGAAATTGTAAAATTGACACTCCCACCAATAGTGTGAAAGCATTCCTATTTCTCCACATCCTCTCGAGCATCTGTTGTTTCCTGACTTTTTAATGATCACCATTCGAACTGGAGTGAGAAGCTATCTCATTGTGGTTTTGATTTGCATTTCTCTAATGACCAGTAATGATGAGCTTTTTTTCATGTTTGCTGGCTGCATAAATGTCTTCTTTTGAGAAGTGTCTGTTCATATTCTTCATCCACTTTTTGATGGGAATGTTTGTTTTATTTCTTGTAAATTTGTTTAAGTTCCTTGTAGATTCTGGATATTAGCCCTTTGTCAGATGGGTAGGTTGCAAAAATTTTCTTCCATTCTGTAAGTTGCCTGTTCACTCTGATGATAGTTTCTTTTGCTGTGCAGAACCTCTTTAGTTTAATTAGATCCTATTTGTCAAGTTTGGCTTTTGTTGCCATTGCTTTTGGTGTTTTAGTCATGAAGTCTTTGCACATGGCTATGTCCTGAATGGTATGGCCTAGGTTTTCTTCTAGGGTTTTTATGGTTTTAGGTCTTATGTTTAAGTCTTTATTCCATCTTGAGTTAATTTTTGTATAAGGTGTAAAGAAGGGGTCCAGTTTCAGTTTTCTGCATATGGCTAGCCTGTTTTCCCAACACCATTTATTAAATAGGAAATCCTTTCCCCATTTTTTGCTTTTGTCAGGGTTGTCAAAGATCAGATGGTTGTAGATGTGTGGTGTTATTTTTGAGGCTCTGTTCTGTTCCATTGGTCTATATATCTGTTTTGGTACCAGTACCATGCCGTTTTGGTTACTGTAGTCTTGTAGTATAGTTTGAAGTCAGGTAGCATGATGCCTCCAGCTTTGCTCTTTTTGCTTAGGATTGTCTTGACTATACGGGCTCTTTTTTGGTTCCATATGAAATTTAAAGTAGTTTTTTCTAATTCTGTGAAGAAAGTCGATGGTAGCTTGATGGGGATAGCATTGAATCAATAAATTACTTTGGACAGTATGCACATTTCCACAATATTGATTCTTCTTATCCAGGAGCCTGAAATGCGTTTCCATTAGTTTGTGTCCTCTCTCATTTCCCTAAGCAGCAGTTTGTAGTTCCCCTTGAAGAGGTCCTTCACATCTCTTGTAAGTTATATTCCTAGGTGTTTTATTCTCTTTGTAGCAATTGTGAATTCAACCACTGTGGAAAACAATATGGTGATTCCTCAGAGATCTAGACCCAGAAATACCATTTGAGCCAGCAACCCCATTAGTGGGTATATACCCCCCCAAATTATAAATTATTCTGCTATAAAGACGAATGCACATGTATGTTTATTGCAGCACTATTCACAATAGCAAAGACTTGGAACCAACCGAAATGCCCATCAATGATAGACTGGATAAAGAAAATGTGGCACATATACACCATGGAATACTACACAGCCATAAAAAAGGATGAGATCATGTCCTTTGCAGGGACATGGATGAAGGTGGAAACCATCATTCTCAGCAAACAAACACAGGAAGTGAAAACCAAACACCACATGTTCTCACTCATAAGTGGCAGTTGAACAATGAGAACACATGGACACAGGGAGGGGAACATCACACACCAGGGCCTGTTGGGGGTAGGGGGCTACGGGAGGGATAGCATTAGGAGAAATACCTAAAGTAGATGACAGGTTGATAGATGCAGCAAACCACTATGTATACCTATGTAACAAACTTGCATGTTCTTCACATGTATCCCAGAGCTTAAAGTTTTATATATATAAAATATATATATATATACACACATACATACATATGTGTATATATGGCAAAAAAAAAAAAATTGGTCCTGCAGTCATTAATCCATCCTCACTCTAAGAAAATCAAGAAAGGGGATGAGTCTTTAGATTTGCCACTTGGAAAGGTAGTGTTTTGTGGATGAGTTTATCAAGGGAAAAGGAAGGCAAGGAAGCCCATCAAGGAAGAATCTAGGGTTCCCTTCCATGGTTGACATCTACATGAGTTGTGTTATTGTTTGTTGATCTGCCCCCTTTTCATGTCAGAACAGAGAGAAATGACAGTTCCTAGAGCAGAGCAAGATGCTTATGAGTTTTGCATGGAGCCAGTGGCCATCAGGAGTGGTAGCTCTGCTGAAATAATCCCATCAAAAATTCAAGGAAAATCCAAGCGGCAAAAATCCCAGCAGCAAGCACCAAGGGGGAGGTGGGAAGAAAAGCCATAGGAGAGTGGATGTGGTTGAGTCAAATTAGAATTTCTTAGTTGAGGGTAATATTAAGCAGAATGATCCTGCAGAAGTTTCATAGAGTCATCCTGTGAGACTCTCAGGCACCCAAAATAAATAAAATTTTTATAAAGTACTATCAGTCACATAAGCAGTTACAACTTAAAAACAGTAGTAATTGGAGTAATACATGTCGTACCTCTACCTTTCTCCCTGTCCCAACACAAAAAAGATGCCAGGTCTTGAGAAGGATGGGAGTCTCATTTTTTGGTGTTTACTTCTACATTAAGATGGTGAACTACCTGGAAGAATTGGTAAAAGTCTGAAAACTCTGCAATCCTCCCTGACTGCAAACAGTAGCCTTTGCTTGCTTTCTGTCATTGTGTCCAAAATTCTTCCCATAAATTCTTATTAAAACTTATACCCTCATCTATTTTAAAGGGAATTAAGAGAAAGTGATGTCTGCATCCTTATTCCAGAGTAGAAAAAGGGTAATCAGCACTCCTGAGGGTCACAATGGTAGGACCAGAGGTTGAGCGAGTCAGAGGACCTGGACCATGGATTAATTCATACAGAAATTTATCATGAAAATAGTGCCCTTGTTCAGAGGATGAGACATGTGCTACATTCATATAACAATATTCAGACACAGGAATATTTTAAATCTCAAAAGACATAAAGTAGCAATGCCTAAGTAGAGACATATGATGTAAATATTAATTGAAAAGCAAACCCTGCTTTTGTTTTTGATATTTTCAATAGTTTTTCATGTCTCAATCTCCTTCAATTCAGGCCTGATTTGGGTTATTTCTTGTCTTCTGCTAGCTTCGGGATTGGTTTACTCTTGGTTTATAGTTCTTTTAGTTGTGATGTTAGGTTGCTAAATTGAGATCTTTTGATTTGGGCATTTAGTGCTATAAATTTGCCTCTTAACACTGCCTTAGCTGTGTCCCAAAGATTCTAGTATGTTGTATCTTTGTTCTCATTAGTTTCAAATAACTTGATTTCTACCTTAATTTCATTATTTAGCCAAAAGTCATTCAGAGGCGGGTTATTCAATGTCCATGGAATTTTATAGTTTTGAATGAACTTCTTAGTCTTGATTTCTAATTTTATTGTGCTATGGGGATTGTTTGTTGTTATTTTAGTTCTTTTGTATTTGCTGAGGGGTGTTTTACTTTCAATTATGTGCTTGATTTTAGACTATGTGCCATGTGGAAATGAGAAGAATGTATATTCTGGTATTTTGGGGTGGAGAGCTCTGTATATATCTACCAGGTCTATTTGATCCAGTGCTGAGTTCAGGTCCTAAATATCTTTGTTGGTTTTCTATCTCAAATGATCTGCTAGCCAGGGAGGTGAAATATTTCTACAAGGAGAACTGCAAACACTGCTCAAAGAAATCAGAGATTACAAACGCAAATTTAAAAATCCATGTTCATGGATAGGAAGAATCAATATTGTATTTTAACCACAAAATCCAGCAATGGAACTCCTTGGTAATTACTCAAAGGAGTTGAAAACTCTGTCCACACAAAAACTTGCATACAAATATTTACAGTAGCTTTATTCATGCTTGCCAAAACTTGGAAGCAACCAAGATGTCCTTCAGTAGGTGAACAGATAGAGTTGGTCCAGACTATGAAACATTATTGAACACTAAGAAGAAATGAGCTATTAAGTCATGAAAAGATATAAAGGAACCTTACATGTATATTGCTAAGTGAAAGAAGCCAATCTAAAGAGCCTACAGACTGTACAAGTCCAATAATATAATACTTTAGAAAGGCAAATCCATGAAGACAGTAAAAAGATCAGTGACTGTCAGGTGTTAGCTGGGAGACAGTGCTGATAGAGCACAGAGGATTTTCAGATCAGTAACACTCTTCAGTATGATGCTATAATGGTGGATACACGTCGTTAAACATTTGTCAAAACTCATAGAATGTACAACACCAAGAATAATTTCTAATGTAAACTATGGAATTTGGGTAATAATGATATGTCAGAGTAGCTTCATTGTAACAGATGTACCGCTCTAGTGGGGTATGTTGAGATTGGGGGAGGCTGTGTGTGGGGAGGACCATGTGTTATATGGAAAGTTTCTGTACTTTCTGCTCAACTTTATCATAAATGTAAAAATGTTCTATAAAATAAAGTCTATTTTAGTCTATTTTTAAATAATACATAGAAAGGAAATAAACTTCATCTATAAAATAAAGTCTATTTTAGTCTATTTTTAAATAATACATAGAAAGGAAATAAACTTCATCCCTGGAAGAAATCCATAGGAAGTAAAGTATTTAAATGAATTTCTAGATGATGGAGAGAGGATGAAAGAGATGATGGATTAAAAGGGCAGAGAGAGAATAATTAAATATAAGATGAGCAGAAGCTCAAAGCAGAACAACAAGCAGTTTTATTGTGGAGACTACTAAAGAGATTGGTGTAGATATATTATGTGAAATGTCAATAAAAAGTATTTGAAATATGTTTGCAAGTGAAAAAGTCCATTTGAACACTTGAAACATTCTAACATATAGCTTTGCCCATTTGTTTTTGTTTCCTTATTGAATTATGTTTCAAAAGTTATTAAACTCTGCTTTAATTGAAATTATAGAGAACTTAATAGAATAAATGATTTAAGCACTCTTTAACAGTAAACATCTTTTGGGATTTGGAATATGAAGATACAAAATAACATAAACTTCTGTTTAGAAGTGTTAAGTTCTGAAGTCAGATGGTCATGGCCTCAAATCCAGCTCTCCTCCTCAACAGCTAAGATCACTGAGAAGGTGACAAACTCCAAAGCCTCATATTCCCTACCTATGAAGCAGAGATGAGAAGGGTAGCTACTTCATAGAGTATCTGTCCCATAGGAAGAGATAACATAGGTAAAGCCTCTAGTTAAAACAGCATCTGGTACATAGTAAACATTCACTAACTACTGACTTTTTATTATCTATTATTTATATATAGGATCAACATTTGTTTTTTATTCCTTTATTAATGCAGTGATAAAGCTGTATGTAATTCTGATTGTTCTCATCACATTCTGGGTGAATAGTCAAATGTCTCCCTCCTGGGAATAAATACAAGAAACACTTTGCCAATCATAGTACAATTGCTCATTTGTACTATTGTTTCTAATTGATTGAAAAGTTTCTGCATAGAAAACAAGGAAATAATTGTTAAGAAGCAACACAAATTACTTGTGAGTTGCGGATGTAATTGGAATTTCAGACCAAAGAGAGTTTGGAAAAAAGAGAGCAATGCTTAGACTTTTATATAATCCTGTCTTTTCCTGATAAGCAGCGTGCCAGAGAATGAATCCCAGATTCTATCCTCTCTTGAAAAAGGGAAGGAATAAAATCCAGATTAGATGTTTTATAACACTGAGTATATGGGGCGGGGGGGGGGGGGCGGAGGGAAAGGCCAGGTGAAAGCACAACAGGGTGAGTTTTCTTTATTTATTTTATTGCCTCAGGTTTTGTCTGTAGAATTCATTTATCCTGTTTCTAACCCTGATTTTATGTAAAGACATAAACTGGAGAGATGGTCTTAATGTTTCAACTCAGATAAATTTATACTGTTAGCGTTACGTGATGCCACTTCACCATTTCACTCAAGTTGCAGATAATGCTTTATGAGAAGATTATGTAAATGAAACTTTTCAACAAAATAGAAAATTGGAGTTTCTTTAGGGAAGACTTTGGTTTATTCAAATCAAGTTTATAATGGCCCCTTGGGAAAGACTCCAATCTAAAATTTTGTCAAAAATAGCTACCACATCTTGACACTAATCATGTTTTCTCATTCAAATTATTTTTTCTACTATGTAAGACATATTATGCTATATGATGAGCATTTAAAATAAGTTCCATTATGTGAAAATAGTGAATTCATATATCCTCCACATTTATAAGTATCTATATTTGTTAAATTTAACATTTGACGCCAAAATACTTATATGCCTCATTTCCTTGTTTCAAAAAGAGATTGTTAAAGTGAAACAAACTAATAAGATACTGGAAGTGCAAGCAGTGATTTCTAGGAGTTCCTGAACAAAAATCCAAATAATACTGATAAAACAAGAAAGGAGAGAAAAGAAGAAAAGGGAGCGAAAGCTGACCACAGCAGAGGTAGAAAGAGATGTGAGACTTCACTTTGCAGAAATACAAACAGTGGGGCAACAAAAATAACAATTAAGCCCATGCCTGGCCTACTTGACAAAGAAAATGGACTTTTATGAGTTTGTCTCAGAGTAGTAGGTCAAACTACTATATACAACTTTGTGACTTGTTATAAGTACTAAAGTCAAAAAAAAGAAAACATTTCACATTATTCTCCATGTGGTTTTAAGTGTGCTGGTATGTTCTCACTACACTTCCTTTCTTAAATCTATAAAACCATACTACCCTCCTTCAAGTTTCTACTTGATTCACCTCTTAGAAACCTGCCAAACTAGATCCACCTGGGTCTAATTACTTCAGACATTCTTTCACTGTGTGTATCTTGATACATCAATAATCTTAATAGGATATACATGTCTGTATCATTTATGTTTGCAGAGATTTAGCCAAGCTGGAGCTAACTTCTACATTGCATTGTCCCTGTGGGCAGGAAATATATTTTCTGCTTCATTTTAAAACTCCTGTGGCAACATTGGTATGAACCTTTAGTAGACTATTAATATGTATCTTGCTGTTTTTTAGATAGCAGTACTATATATGAGGAGAATTAAGATTCACAAAACAGTTTGAGTAATTTAGGGAGAAAATATATTTCACAGTCATCTTCATTTACAATAAAACATAAAGGGATCTCAAAAATAGGTGATTAATGCAAGAATGATTTAATACTTTCCTAGTGCCACATAGAAGTAAAGACAGATGGGGACTGTTGAGGTACCCTCAAAAACATCTTACACACATTTCTTCCACCAGTATTATCTACAGATTTGTTCAACAAACATTTATGGAGCATCGGTGCTTCACTTGGGACACACTGATGGATAAGTAAAGTGTTTTGTCCTAGAGGGGCTTACAATTCAATAAGGCCAGGAAGGCTATAAGTAAATAAAGGTAAGAATTCAGCAAAATCATAGCTATTCCCAGGGTGCTATGGGAGTACAGAAAAGAAGCACTTAGTAAAATCTCTTTGTCATTTATCAAAGTTTTTTTGAGCACCAAGAATGTTCAGAGACGCTTGGATAGATGGTTGTGATTTAATAATGAATAAATCTTCATGGAGTTTATATTATTGTGATTGATAAAAGTAAGTAAACAAAGTGATTTGTATGATGGGAAAAGTACCTGCAGAAGTATAATACAGTAAGAGTAAGCACTAGGGAACCAGCCTGGCTCTGAACAGTCTGTTTCTTCCATTTCCTAACTGCTCAACAGGATGTAAACTAATGAACTTCACAATGCCTCTGTTTCCTCATCTGCTAAGTGTGAATAATAATCACATTTGCCCTATAGCATTATCATGAGAATTAAATAGTTTCGTATAGGTCAAATACTTAGAAGCATATCTGACACGTTAAATACTTTATGTGTTTGATATTGTCATGTGATAAGATGACATTAAAGGAAGCAAATCAAGACTTTGATAGGAAGACTTCTGTGACAAAGTTGTATCTACGGTAAAAATGGAAATAGCTAGAGGGCAGCTGGAGGAAGTTTAGAAGGTGGTTTAAAGTGAGAGAAAAAAAAGGAAAGATCAGATTCATGCAAAAAAGTCCATAGGGGGAAAGGATCATGGCATTTGGGGAAACTGAAATTACTGTGATATTTTTGGAGGAAGGGTTATCCAGAGACTGGAGAGAGCTGAAACTTTCAGGAAAAAATCTAGGTCAGGCATAGAGTATTAAGAAATGGCATCAAACTAAATTTACGAAATCAGCAATAATTAAGTGGGTCAAGGCGGCAAGCTAGGAAGCATAGTCTCAGAAGAGCACATAGTATAAAGAAAGGCAGAAGTTGTATATCATTGCAGAGTACCCCAGGAGCTCCACAAACTTTGGTTTTACGAACACATAAAGTGTGGGGAAAGGAATAAAGCAAGATGAAGCTGTGTTGTCATTTAAAGACCAGGTTTCAGATATGGACCAGGTCAGGAATACTACTAACTGCCATGAAATGCCTCTTGGGAATTATCCTATGAATAATGGGGAAAACTGAAGGATTATCTTATGAGAGATGGAGAATAATTGAAGGATTTTGAGCAGCAGGTGTGGTCGTTTTTCTTCACAGCGATAAATGAATTTAGGTAACGTGACCTCATTACAAAGCTATTGAAATACTACCAGTAAGAGCTTACAGAAGCCTAAATAGAAAGTAAATGTAGTAGGTATCAATATAGTTAAGAAGTACTTACAATTACTACTTGATAACAGCATTGTTGGAGGCATTGTAATGAGGTAACTAGTGTGCTTCTCAGTATTTTTAGGGGCTGGGGTGTTGATGAGGTGAATTGTAGAGGAAAAGATTGTTGGACATGATAAATTCAGTGATGGCAGAGTTAAATAATGTGTTATGCAGTTAGGTGTTATGTAAGTTATCTATCTGGGAGGATATCTGAATAGAAATATCAATGTTCAATCAATGCATTTTATATTTTGTGAAACCCCTGAGAGTAGTTGAGATCACATTTGGCAAATATTCAGAGTGAATCAATACCAGAATAACAAGTTTAAAATTTGGAGGTAATATTGATATCCCAAAGATGGACCTTCAAAAAAGTTTTTCAATGAATCATTCTAGAAGCATTAGGAGACTCAAGAGAAGATATTTACATGGAATCCAAGATACTTTGAAGTGAACATTTCTAAGAAAAATAAACACTATTTATCACTGTTTAGACAAAAGGTGTTGAAGCAAAACATATGCTCTTGACATTATAAAGATCATCACAGATTTTTGAAAGGATAATGTATTAGAATTGTGAGAGGGAACAAAATAAGATTACTTTGGCCTGAGAATTTAATGGAGTGTGAGTCAGTGAGAGAATGTTTACAGTTATGAGGGAGAAAAGATGAAGGGAGAGGCATTTTTAATGTAAGGACTTGTCTGTTTTTATTTGGCTAAAAGGAAAAAGTGAGCAGAGAAACAGAAGTTTGAAATTAATAATAAGCTTAGAGGAAGAGGAGGGGGATGGTGATGGAGAAAGAGTGAAGAGACTTGGAGCAAAAGCAACTGTGGAAAAGTTGGCTTTAAAAAATAAAATAAAATATTTTTCTAATATTAAAAAGTGGAGTTGAGATGGGGAGAAAGCTTTTACTTTTTCTGATTCAAAAGGACAGGCCTAGCTGGTGCAACTTCTCTCCTCTTCCCACTTCTTCCTGCATTGAATATTAATGCAAAATCTAGAGATGGAGCTGCTGTCTTCCAGCCATGGGCAAAATCCAAGGTATTTTTTTTAATGTTGACCATGATGCCAATGAACTGTTGGACCAATTCCAGCAGGCTCCTCCCTCCAAGGTCATAATAATTTGAATTTTCAAAAGTTTTTATTTATGCTGTTATATATCAAGTTTTACATTACTGAAAGCCACATTAATCCTAAATGTTATATTTTTAAGATATTTGTATGGAAATGTATTAAATTACCAATAAGTTATTGTACTATTATATAATTGAATAAAATATTAAAGTATTATCTATGAGAAAGTTTTATGCCTTGGCAAATTGCTTGGGCTATAATATGAAGCTTTTATAAAGGGTAGAATACAAAGTAACATTATATATATAATATATTCTACAAATACAGAGAAATAAACAGCTATTAATGTAATCACAATTTTAACAATTGATATGTGTAGGTAGTGAAATGATTGCTGGCTATTTTTTTTTCTTTAAACTTTGCCATATTATCCAAATGAACATGTGTTACAGTTAAAATCTTACAGAATAAATGTTTAATAATGAAAATAAACTTGTAAATAAAGGACTTAGACAAATGAGAAACACACTATTACTTGCTAAATAATTAATTCTCCACAAGTTTGTGGTATAGTTTTCAGAGCTTTCATATTTTGGGGGGCAAGAACTGAAAAGAAATAACTAATTTCCCCATCCCCCAAGGCAGCTCTCTATTCATTGACAATCTGGTCTGATCATTTATTATATCACAGTTAGCTAGACAAAAAATTCCCTTTGCCAAGGAATTTTGGCAGGGGTACTGACCCAATGAAAAACATACTGCGTTCTGTCTTGAAAAGATGGAAACCACCTTGTTTTTCTGTAGCCAAATGTGAGATCTTATAAAACCTCAGAATGAAAAAATAGTTAATTTTAAGGTTTTTCATTTGTGCCAAGTTTTTTTTTTTTTGTAGCGGGGAGGTGCCTTTTTTTCTACTTTGGCATTTGATAAATATGAGGAAGACAAAGCAAATCATTCTGGATTTCATCCAACCTCAACCTTGGGTGGAGAATGGACACTGATTAAAACATTTCATTAGACATTTTTATCCTGTCTTCTGCTGACCAGTTTGGGAAGTCAATGTGGAATTATTACTTTCAAGTCTATTATCATATAAAGTCATAGATTTTGAATGGAACTACACGTTTGAGACATGTTATCGATTGTACTCAATGTGCCTATGTATACACACACATAAATACATATTATTTAAATAAACTCAAACTACTCAACATAATCTCCAGACATATATTAAATAAGCCAAAACTATGTAAAATCTGAAAAATATTCTTCAACCAATGTGAAATTCTTCAGATTTTGATATACTGCTCATAAAATGCCTATTCAGAATGTACATTTCATATTGCAAATCTGAGCTAAATAAACATTACAGCACAATATCTTCATAATATGGACCTCTTTTCTTCTTTATAATTGTCAAGGCCAAATAAACAATTTATATTTTAAAACATATAGATGATTTGTTACTCTCAACAAGACAGCTTTATTTTCAATTACTAGAGAGTCTAATCAGTGCTTGGGATCAATACATGGTTAGAAAACTTTCCAAGTTATTCAAAATCTGTGTTTTCACTATTTTTCTTTTCTCTACAACTGAAAAAAAAGCACGTCATTTATTCATTACAGATTTTTGCCTTCAAATCATGTGTTCTTCACCTTAAAGACCAAAAGGAAAGACTGATCATCAGTAGACTTAATTCTGTCCTAAATGGTCTACTTTAACTATACAAGGAAGACTGTGTTTATCTAGAATAGTCTTAAGCAGTTGATGATATAAAAGTTTTAAATTAAATGAAATGTATCTAGCAAGCTTATTTTTAATCTTCTTAGCATGTTCAGTTGCACCTCCAAGTTAATATGGCCTGATGCTTTCATTTAAATCCCTGGCTTCCCATAACCAGCCTTCTTCCAGATACCCCTTCCTGCTCTGGAGGTAAAGCTTTAATGACATCCAACTTGGGCAGAGAGAAGAGTAACAGGCTTGAATTCACCTTGATCATCTGCAACAGACATTGTATGGCCCACAATACCTAAAATAGTTACATTCTGGTCCTTCAGAGAAAAGTTTGCCAACCCTTGGTTTATAGCTGCAGTGCTTTCATTATTCACATCTTCACTCCATTTCCTGGAGAGATTCAGGTAACCTGCACAAATCACCCAGCTGTACACCCACTTCAGACAAAAATGCCTTCAGATAATTTTTGGATCCTGGGATGACAAATAGAACTTTTATGTCCACGAAAAAATAAACATCTTCCTGCATTTATCTTGGTTCTTTATAATCCTTATGCTGATGGAGAATTGTTAAAAATGGACTAAGGGTTTTTTTTGTTGTTGTTGTTTGTTTTTTGTTTTTTGAGACGGAGTTTCGCTCTTGTTGCCCAGGCTGGAGTGCAATGGCGCGATCTCAGCTCACAGCAACCTCCGCCTCCCGAGTTCAAGCCATTCTCCTGCCTCAGCCTCCGGAGTAGCTGGAATTACAGGCATGCGCCAACACACCCAGCTAATTTTGTATTTTTAGTAGAGACGGGGTTTCTCCATGTTGACCAGGCTGGTCTCAAACTCCGGACCTCAGGTGATATGCCCGCCTCGGCCTCCCAAAGTCCTGGGATTACAGGCTTGAGCCACCGCGCCCGGCCAATGGAATAAGTTTTGAAGTTTTGAAGAACTATAGAAAATGATGGGATTTCAAGAGTATTCCAACTACATACATTATAAGGTGTTGTCTTAGGCTAGTAGGGCTGCTATAACAAAATATTACAACTGGGTAGCTTATCACCAACAAAAACACAAATTTATTTCTCATTTCTGGTGGCTGGGAAGTATAAAATCAAAGCATTGGCGTATTTGGTGTCTGGTGAAGGCCTGCTTTCTGGTTCACCCATGGTGCCTTCTCTCTCATGGTGTTCTCCATGGTGGAACTGTTAGCTAGCTCTCTGGAGTCAGTTTTATAAAGGAACTAATCCCATTTATGAGGGTTCTGTCCTCACGACCTAATCACCTCTCAAAGGCTCACCTGGTAATACCATAACTTTGGCAGCTAGCTTTCAACCTATGAATTTTGGAGGAGAAACAAATATTCAGACCACAGCAGTGTGAATACCTAGTTACAAACTTTCCAATACTTAGTTATAAACTTTCTATATATCCAATGGAATATATTACAATATTTAAAAAACATAGTTCACAGTATATAAAAAGTTCTAGAATCACCATTATTTCTTTAAGTGTAGATGGGTTTTTATTTTTTTTTCTAATGAGCCTGTAAAGTTTAGTCACATGTCAACATTAACACTGGAATAAAGTAGCACTTAGTTTTGATAAGTCTGTATCATAGAATAAAAAACTAAAAAAAGAGGCCAACTTTGTATTTCTATTTCTAATCCTTCTCCTCCCAGATTCTACACTTCTATCAAGCATAGCCTGATCTCACTGGTTAATCTTCTGTCAGGTGGAAATCTGAAACTAAGGGTTACTATTCAATATCATGATGGCCAGTTCAATAATAGCTAGTGAGTTTTCATTACAGTGTGTTTTCTTAATACTATCCATTCCTTCCACATTAGCTATAAGAAACTAAAACTTCTGTAGGAAAAAAAAAAAAAACCTTACATAATATCCCATAATGATCTCTAGGATCATCCTGCCTTCAACTGCCACTATTTTTGGGGAAAACTAACAAACTAAACACACAAACTTACTTGTTAAATAAAAGCAACAATTATTTAATAATCTCTTTTGAAGAAATATTTCTACTGATATCCATCAAAGGAAGAGGCATTTTTTAATTTTTTTAAGCAGTTATGTATTTAAGTACCTCTTTAAGATAAAAACCATCAGAAATGAAATGAAATTCATTTTGAAAACTATGGTAACCCTCTGTCAGATGCTATATATTAGCTTTATCACTATGTGTTACCAAATTCACATTTTAAAGAATAGGCATCCTCTTCTATTAACAAGAATGCTATAACCTTAATGATTACACAGGTTTGTTTTAAATATAAGAAATACATAGCTATATTAGAAACATCTAGATAAAAGCTGATGTGTGGTTTAGAATGGTAATGACCGCAATAAAGTTTCTGTGGTATCAATTTACCTAGAGTAGATCCTACGGCATTTTGACATTTCCTCTTCTAGGTGATTTCTTAAAATTGCTGATGTATTATCAGAATTACATCTGAAGTGCCCATCATTTCATAAGTCTGAATTTTTACCATAGGCTGACAAGATTGTATTACTGAGTCAGAATATGCTTTCATTTTTGTATCTTCTTTTAGTAGAATTGAAACACAAATAAGGGAAGGATCTCATCATTACATCTAATATTTTTTGGAAGTTTTTTTCCCATCAAGAAGTAAGTGTAAATATGAGATAGCAGGAGATTAAGGCTAAAATTAGTTTACGATGTAATGATAATTTATTCAAAAATAAATGGAAATGCTATTAAAATATATGAGTTTAGTAAAGTTTAATTTATGAAATAAATATAATAGCATTGCCAATTATGCAAATGAAACAAAAGAACCCATCCGCAATAGCAATATTATTTTTAATGAGAGCAAACTTAACAAGGAAAATGCAATGTGAATATGAAGAAAAATATAAACACGAGTGAAGGACAGTAAATAAGACTTGTGTTAGAGGCAAACCTTGGTTGTAGGGGATGACTCAATATTGTAAATTTATTAATTCAAGTCAAGTCAATGTATAAATATTATATTCATTGTAATACAAACTTTAATGGAATATATTTTTAATGTGAAATAATTTTAGCATCCATCTGCAATAGACAAAGGTGCACAAGAAATATTTGATGAATCAGTCAATCAATCATGAATACTTGAGGCTTAATGCCTAGATCTTGGTTTTTGAAACCTTCAACCAATTAACGAAACAAGATACCCTTGGACAAATGAGTGATTCTAAGTCTAAGGCAGAAAATATATGAAATCATTCTGGAGCATCTTTCAATGCTAGAAAATAAGAAAGTGCTCAAAAAACCCACAGTCAGGTGGGTGTGTGAAAGGAATGCACAAGCCAAAAGAAAGAGCTTCTGATGGCCAAAGCTGCAACAATAAAATGCATAAAATAATATACAATAAATTTCTCTATGCTTATATGAATAAATGATTAAAGAAATAAGTGGACAGTATATGCAAATCTTCTATGTGTAATTCCAAATAATGTATGTAGAGACACTACTGTCAAGTAAATAAAGCATAACTTCCCATTTCTTAAGCGGGGAGTTCACATAGTAACTTCATTCTAAAAAATACAAGATAGGAATCAAAAATAAAAGAGTGATTTTTACAGTGGAGAAACTTGACAAACACTATCTCAGCCAGATGATCAATATTAACATCAACAGTGAGAAGTCACGTTGATAGTATGTACCCTTAAATGATGTCATGTGCTGAACACATTTTTTATGTGGTGTTGCCTCTGAAAACCTTTATCCTAAGTCTAATCATGAAAAAAAAAAAATCAGAAAATTTCCAGTAAAGGTAGAGGTCTATAATATCTGACCAATACTCATCAAATTTAAGTTAAGCAAAGCCGAGAAAGTCTGAGAAACTTTTAAAGCCAACAGGAGACTAAAGAGGAAAGATGACTATTGTAATATGGTATCCTGTAAGGATTACTGGAACAGTAAAAAATATATATATATATATAGATTTCAGGTAAAGACTGAAGATATCTGTATGAAGTAGGAACCTTTGTTAATAATGTATCAATATTGGTTCATATTAATATAAAATGTTAATAGTAGGAAAACTGAAAATAGAGTGTTTAGCAACATCTACGTAATTTTCAAAATTATTCTGTAAATCTGAAACATGTCTAAAGTTTTTAAAAATGTTTATTTAAAAAGGACATTTGGAATTCCAAATATTAAAATCCACTACACAGCTGTTATTATTTATAAATCATAGTACTGGTAGAAAGTTGGAAAAGCAAATCACTGCATAAAATTAGTCTAGAAATAAAGCTAAGGATTACATACTTAGCTTATAAATTATTAATTAAACAGATATTTATTAAGAATCTTCTAAGAGCCAGGCACCATTCTGGACAATGAACATAAAGCAGTGAACAAAATACACTAAAAAAAAAATGCCCTCATTAAGCTCACATTCTAGTCAAAGAGACAGGCAATAAACAAATAAGTAAAACATGGTATGTTTCAGATGTTCATAAATGCTATTAATGAAAATTAACTAAGCAAGGGGAATATGAAGTGCTAGCTCTGATGTAGCAATTTTGAATGGGTTGGCCAAAAAGACCGTACTAAAAAGGTGAGATTTGAGAAAAACTGAGAAAGATGAGGGAGTGAACAATAGAGATACGTGGGGAAAGATGACTCCAGACAGTAAGAAAGGAAGGGTCCTGAAGCATCTGTATGTTAGGCTGATTAGAAAACACAGAAGTGAAGCAGTTTGAGTAATACAAGGAAGAAGGAGACAGAGCTTTAGGTTGTCTGAGCAAGGAAATGATGTGGTTGATATTCTTAAGAGTATAATAAGGGATATAGAGATTTTCCTATCAATGAGCTAAGATATTTTTAGATGGTTATGAACAGAAGCAGTGCATAATCTGACCTATATGTTAAAGAAAAGTTTTGGCTTTGTCCTTAAAATTGAGTGGAGGAGAAAAATAGTGAAATCAGGGAAACTGATTCAATTTCACTGTTGACATGATCCAGATAAAAGATAATGGTAGCTTTGACTAGGATGGTACCAATGAAATTAGTGAACTTTTAGCACATTTTGAGAGAAAATCTGATGGTCTGTGGTCATTGATTGGATGTGGGGTTTCAGAGAACTAGAAGAACCAATATGAATCTAAGGTGTTAGTCCTGAGCAATGTGAAGGATGGAATTTCCATTTTTTGAGATAAGGATTACAGGGGAAAGAGGTTTGGGACCAAATACAGGTATTGGTTTTGATTTTGTTGAGTTTGAGATGCTCTTTGGATATGCGAATGGTCATGTCACGTAGGTATACACTGTATAAATATGAAATATGGGGTAAAGTTCTGGAATGGAGATGTAAATCTCCATATAGATGTATTTAAACCAAAAAGACTGAATAAAAATATCTAGGGAGTAAATGTAGCAACAGAAGAGAGGAAGTTGAAGGACTGAGCCTTAGAAAATTAGAACATTAAAAATCAGTAACTTAGAAGAAGAAACTAGTAAAAGAGGCTGAGAAGGACCACCTGGTGAGATAAGAGAAAGTAAGAAGCTAGTCAAGTGGACCAAATGGTGGGATGGGTGATACAACAGGCAAGACAAGAGCTGAGAATTGGAATTTGGATTTTATAAACTACGTAGATGTCATGGATAATGGTCCTGAAGTATCAGCTAAAGTTTGATTCGTGTGGTAAAAGAGAGACTTGGAAAAGAGAAATAAGATCCAGTAAGTTTAGAGACCTCTCCACGGTGGCATTTACAATTGTTGACGAAATAATAAATTGTCAAATAAACAGTGCTAAAACAATTAGTTTACCACTCCAATAATAATAATAATAAATCGCTGAAAGGAAGGAAGGACAGAAGGAAAAAGGGAAGGAAGGAAGGTAGGAGGGGAGGAAGGAAGGATGGAAGGAAGGAGGGAGGGAGGGAGGGAGGGAGGGATGAATTAGATCTCTCTCTCAAAATACAAATAAATACTCAGAAGGATTAAAATTTAAATGCAACTATATAAATATATTTATATGTTGTGTTGGGGAAATTTATATATATTGATATGTGTATATTATTTACATATGTAATTATACATACAAGGCATGTTAACCAAAATATTAATGGCAGAAAACAGAAGAAAAGGATGAAAATTTTAATAAATAAAATTCGGAACTTTGGTATGTTCACAAGACATTGTAAAATAAAAAGATAAATGAATTTGGAAAAAATTATAATTTATATGCATCGTGCAAATTACATATCACTATTCTTTTGGCCCTACGTTGGTCCTCACCTCACATATTCTGCTTTGTGTCCCCAAAGCTGGGCCCTCTAAAGTGCTCTCTCCAGACTTCCTAACTAGCTGGCTTTTGGTAAGCTTTGCCATTGGACGAGAGGGAATAGATATTAAAAGGCAGGATGAAGGAAAAAAGCATGTTCTGCATCTAGCTCTAAAAGAAGTAGTTGCCGACCTTGGCTCTGGTGACATTGATGGGGAGACAGTCATGATCTTTAGCAGCTGTGGCAGTAGTAGGCCAAACAGAGGCCCCTCTTTGGAGGTCCAGTCCAGCAGCATCAGTGCTGGTTTGGAGACTGAATTGCTGCAGGGGCATATACAACAGCACAGCAGCAGGTGTCCGCTTATGGTTCCAACTCAGGGTCATTTGCAGCTTTCTGATCTCAGTGTAAAAATCTGTCATCCTTCCTATACTCCTATATCACTCTCCTCTCCTTTTTCTTCCTTCAGAGTTTTCAAAACATTAATGCCCTATCCCATGTATGGAACTGTTTGAAACAGTCAATACAGTTTCTGTTTTTATGACTATCTTCTGAATGATAAAGAAAGCCTAAGTTTTGATGTCCTTAATAAGCACAAATAAAAATCTTTAGAAAATAAGTGTACCAATAGAAAGTGGGCAATGGAATGAAGAATTTTCTAAAATCAAATAAAAATGTCTGATATCAAATAATCAAATACCAATATACCAAATACCAAACTGTGAACTTTGTTGAACATTTGGATTCTCTCCTCTCACCATAGTCAGGGCCACTGTGGGGAGGGTGGTCCCTCTTCTCTCTTTCTCTGCTCAGAGCATGTCCTTCTGCCTACTGCTTAGTAATCTGGATTCTGATCTCATTAGATTCAAGCTCAAGGAGACACAGTACAGAAGGGTACAGTCTTCTACAGCAGTAGGTGTATATGATTTCCATCTCTGTCCCTTATGGTAACTTCCTGGGCACTTCAGAGGCCCCCTCACCTGCCCACTCCTGCCACACCTCCACCATAGCTGTGATGCAGCTTTTTTCCAAGTAACTGTTCTTCCTGCAGGCCCGATTTTTCCTGTAGTCCATGCCCCTGTAGAACCTTCTAGGTAGTTTTCATGGGTAGTCATTACAGTAGCTCTATGTTCTCCTTCCTGTGGTCCCCGAACACTCATGCCTCAGTTAGGAAAGTTTTAGTTCCCAAATATTACTACCCTCTTTCTGCCTAGAGGCTTTGGGGTAGTAACCATGTTCTTTTGCCTTGTTATCCTTCTGGCATGTTCCAAAGAACAGCTCAAAGTGTCCATTTACATAGTATAGGGGATAAATCTCAAGCAATCTGATGGGCCTTTTTTGAGCTTCTATAAATGGACTTGAGAGAAAGCAAATAGGGGGAGGCTGGGAGTCACAGCACAGGAACTCTACTCTCCAAAAAGAAAGCAAAGCAAAACAAAACCCTCTTTACAAACTTGCTTCTTATGCTCTGAACCTATTCCTACCTATTATCTTGGCTAGTAGTCCCCATGTAAAGGACCTTCATGTCATAAAACCATTCTCAAACATTACTTTTAACTTTGGTCTGTCATCTTACTTACATGCAACATATATTGTGTCATAAGTCCCTGATATTATTATCCTGTTGCATAAATATATGTGTGTATAATAGTTAGACTTCTAAATAAGGTTTTTATATAGTACCTATTCTTCTTTATTCTCCTAAATATATATTAGAATTATTTCCTTATAACAATGAATATTTTGCTTTCATAAAATTTTAATGACCATGGATTATTCTTTTCTATGAATGCACCATATTTTATGTAAAATGTCTCCTACTTTGGACGAACTGCCTATGATTATTTTCCCCAAATTTCACTATGGTTAACAAAGTACTACTAATATAAACTCTTTGTGGAAACATTCATATATTTCTTAGGATAAATTCTTTGAAAGAAGTGCTGAGTCAAATGTATGCACATTTTTAAGAGTTTTGGTATATATTGCTAAATTGTTCTCTGGAATGTTTGTCTTAGCAGAATTTAAAAGTTCTTGTTTATATTTGGCAATAATACATATGTAATTCCTTTGGTCTTTCTCAATTAATGAATAAAAAAAAATCTCACCGATATCTGTTTTTAATATACCAGAAATATCTGGTTTTATATACTTGACATATCCTGGATATACATAGATATATATGTAAATATAGAGATAGATATAGATGTAGAATAGATAAATGAGTGTGCTCACTTTGTGATAATTATAAGTTGTGTATTTTCATTCTATATTATATACTCCAATAAAATTCTTATTAAAAATGGAAACATGTTAACTATCATTTTATCTAATTCAGCTCATTTGAAAATGACAGTCAGTGCAAAGTGGTTTAAAGTTAAGGTTACAGAGAAAAATGATAATGTTACCATTCAAGTTGAATCCATAGCTGTATACATTCTGATGTATAGCAGTTTCCTGCCACTAAGTCCAATTTGTTCTGAGAGTGAAAGGGAAGTAAAACATGCTTAGGTTAGATTGCTTTCACAAATACTATAAACAGGCATAATAAGGTCATGACATTTCAAAATCAAGTACACTGGAAGACCCTGTCTTTTCACAGAGTTCTTTAGGAAACTATGCAGAAGGTTAACTTGCCTCTAAAACCCCAATTCCTTAATGGACCACTCCATGAGAGATGGAAGCAACATCTATTCACTGGAGTCAAGGCAATTTCTGGTGATATCTTGCATAGAGTAGGCCTGGGTCATCCTGTCTTCTTGCAGTAACTAAATCTGGGTCTTTGGGCAAAAATTGATTAGAAAAGATGAATTGGTTAAAAAAATTGGAGGGGTAAATATATTACACCTAACTGCCACCCAAATGGCTGAAAACAAAAACAGCACTAACTCTTTTTGAATAAATCAATTTTCATTTATTTATTTATTTATTTGTTCCTTTGTTTGTTTGAATAACTGATTCATCTTTAGACACAATTGATTCACATAATTTGAGTATATTACAATGTGTGTCTAGCTCCAATACTTTTAAGCCAGATATCAACCCAGATATCCTATCTCTTTAGATTTTTTGTAAATATAATTGACTGAAAATCTACTCCAGCTATGGTGGAATCCCAGGATCCAGGAAATCTATCCAAAACTTCTGGGGAGAGTCAGGAAAAGAAGAAGGGTGCAATGAGTGATTTTTTCATAATCACTGCTAGTTATATTTCCTCATTTATGGACTGTCATATATATATATAAATATATGAAAACTATACAGAAGGTTAACTTGCTATATATTCTACTCTAATATCCCAGTGTGGAATTCAGCACCCATTCCCTAAGATTCCCCTCAAACATCACTCACACAAGTGTAGACGTATATAACCTGTATTCTGGTGTGACAGAGTGGTTTTACATAGCCATATGGCTCTACTCCTTCCCTACTTCAAACTCCTTTCCTCCCCTTTCAGTTTTTCTTTTTTATTCTCATGCAATTTCTAGACATCTTTTGCCATATTCAAAACTCCTTAATGACAAAACAAAGGACCAACTACTCACAAAAACACTATTTAGCACAACAGAAACAACTGTCTTTTTCTTATATCTCACCATCAATTTCCAGGAGGGGACAAAAGTGACATAAATTGATTTACCCTTTGATTTAAATTATGCAACCCTCTTTACCAAGGCTAGTTGTCTACAGTAGTTCTGGGTAAATGAGAAAATATATCTTTCCTTATTTTCACCGTTTATCCTACTATTTCACTGTCTCTATATCTTTAGCTTAATCTTGCCTGTATTCAGTCTCCCTTGTTAAGTTTCTCCTCCCATTTTTGTTTCCTTTTTGTGATTCATGTTCTTGCATCAACCTTCCTTTATTGTTTCTTATTATGCCTTTCTTCTGTACTCCATCTTCATTCCCTTATATGTCAAGGTTAAAAAATTTGATTTGAACCCAAGTCATTCTTACTTCAATGACCATTTTCTCTCTACTTTATCAAGCTGTCTGCATATATGCACCGGGACCAACTACCTTCTTGTAAAAGCAATTTTTGATCATACTTCTAAATGCTTAAAGTTAGCAAATAGAATGAATTATTTTACACGTGATGCTAAACATATTTAATTATAAGATAATATGTCAATATTAAATCTAAGTTTTGTTTACATTAGCGTGCCTATTTTAAATTTTATTTAAATTAAAATGTGTTCTGATGTAGAAAATATTTTGTTTCTATTTACATCCCTACAGTCAATGTAAGATACCATTATTCACTGTTTGATTTATGAATATATTTATATTATCTCATAGCAGATTATTTATTCATTTAGCAAATATCCCTGTGCACTTATTTTGTATTCTGTGTAATTCCAGAGAGAAGAGAGAGACATAGCAATATGATAAGAATTAAACTAGAACTATGTACAAGGTGCTTTCAAATGGAGAAGGAATAACATAATGATAATGATAATGACATAATGACAATAATTACCATATGGAGGAGTTTCAGGAAAATAGTATCCCATTTGGTCTCTGTTTTACAGATGAGGAAAAAAAACGTTTTGGTAGTTGAAATAATTATAGATTTATATCAACATTCATATTTTGAATAATTTGAAGGAAAAATTTAAACCTTTTCCTGTCTGTCTGAAAAGTCCATTTACTGTAGTATATTGCCTTCATGTGTAATTTGTACCATTCTATGTAATACATAAATACATATATTCATAATAGTAGGCATAAGTCACTTTAATTCAATAAAAGTAATTCTGAGAAGTTTTCATTGGAGCAACATATTTTCATCCCTTCTGTTTGAAGGAAAAAAAAATTGTGTAGCCTTGGTGTATACAATGCAATATGATCACTAACAACTTCTGCCTATAGTGCTAATTAAGATTTCACCAGATGATTGCCTTTGAAATATGTTCAGTGCATATTTAGATGGTAGAATAAGAAAAAGAGTGGATGCAAATCTGCCTGAGCTGTGCACAACCATGTCATACAGTGGCAGTGATAAACACATGAATACGATAATATTTAAAAGTGCCATTGCCCAGAGCAATCTAGGCAAACAATTAGAGACACTCCTCACAGGGGAATTATAGAAATTCTTAACTAGGGCAACTTACAATCTTTTATATTCTTTAATTTGAAAATCACTCTGGATACTTCATCTATTCATTGCAGTTTAGCCCATTTTTAGGCTGATGAACCAATGGATTATAGATTTAAAAATTTTATTTTATATGAATGATACATTATCATAAAATTATTTCACAAGTGAAATTGATTACAATTAGAGCTGTTCAAGCAGGAGTTTGTTTTTGCTTCTTATGAATTAAACAGTCTAACAAATTTGTGAGCTAAAAATTCACACACCTTTGATAGAAGACAAAACCAAGACTATGATTTATGTCATATAAAACTAGGCAATACAGTCATGGAAGAAGCCAACATTGATTACCAAAATCATCAACTACAAGAATAAACGTTAACAACTAAATGGTAGATCCAACTCAAGTCTATAATATATTCCTTAAATAAAATTATCTTTAAAAGATACAACTTTTGGACTGTAATACTATTCTGATTAGTGGGCTCTTAGCCAAAAATTTAAAAGACACTGCAGATCTCATTATTGTGTGTTGATCTAGTATTTCCTGTCATTGAAGAATGAAAAGCAAGGGTTTTTTGAAACATTGTTCATGCTCTTATATTCTCTAAGTCCTAGGCAAGAACTTACAATTCTGCTGAAGAACCAGGTAGAGCTTATTAGCTAGTGTTGTAAATTTTATCTTAAGCTGACCCTCACAATTGGAGAGTCCATTTTATTCTTCTCCATGCCTCACCTCTTTGCTTACATCTTCCTTAAAGTTCACTGCTGCCTAAAGACACTCTAAGTGATCCACATTCAGATCTGATTATATTTATAAGTTCTCTTTAACATTTACTTAAATAATTCTAGAAATCTTATTTAGTAAACTTTTTCTTATAATCTTTTAGATTCTCCCACATGCATTTATTTTGTGCAAACATTAAATAAGAAATTGTACATTTCTAGTCCTGTACTTTCCCAAGGTATAATTTAAGCATCTAGCCTTAATTGAGTTCATTTAGAATTCTTTATACAATTTCACTTTCTTTACAGCCTTCTACCCCAAAAGATTATTTATCCAATTGGAAAGAAAAAGTATTTTGTCTATTGATTTAAATCCTTTAGAAGGATGCTGAGAAAAATTTGCAATCGATTTGTTCATTGGGCACTAAATAATAACAATAAAGATAATAAAATATTATTTTTAAATTAGATTTTATACTATGTGTCAGAAACAGTTAAGGACTTGATTTCATTCAGAGCAACAATATGTACAACACGATCACCATGTTACAGACAAATAAACTAAGGCTTTATTGTTTAAAGTAGTTTGGCCAAGGTCACACAGGTAGTACATGGAATTGTCAAGATTCTAATCAAGGTTTGTCTGAATCTAAAGTACTTTCTAACAATTATGTGAATAGTTTTCCCTGCCAACGAATAAGTAATCAGAGCAGATAGTTGAAGCAAATGTTATCAGTAGTATAAACATGTCTGAGTGCTTTACCCAAACTCTAAGCACTCTGAGCATGTGATCAGACTCATAGCAGATCAAAACATTTTCTCTTGCTGACTGAAGCCTCCTGGATTGTGTCCTTAGTGGATTTTCTCTGATAACAATAATAAATCTAGATACATATTAATGCAACATATTAGTTTTTACTTAAATTTTTTTAATATAATTTTATTTATCATCAATTCTATCTACATTTTGGGATGAATTTCAAAATTATTTCACCTAATACATGAAGCATAACTTTTTTATCTAGATTTTAAATGTTATGGCATAAACGGAACTAGCCTGGAGTCTGCCCTACTGAATTATTCTCCTGATTCAGTCGCTAGAGAACAATGTGCTCACAAGCAAGTTACACAGGCCTTGTGAATCTAAGGTCTTTCTTATTTGTAGATATAGAAGATTGGAATTTATTATATTTGTGGTATTATCCAGTTCTTCTAATAGAAGACAAAGAACATACGATTTACTTAGAATACAAAAATGTATTTATTACTTATATAAATAAAATAAAAAGTTAAGGCCTACAAATAACATTAACCAACAAATAAATAATAGTCCAATATTATTGTGCAGTCTCTAAATTTATTTTTTTAAACTAGGATAAAAAAAGAAAACTATCTGAGTTTTACCAAACTATACAAATGGAAAAATCAAATTAAGCCTCTTAGAACCTGTATCTTAGAAGACAAGTGTATTTTTCACAAAAGGAAATACTGGGAAAGTTAGCACACTCTGCCAGCTATGGCTGACCAGTCAGAAACCCTCAGAGAACATGCATATTCTCTAAAAAGAAAAAAGGTAGATGGCAGTGACTTTTCTCGGATCATGGTTGATTGTTATCAGAACCCAATTTCAGGTGTTATTTAGTAAGTACATAAGCAACTAAGCTCTGGCACCAGATTGTCTGGGTCTGAAACCTGGCCACGCACTCACTACATGAACTTTGCTTCTTATCTTTATGCTTCAGTTTCCAATTCTTTGTATACTTTCTGTTTCTAAAATTATATTAGCAAAGCAAGTTTTATTTTATGTTTATAATTTCAGCTTTTATTTTAGATTCAGGGGGTACATGTGCAGGTTTATTACCTGAGTATACTGCATGATACTGAGGTTTGGGGTATTATTGATCCCATCACTCCGGTATTGAGCCTAGTAGTTTTTTAACTCTTGCCCCCTTTTCTTCCTCCTCCCTCTAATAGTCTCCAGTGTCTACTGCCAACATTTTTATGTCTATGAGTATCCATTGGTTAGCTCCCAGTTATAAATGGGAACATGCAGTATTTGGTTTTCTATTCCTGCATCAATCCCTTAGGGTAATGGACTCCAGCTGCATCCATGTTGCTGCAAAGGACATGATTTTTTTCTTTTTCATGGCTGCATAGTATTCCATGATGTATATGTACCCCCATTTTTTTAAATAGTCCACCATTGATGGGCACCCAGGTTGATTCCATGTCTTTGCTATTGTGAATAGCACTGCGATGAACATACAAGTGTATGTGTCCTTTTGGTAGAACAATTTATTTTCTTTTCAATATACACCTAGTAATGGGACTGCTGGGTCAAATGGTAATTCTATTTTAAGTTCTTTGAGAAATCTCCAAACTGCCTTCCACACTATATGGACTAATTTACACTCCCACCATCACTGTATAAGTGTTCCCTTTTCTCCAAAGCCTTGTCAGCATCTGTTGTTTTTGGACATTCTAATAATAGCCATTCTAACTGATGTAAGATGGCATCTAATTGTGGTTTTGATTTGCATCTCTCTGATGATTAGAGATTTTGATCATTTTTTCATATGTTTTTTGGCCACTTGTATGTCTTCTTTTGAGGAGTGTCCATTCATAACTTTTGCTAATTTTTTAATGGAGTTATTTGTTTTTTGCTTGTTGAGTTGTTAAGTTACTTTCAGATTCTGGATATTAGACATTTGTCAGATGCACAGCTGGCAAATATTTTATCCCATTCTGTAAAGTGTCTATTTGCTCCGTTGATATTTTCTTTTGCTGTGAAAAAGCTCCTTAGTTTAATTAGTTACAACTTGTCAATTTTTGTTTTAGTTGCAAATGCTTTTGAGGAATTAGTCATAAATTATTTCCAAGGCCAATGTCCAGAATCCTTCTACTAGATTTTCTTCTAGAGTTCTTATAGTTTGATATCTCACATAGAAATATTTATTCTATTTTGATTTAACTGTTGTACATGGTAATAAGCAGGGGTCCAGTTTCAATCTTCTGCGTATAGCTAGCCAGCTATCCCAGCACCATTTATTGAATAAGGAGTCCTTTCCCCCATGCTTGATAAACATGACATGGCTTACCCTTGTTTCTTTGCTGAAAGACTGTCTTAGAAATATGACCTTCTCAGTTTTCTTGTTACCCAAGATAAATGTTCATAGTAAAATCTTCTCACCCAAATAAATATGTATGACCTATTTACATAGATGATAAGGCAATCTGTAATGATTAGGATTATCAAGTTTGAATCAGATTACTTCAAAAAGGTTTCATAGAGGAAGTAAACTTCGATGAAACAAACAGAATAAAGATAAGTAGAAAAGGTATTTCAAAGTTATGGCTTAATAAAGACTTAGAATTAAGAGTGAATTTATTGAACAATATATGGAACTAGGATACAAAAGACAACCTACTAAATATGAAAACAAAAACATTTTTCTATTCAGTTTGATTTTTGAAATCCTATTTCCTGACATTGCTGAGAGCAAAACTCTAATTTAGACAAACCTCTTAATGATTTCAAGTTTATTACATCTATAAAGTGTACACCATGAATGATAAGCTAGCTGGTAAGGCATAAAAATGGGCAAGCAGTTATCTGTTCATATCCTTCGTCTACTTTTTGATGGAATTGTTTTTTTTCTTGTAAATTTGTTTAAATTCCTTGTAGAATCTGGATATTAGCCCTTTGTCAGATGGATACGTTGCAAAACTGTTCTCCCATTCGATAGGTTGCCTGTTCACTCTGATGATAGTTTCTTTTGCTGTGCAGAAACTCTTTAGTTTAATGAGATCCCATTTGTCAGTTTTGGCTTTTGTTGCCATTGCTTTTGATGTTTTAATCATGAAGTCTTTGCCCATGCCTATGTCCTGAATGGTATTGCTTAGGTTTTCTTCTAGGGTTTTTATGGTTTTAGGTCTTACATTTAAGTCTTTAATCCATCTTGAGTTAATTTTTGTATAAGGTGTAAGGAAGGGGTCCAGTTTCAGTTTTCTGCTTATGGCTATCCAGTTTTCCCAACACCATTTATTACATAGGGAATCATTTCTCCATTAATAGTTTCTGTCAGGTTTGTCAAAGATCAGATGGTTGTACATGTTGGCATTATTTCTGAGGCCTCTGTTCTGTTCCATTAGTCTATATATCTGTTTTGGTACCAGTGCCATGCTGTGTTGGTTACTGTAGCCTCGTAGTATAGTCTGAAGTCAGGTAGCATGATGCCTCCAGCTTTGTTCTGTTTGCTTAGGATTGTCTTGGCTATACGAGCTCTTTCTTGGTTCCATATTAAACAACCCCATCAAATATTTAAAAAAAACAAACAACCCCATCAAAAAGTGGGCGAAGGATATGAACAGACACTTCTCAAAAGAAGACATTTATGCAGCCAACAAACATGAAAAAAAGCTCATCATCACTGGTCATTAGAGAAATGCAAATCAAAACCACAATGAGATTCCATCTCATGCCAGTTAGAATGGTGATCATTAAAAAGTCAGGAAACAACAGATGCTGGAGAGGATGTGGAGAAATAGGAACACTTTTACACTGTTGGAGGGAGTGTAATTTAGTTCAACCGTTGTGGAAGACAGTGTGGCAATTCCTCTAGGATCTAGAACCAGAAATACCATTTGACCCTGCAATCCCATTACTGGGTATATACCCAAAGTATTATAAATCATTATACTATAAAGACACATGCACACATATGTTTATTGCAGCACTATTCACGATAGCAAAGACTTGGAACCAAGTCAAATGCCCATCAATGATAGACTGGATAAGGAAAATGTGGCACATACACACCATGGAATACTATGCAGCCATAAGAAGGATGAGTTCATGTCGTTTGCAGGGGCACAGATGAAGCTGGAAACCATCATTCTCAGCAAAATAACACAGGAACAGAAAACCAAACCCTGCATGTTCTCACTCATAAGTGGGGGTTGAACAATGAGAACACATGGACACAGGGAGGAGAATATCATACACCGGGGCCTATCAGGGAGTGATGGTGCCAGGGGAGGGATAGCATTAGGAGAAATACCTAAAGTAGATGATGGGTTGATGGGTGCAGCAAGCCACCATGGCATGTGTATACCTATTTAACGAACCTGCACGTTCTGCATATGTATCCCAAAACTTAAAGTACAATAATAAAAATAAAAATGGGCAAGCAAGGTAAGCTAGTAGTCATCTGCTACACAAATGGAACTACAAATATATTTAAGTCTGCCTAACTTGAGACAAATCAAAACCTCTTAGCCACCTGTAGTAATTTCAGGGTAATCTGCTACTCAAAAATGAAACCAACTTGGATTTATCAAAATAAGAAAAAGGCAGTGCAAAAATAGTCCTCTTAGCCAAAGTGAAAATGAAAACTGAGAAATACCACACCAGGAAGCTTTCTCCAACACCCAGTTTCAGAGTCCAGAGAAAAGAAATCCTTTTTGGAAAGCTTTTGAGATATAATTACTTAAACTTTGTTTATAGTGGCACAATGAATTCTTTTCTGTTCTTACCTTGCCAAAAAGTAAACCCCTAATGGATTAGGAATATCAACAACTGAAATACGGAAAACCTTACAGTAGAAGGATGCCAAGAAGTATGAAATGTTTCTGAGTCGATTTCCTCCTTTGTGTTAGCAGCTGAACTCTACATTATTTCTTTCAACTTTGTCTATGTTCCCCCTTCTTAAAAGTCCCTTTTGTCCATTGCTTTCAGGATTTCCACTTTGCATTGAATTAATAGTATTATTAAATATGCTGTCAGGATTTCCTTCCATTTGTTTTCACTCCTATCATTTACCTAGTTTTCTAAATGTATGTCATATTTAATATTTTTACTAAAAAACTTCATAGTCTTGAGCTGTCTCACAAAGGAATTTTTTGCATATTCACTTAAACTAAAAGTAATTAAGTTTCTAATTCTGCTTGCATTGTAAACATTAACTGTTGGATATTTACATGTTTTGAGTGGCAAATGCTATGATTTTGAGTTTCCTTATTTTATTTACACACAGGGAAATTCTAAATCGTAACATTTACCATTTTTCTTATGAACAAATTGTTTAAAAATAAAAGTATTTTTTATTGGTGATGCTTTATATTCCTGTATATGTCCCTACCATTAACAAATAAGTACATATGCCAGTTCCTTGCCCACAAGCTGATTTTACACGTGGGGAACACTGAATCATTATCCTGGCAGACTCTAGACTTAAGAAACCCAGCTGCTTTAATGACCATGAATATGTTGCCAGACTTCTTTGATTTTTCTCAGAGCCTCTCCTTGTAAATTGCAGCTACATTTTTCAGCCCACCTGGTTGTCCCAGTTCTGCATTAGCCTCCTCTCTAACCAATGTACATAAAGCCTCCTTCGCTATGTGAGGACTTGCACCCTTACCTGCCCCTGCCCACTTCACTGCCCAGGCTCAGTGGTCTGGCTGCATATGGTTTTCATCTCCAGGTATCATCTTGGTTTCCACTTCTCCTCCCTAGCTCTCTTCCCTGGAGGTCAGGCCACCCTGCTTCCCCAATTATGAAAATTCCAAATGACACCGAGGAATCTCAGTCTCACTACTTTAGATAAATACATATTTTTTCCGTTGTTGCATTTTATGATTTTACTAAGCACCAGATGTAAAACATCCTGTCATATAAGCATTCCTAACCTACCTTTCTAGAGATTAATTTTAATTATTATGATCTGGCATTAAAAACATGGGTGACTATCATTTACTGAGATAACACATTATTTCATAATGGTGGTAGATTTAGAAGCAAAGCATTACAGCTTAACAGAAGAAAGCTAATAATGCATAAACACCTGTTTCTCAAACTCTGTGTATCCATAACCCAACTTTTTTGAAAAAGAACTTGACAAAAGTGGTGGTGCTATTAAGCATAGACATTCCTCATTACCAAATAGAATTTATTACATATTGTAATGCAGTCAGTTATATTATAAAAAAATAGGGCTCTAAGCTACTGACACACTAACTTTTTAAATGTAAAAACAATCCTGAGTTTTATTAAAAATTACATTAAGGTAAATAGAAAAAAATACAGCTCATGTCCAATACAACTGATATAAAAAGTAAGCTTTGATATATTAATTTCAAATATGTTTATAATATTTATTGTGAAATATATGTTGGCTATCGTAAATTTAGAAAAGAAGTTAAACATGAACACAAATTTTCCATAATTTGCAGCATAGAAAAAATGATGACAATAACTTTATTATACATTTCCCACCATTATATGCACAGGTATAATTATGTACTTAACAATAAAACATAAAAAGAGACATATTTTATGCACAATAAAGCCAATCCTATTTTTAAAAAAATAGTTTGTGAATGTCTCTTATGTCATTAAATATGAGACATTAATGTCTCTTAATGGCATAAGAGACATTCAGCATTATTTTGCACTTACTATTTAAATAATTATTTCAAAATGAATTCATAAATTATGTTTTGTGAACATCTGCATATTTGAGTATGTATTTTGTTGATTTGCACATCTACAAAACAAGTGAATTGACATAAAAATATTGACTACTGCTTTTATGTCTCAAAGCTCTTCACTTTAGTCTTAATTTATTATTGCAGAGGAAAAGTCTAGTGCCATACTGGTTACTCTTTTTATACTCAACATGTTTTTTCCACCTGGATATTTTTAACAGTTTTTTCGTGTGTGTGTGTGTGTGTGTGTGTGTGTGTGTGTGTGTGTGTGTGTATGGGGATGTTGTATTAAATCTCCTAGAATATTGTTGAAAATTTTTAATCTGAATAAATATGCTGATCTCAAAACATTTCTTCTGTTATACCTTGATTGGTTTTTTGAAAACACTTGTTCTACTATATTGATTCTTCCTACCCATGAGCATGGAATGTTCTTCCATTTGTTTGTATCCTCTTTTATTTCCTTGAGCAGTGGTTTGTAGTTCTCCTTGAAGAGGTCCTTCATATCCCTTGTAAGTTGGATTCCTAGGTATTTTATTCTCTTTGTAGCCATTGTGAATGGGAGTTCACTCATGATTTGGCTCTCTGTTTGTCTGTTGTTAGTGTATAAGAATGCTTGTGATTTTTGTACATTGATTTTGTATCCTGAGACTTTGCTGAAGTTGCTTATCAGCTTAAGGAGATTTTGGGCTGACACAACGGGGTTTTCTAGATATACAATCATGTCGTCTGCAAACAGGGACAATTTGACTTCCTCTTTTCCTAATTGAATACCCTTTATTTCCTTCTCCTGCCTAATTGCCCTGGCCAGAACTTCCAACACTATGTTGAATAGGAGTGGTGAGAGAGGGTATCCTTGTCTTGTGCCAGTTTTCAAAGGGAATGCTTCCAGTTTTTGCCCATTCAGTATGATATTGGCTGTGGGTTTGTCATAGATAGCTCTGAACAGACACTTCTCAAAAGAAGACATTTATGCAGCCAAAAAACACATGAAAAAATGCTCACCGTCACTGGCCATCAGAAAAATGCAAATCAAAACCACAATGAGATACCATCTCACACCAGTTAGAATGGCAATCATTAAAAAGTCAGGAAACGACAGGTGCTGGAGAGGATGTGGAGAAATAGGAACACTTTTACACTGTTGGTGGGACTGTAAACTAGGTCAACCATTGTGGAAGTCAGTGTGGCGATTCCTCAGGGATCTAGAACTAGAAATACCATTTGACCCAGCCATCCCATTACTAGGTATATACCCAAAGGACTATAAATCATGCTGCTATAAAGACACATGCACACGTATGTTTATTGCGGCATTATTCACGATAGCAAAGACTTGGAACCAACCCAAATGTCCAACAATGATAGACTGGATTAAGAAAATGTGGCACATATACACCATGGAATACTATGCAGCCATAAAAAAGGATGAGTTCATGTCCTTTGTAGGGACATGGATGAAATTGGAAATCATCATTCTCAGTAAAATATCGCAAGAACAAAAAAACAAACACCGCATATTCTCACTCATAGATGGGAATTGAACAATGAGAACAGGTGGACACAGGAAGGGGAACATCACACTCTGGGGCCTGTTTTGGGGTGGGGGGAGGGGGGAAGGATAGCATTGGGAGATATACCTAATGCTAGATGATGAGTTAGTGGGTGCAGCACACCAGCATGGCACAGGTATACATATGTAACTAACCTGCACATTGTGCACATGTACCCTAAAACTTAAAGTATAATAATAATAATAAAAAAACACTTGTTCTAATTTCTTTATATTATTAATGTTTCTTTAGATCATTTTCCATTATTATCATGCACATAATAGTCTCACATGCCCTTCAAAAGCTGCTTCTATGATTTATGTTAAAATGTGTTCCGAACTTTTAAAAAAATTATTAACACAAAATAAGGTCCATTCAGATTTAATATTTACCAATGGGCATATGTGTATGTGTATATAGCAAGATTTCCTTCTAATCCAGTGGTCAGAAAACTTATTGTGCAAGGAATCCAATAGTAAATATTTGAGACTTTGCAGCCCATACAGTCTCAGCCACAACTCCTGCCCAACCCTGTCATTATAGCCAAAATTTCAAATAGCCAAGATTTGAAAAAACCTAAGTGTCTTTCAACAGAAAAACAGATAAAGAAAATGTCACACATATACATATACTCAGCCATAAGAAAGAATAACCACTATGGAAAACAGTATGGAGATTCCTTAAAGAACTAAAAGTAGAACTACGGTTTGATCCAGCAATCCCACTACTGAATATCTACCCAGCGGAAAAGTAGTCATTATATGAAAAAGATACTCAGATAGGCATGTTTATAGCAACACGATTTGCAGTTGCAAAAATTTGGAATTAGCCCAAATGCCCATCAATCAATGAGTGGATAAAGAAACTGTGGTGTATATACACAATGGAATACTATTCAGCCATAAAAAGGAATGAATTAATGACATTCACAGCCACCTGGATGGAATTGGAAACTATTATTCTAAGTGAAGTAACTCAGAAATGGAAAATCAAATGTCGTATGTTCTCACTCATAAGTGGGAGCTAAGCTATGAGGATACAAGGAAATAAGAAGGATAGAATGGACTTTGGGGAACTGGGGGGAAGGGTGAGAAGGCAGAGAGGGATTAAAGACTACAAATTGGCTTCAGTGTATACTGCTCGGGTGATGGGTGCACCAAAATCTCACAGATCACTACTAAAGAAATTATGTAACCAAATACCACGTGTTCCCCCAAAACCTATGGAAATAAATAATAAAAATAAATAAAATGAATAAGTTCCTGTCATTTGTAACAACATGGATGGAACTGGTCGACACTACATTAAGTGAAATAAGCCAAGCACAGCAAGGCAAATTTTGCATGTTTTCACTTATTTGTGGGAGCTGGAAATTAAAACAGTTGAACTCATAAAGATAGAGAATAGAATAGAATGAAGGTTACCAAATGATGGGAAGGCTAGTAGTGAAAGTGCTGGGGAGTGGGGATGGTTAATGGGAACAAAATACAGATAGACAAATGAATAAGTTTTAGTATTTGATAGCACAACAGGAAGACTACAGTTGGCAGTAATTTAACTGTACATTTAAAAGTAAATAAAAGTACAATTGAAATGTTCATAACACAAAGAAATGATAAATGCTTGAGGTGATGAATACCCCATTTACTCTGATATGATTATTACACATTATATAGCTATATCAAAATATCTCATGTACCCCATAAATATATATACCTACTATGTAGCAATAAAAATTAAAAATTAAAAAAATTAAAAATCACTGATTACTATAACAGATATAATAACAATAAAGTTTGAAATTTTGTTATCATTATCAAAACTTGACACAGAGACATAAAGTTAGCACACGCTGTTGGAAAAATGACACCAATGGATTTGCTTGACGCAAGATAGCATAAACACTTTTTAGCCATGTGGCATTTTAAAGTAGATATCCACAGTACCATTCATTATACATGTAGCATTTCATTTCAAACATCTTGTGAAGAAGCCAGAATTTCTGAAGTCAGTTTATTAGAGGTAAATTCCTTTTAGACAGCAACTACTTAAGCATGATGGTTTGAATTCAAAGGTATCATCATGATCTTGTAACAGAATCTCATAATGAAATGATCTGTACTTGCCAAGGTTTGCCAAAGCACACTCGTTATGTCTAGAAGTTACCTTGACAAGGCTAGTTCACATGTGCTCATATTTCAAGCTATTGTAGCTCTGATACTTATTAAAAAGGCAAAGGACAAGAACATAAGTCAGAACACCTTGGCTGAATTAAGTTCAAGGATAGGTACTTGGCTTACTAAACCTAGAATCAAGTGTCCACTGATTTCATGTTCCTGAATCACCATTACATTCTTTAAATTGCCTCACTTACCATTGTTTAAGAAAATAGACAGCTTTTGGTGAATGTGATTTGCTAAGTTTTTCTCTCTCAATTTAAACATGTGAGGCAAAAAATACATGATATTTACAAATTAATATTCATATGACATTTTGCTTATCCTCTTAGCCATTTTTATAGAAGTAATGTCAACTTACAATTATTAGTCCTAAGCTTTTTCCTAAATACACTTAGCATTCATCATTAAAATACATGTAGATTATCCAGGATTGTTATTTGATAACCTTTTAATTTATGTTACAATTTAATTTTTTTCTAAAACAATGTTTATCTCACACATAACATTGTCTTTTTAAACTGTTATTAAATTAGTTGAGTCTTTCATATCTAACTACTATTAAACACTAAATTTCTTTTTGAGTGTTTTTTTAAAAAACATTATAAAATATTAGACATCCTTAAAAACAAAAAAGTACTCTAAGAATCCTAAATATCCTTAATCCAATTTTTACATAATGTTGAAATCACCAATGTTGCCCTCAGAAATTTCATTCCTCTCTTCCTCCCACAATATTAACCACATTATTTTCTACAAAGCTTGTATATACAAAATTTATATTGTGTTGTTTATGCAAATACTGTCTATAAGATATATGCTCATTTATATAACATTATGGAACTTTCATTTTGTTAAATATTACACTTCCAAGATTCACATGTATTATTATGTATAACAATAAATTATTTTTACTTCTGTATATAAGTCCATTGTATGAATAAACACAATTTATGTATTAATTCTTATGCGGATAAAAATTTATGTTTTTCCATTGTTTTTTGTTGTGTTTTGTTTTTGCTATTTAAAAACACTGCTGCTAGAATCAGTCCTGTCTATTTATGTTTCTTGGTAAAAGTATAAGAAAGATTTTCTGTAATCTATAATTTGAGGTGGCATTACTATGCCATATGGTAAGTGTATCTTCAAGTTTGCTAATATTCCCAAATTGCTCTCCAATTCATATCAATTTTATGATTAGAATTAGCAATTTTTAAATGTACTTGATTTTGTATCTTGTTTACAAAATTCTTCCTTTCCAATGCCATACATTCTTCTATATAATTTTTATAAACTTATTGAAGTATGTTATTTATCATATGAGGTTAGAATTCTATTGTTTTCTTGTGGATAACTAATTGATACAAAACTGTTTTTGTTAGATTCTTTGTTACTAGAGATTTATATTACAACTTGATATTTGCTAGGGTGATCGTCACTAAATTTTTCCACAGAAATTCCTTGGCTGCTCTTGGCCATTTGCTTTTCCACATGATGGTGAAAATCCACTAGCTACATTAAAAAATATTTTTTATTGAGATTGTGAGAAACTTATGAGTTAATATAAAGATAATTGCCATATTTAGGACACTAATTTTTCCTCTCATGAATATGTTATATATTTCAATGTAACATTTATTTTTAATGTCTTTCAATAAAGTTTTTAATGGTCTCCATAAACATTATTGCACAGCTATTGTTGAAGTTATTCTGAGACACTTTATGATGATTGTTGCTATTACAAATGGCATTTTATATACAAGCATACCTCATTTTATTGCACTTTCCATTATTATACTGCTCAGATATATAGAATATATATATATATTTTAGAAATTGAATGTTTGTGGCAACCTTGTATCCAATGTCTATTGTTAGCAATTTTCCAACTTCATGTGCTCACACTATATCTCTGTGTCACATTGTGATAACTGTCACAGTACTTCAAACTTTATTATTATTATTATTATTATTATATCTGCTTTGAATTCCTGTGACCAGTGATCTTTATTGTTACTATTGTAATTGTTCTGGAGTGCCATGAACCATGCCCATAAAAGACAGTGAACTTAAATGTTGTGTGTTCTGGCTATTCCACTGATGGGCCACTGCCTCGTATCTTTTCATCTCCTGGGGATTTCCTATTCCTTGAAACACACAATGTTGATTTTAAGCCAATTAATAACACTACAATGTCCTCTAAGTGTTTTAGTGACAGAAAGTTGTACATCTCACACTTCACATCAAAAGCTAGAAATAATTAAGCTTAGTGAGGAAGGCATGTCAAGAGTTGAAATAGGTCAAAAGCTAGGCTTCTTGTGCCAAATAGTTAGCCAAGCTGTAAATGCAAAGAAAAAGTTCTTGAAGGAAATTAAAAGTTCTACTCCAGTGAGCACACAAATGATAAAAAAAGTAAAACAGATTTATTGCTGATATGAACAAAGTTTGAGTGGTCTGGAGAGAAGATCAAGCCAGCCAAAACGTTCCCTTAAGCTAAAGCCTAAACCAGAGCAAGGCTCTAACTCTCTTTAATTCCATGAAGGATGAGAGAGGTAAGGAAGTTGCAGAAGAAAAGTTGGAAGCTAGCAGAGGCTGGTTCATAATGTGTAAGGAAAGAAGCTGTCTCCAGAACATAAAAGTGCAAGATGAAACAGCAAGTGTTGATACAGAAACCACAGCAAGTTATCCAGAAGATCTAGCTAAGATCTTTGATGAATGTGGCTACACTAAAAAGCATATTTTTAATGTAGACAAAACAGCCTTATATTGGAAGAAGATGCCATGTAGGACTTTCATGACTAGAGAAGAAAAGTCAATGCCTGGCTTCAAAGTTTCAAAGGAAAAGCTGAGTCTCTTATTAGGGGCTATTGTAGCTGGTAACTTGAAGTTTAAACCACTCGTCACTTACCATTTTGAAAATCCTAAGGCCCTTAAGAATCACACTAAATCTACTCTTCCTGTGCTCTCTAAATAGATCAACAAAGCTTGGATGACCACATATCTGTTTACAGCATGGTTTACTGAATAGTTTAAACTCAATGTTGAGACCTACTGATCACAAAAAATATGTTTAAAATATTACTACTCATTCACAATGTCCCCAGTCACCTAAGCACTCTGATAATGATGTACAAAAAATTAATGTTTTAATACCTGCTAACACAATATTCATTCCTTAGCATATGGATCAAGAAATAATTTTTACTTTCAAGTCTTACGATTTAAGAAATATATTTCATAAAGCTATAGCTGCCATAGATAGTAATTTAATTGATGGATGTGGACAAAGCCAACTGAAAACCTTCTGGAAAGAATTCACCATTCTAAATGTCATTAAAAACATTTTGGTTTATGGAGAGAGGCTAAAATATCAAAATTAATAGGGATTTGGAGTATATACTTCAACCCTCATGGCTGATGTTTAGGGGTTCAAGAACTCAGTGCAGGAAGTAACTGCAGATGTGGTAGAAATAACAAGAGAACTAGAATTAGAAGTAGATCCTGAAAATCGGATTAAATTATTGCCATTTCATAATAAAACTTGAACAAGTGAAAAGTTCATTCTTATGGATCAGCAAAGGAAGTTGTTTCTTTTTTTTCTAATTAAACTGAAGAGCTTCTTTTTTATATATATACTTTAAGTTTTAGGGTACATGTGCACAACGTGCAGGTTTGTTACATATGCATACATGTGCCATGTTGGTGTGCTGCACCCATTAACTCGTCATTTACATTAGGTATATCTCCTAATGCTATCCCTCCCCCCTCCCCCCACCCCACAACAGTCCCCGGAAGTTGTTTCTTGAGATGAAATCTATTACTGGTGAAGATGCTGAGAACATTGTTGAAATGACAGCAAACCTTTTAGATTATTCCATAAACTGAGTTGATAAAGCAGTGGCAAGATGTGAAAGCATTGCCTCTGGTTTTGAAAGAATTTCCATTTTGGATCAAACATTATCAAACAACATGACATGCTACAGAGAAATGGTTTGTGAAAGAAGAGTTAATAAATGTGTTACATTTTATTGTCTTATGTTCCTATAGCCACCTGATATGGTCAGGCTTTGTGTCCCCACCCAAATCTCATCTTGAATTATAATCCGATAACCCCATAATCCCCACCTGTCAAGGGAGAGACCAGGTGGAGGTAACTGGAACATGGGGGCAGTTTCCCCTATGCTGTTGTTGTGTTAGTGAGTGATTTCTCACAAGATCTGATGATTTTATATGTCTTTGGTAGCTCTTCTTGCTTTCATTCTCTCTCCTGCCACCTTGTGAAGAAGGTGCCTGCTTCCCTTTCACCTTCTGCCATAATTGTAAGCTTCCTGAGGCCTCCCCACCCATGTGGAACTGTAAGTCAATTAAACCTCTTTCCTGTATAAAACATGCAGTCTCAGGTAGTATTTTTATAACAGTGTGAGAATGGACTAATACACCACACCAGCCTTCAGCAACCACCACCCTGATTAGTCAGCAGCCATTAGCATTGAGGCAAGAACCTACACCAGCAAAAAGATTCGAACTTTCTGAAGTTTCAGATGATTGTTAGCATTGCATAGCAATAAAGTATTTTTAATTAAGGCATGTATATTTTTATACATAATGCTATTGCACACTTACTTGACTACTGTATAGTGAAAACATAACTTTTATGTGCATGTGCACTGGGAAACCAAAAAATGTATGTGGCTGTCTGGAGTGTGAGATTCACTTTATTGCAGTGGCCTGGAACAAAACCCATAACATCTTTGAGGTATGGCTTTAAATGTAACAGTTCTTAGTTATGTTTTAAAAATGTGCTGATCACTCCTATTAATGGGATGAATTTGTCACTATAGTCTTGTGTTTTTTATGAAAACTCTAATATAAATGACAATGATTTATTTAGGTATTTTATGTTTTTGAGAATCTTAAACCTTTTATTTATGTTTTTCCATCCAATATTATAAAGGCTATTACCTTGTTAAATAGGAATTGTAATAATGGCCTATTTTGGGCTCTATTTGCTTGAATACCTTTATCAGATACTTTCAGTTTCTCTTATTTTTTTTGGTTGTTTTATAGGTGGAACATGACCAGATTTTATTTTTTATCTAATCATTTCTGTATTTTAATGAGGTATATACTCCATGTTACATTTATATATTGCATGTCACATTTGAAATACTTTTTATTGTTAATTCAATATCATATATTTTATAGTCTATTTTCAAAAATACTCTACTACCAATACCAAGTTTCCTTCTTATTAGGAAGAAGTGGTTATGTTGTAGAAGGAAATAACTATAATTTCTCAGTGGATTAAAGCAAAATTTGTTTTGTTTCTTCTTCTTGGCTCAGACAAATTTTGCCATGTCCAAATACCTCCTCTACATGGCTCCATTCAACGAAGTAATTCAACAATTCTGATTGTGCCAGTGGTCAGACTCATCATCTCAAAAGAAAGGGTCCTTTAAGGTTGTCACAAGTGAGAGGGAGAAATAGTAGTATCCATAGACTTTTCACTGCCTCAGCCTGGAAAGAACACAGCAATTTCCTCTCTGATTTTATTGCTAAGAATGAGTCAGATGGTCCTGCTTGCATGAGGCTGCGAAGGCCAGTGTCCTCTGGGTCTGAAGTGGGAAATGAAGCAGTTAATAGTGAACATTAGGAACATTTCAGATAAAATCCTGATGGCATTTTTAAGTGTTATAACTTTAAATATGTAATGTGACAAGAGTTATAGACAAGATAATGTAAAGACTTACTTTCTAAGAAAGTAGCCTTTCCATCTGTTCATAACTTTGTGTCTTCTTCGAATCTTTAAAATATTTTAAAAGTAGAATTTGAGCATTTCTTGCAAAGTTAATTTTCCATCTATCTTATTCGTTACTAATATATATGGGACATTTCTTCATCATATTTCTTCTGTCTTCTTGTTGCACTATGTAAGTTGTTGTTTTATATTGAAGAAAGTCCCCACTCAAAATGAAAACTGTAATAATTATAAAAGACAAAGATTTATTTAGGTATTGAAGAATTAGGTATTCTTTAGACCAATGTAAGTGTTCTGAGCATGTTTAAAATAGGTTAAGCAAAGCTATGATGTTTGATAGGTTAGGAGTATTAAATGCATTTTAGACATGGTATCTTCAGTTTGTGATGAGTTTATCAGGCTGTAACCCCACTGTAAGTTGAGGATATCTGTATTAGTATATGCTAACTTTTTCATTACAAGAAGTTGATTTTACTTGATTCTCTTTCACTGTACAGGTATAAAATGAAATCTTTGATAAATATTAATAATTAAACTCCTTCAATGTTTATACCTTTCATTTTTTGGTAATTATATTGTATAATGGGTACAGAGAGTTCTTGAAAAATAGTAGTGATAGAGGGTACCCCTTTTTTTTTTCTTACTTTTTAGAGACATAGTGTCACTATGTTGCCCAGACTGGCATCAAACTGCTGGGCTCAAGTGATCTTCCCCAATCAGCCTCATGAGTGGCGAGGACTAGAGGCACATTCCACGGTTCTAGTTGTTTTTTACTTCAGTGGGAATGCTTCTAATGTGTTCCCATTATAAATAATGCTAACCTTTGGGTTGAGATAAATACATTTTACTATGTTAGGAAAACTTTTAATCAATTCTCATTTTTTCTATTTCTGAAAGTTTCAAAAAAAAACTTGGGAACTAAAGTTTGTCAAATCAGTTTTCAGCATCTACAGAAATGCTCAGATAATAATTTACTACATCCCAAATAACATGATCTCTCTCTCTCTCTCTCTCTCTCTCTCTCTCTCTCTCTATATATATATATATATATATATATATATATATATATATATCTCCAATCTAGTCCTAGAACAAACCCCACTAAAGGAAGTTATGCTTTGTTTTCAACTTCTGCTAACATTTTATTATGAATTACTATAATCTGGTATGGTGGCTCATGCCTGTAATCCCAGCACTTTGGGAGGCCAAGGCGGGCAGATCACCTGAGGTCAGGAGTTTGAGACAAGCCTGGCCAACACGGAGAAACCCCATTTCTACTAAAAATACAAAAATTATCTGGGCATGGTGACATGGGCCTGTAATTCCAGCTATTAGGGAGAATGACGCAGAAGAATTGCTTGAACCCAGGAGGCAGAGATTGCAGTGGGCCGAGATCAGGCCACTGCACTCCAGCCTGGGTGACACAGCAATACTCCATCTTAAAATAAATAAATAAATAAAGACTTATTATATCAAAATTCATGTTTAAAAATGTAAGATTATATGATGGTATTTTACATTTTTAAATTTTAAATTTAAATTCTTATCAATTTCATTTTTGAAGAATTTTATGCTTGAAACTGGGGATGTTTTTATTTTCTAGTTTCTAACTGGCATTTCTTTTTGTTCTTTTTTTTATTATACTTTAAGTTTTAGGGTACATGTGCACATTGTGCAGGTTAGTTACATATGTATACATGTGCCATGCTGGTGCGCTACACCTACTAACTCGTCATCTAGCATTAGGCATATCTCCCGATGCTATCCCTCCCCCCTCCCCCCACCCCACAACAGTCCCCAGAGTGTGATATTTCCCTTCCTGTGTCCATGTGATCTCATTGTTCAATTCCCACCTATGAGTGAGAATATGCGGTGTTTGGTTTTTTGTTCTTGTGATAGTTTACTGAGAATGATGATTTCCAATTTCATCCATGTCCCTACAAAGGACATGAACTCATCATTTTTTATGGCTGCATAGTATTCCGTGGTGTATATGTGCCACATTTTCTTAATCCAGTCTATCATTGTTGGACATTTGGATTGGTTCCAAGTCTTTGCTATTGTGAATAATGCCACAATAAACATACGTGTGCATGTGTCTTTATAGCAGCATGATTTATAGTCCTTTGGGTATATACCCAGTAATGGGATGGCTGGGTCAAATGGTATTTCTAGTTCTAGATCCCTGAGGAAACACCACACTGACTTCCACAATAGTTGAACTAGTTTACCGTCCCACCAACAGTGTAAAAGTGTTCCTATTTCTCCACATCCTCTCCAGCACCTGTCGTTTCCTGACTTTTTAATGATCGCCATTCTAACTGGTGTGAGATGGTATCTCATTGTGGTTTTGATTTGCATTTCTCTGATGGCCAGTGATGATGAGCATTTTTTCATGTGTCTTTTGGCTGCATAAATGTCCTCTTTTGAGAAGTGTCTGTTCATGTCCTTCGACCACTTTTTGATGGGGTTGTTTGTTTTTTTCTTGTAAATTTGTTTGAGTTCATTGTAGATTCTGGATATTAGCCCTTTGTCAGATGAGTAGGTTGCGAAAATTTTCTCCCATTTTGTAGGTTGCCTGTTCACTCTGATGGTAGTTTCTTTTGCTGTGCAGAAGCTCTTTAGTTTAATTAGATCCCATTTGTCAATTTTGCCTTTTGTTGCCATTGCTTTTGGTGTTTTAGACATGAAGTCCTTTCCCATGCCTATGTCCTGAATGGTAATGCCTAGGTTTTCTTCTAGGGTTTTTATGGTTTTAGGTCTAACGTTTAAGTCTTTATTCCATCTTGAATTGATTTTTGTATAAGGTGTAAGGAAGGGATCCAGTTTCAGCTTTCTACATATGGCTAGCCAGTTTTCCCAGCACCATTTATTAAATAGGGAATCCTTTCCCCATTGCTTGTTTTTCTCAGGTTTGTCAAAGATCAGATAGTTGTAGATATGCGGCATTATTTCTGAGGGCTCTGTTCTGTTCCATTGATCTATATCTCTGTTTTGGTACCAGTACCATGCTGTTTTGGTTACTGTAGCCTTGTAGTATAGTTTGAAGTCAGGTAGTGTGATGCCTCCAGCTTTGTTCTTTTGGCTTAGGATTGACTTGGTGATGCGGGCTCTTTTTTGGTTCCATATGAACTTTAAGGCAAGAAATAACTAAAATCAGAGCAGAACTGAAGGAAATAGAGACACAAAAAACCCTTCAAAAAATTAATGAATCCAGGAGCTGGTTTTTTGAAAGGATCAACAAAATTGATAGACTGCTAGCAAGACTAATAAAGAAAAAAAGAGAGATGAATCAAATAGACACACTAAAAAATGATAAAGGGGATATCACCACTGATCCCACAGAAATACAAACTACCATCAGAGAATACTACAAACACTTCTACGCAAATAAACTAGAAAATCTAGAAGAAATGAATAAATTCCTCGACACATACACTCTCCCAAGACTAAACCAGGAAGAAGTTGAATCTCTGAATAGACCAATAACAGGAGCTGAAATTGTGGCAATAATCAATAGCTTACCAACCAAAAAGAGTCCAGGACCAGATGGATTCACAGCCGAATTCTACCAGAGGTACAAGGAGGAACTGGTACCATTCCTTCTGAAACTATTCCAATCAATAGAAAAAGAGGGAATCCTTCCTAACTCATTTTACGAGGCCAGCATCATTCTGATACCAAAGCCTGGCAGAGTCACAACCAAAAAAGAGAATTTTAGACCAATATCCTTGATGAACATTGATGCAAAAATCCTCAATAAAATACTGGCAAAACGAATCCAGCAGCACATCAAAAAGCTTATCCACCATGATCAAGTGGGCTTCATCCCTGGGATGCAAGGCTGGTTCAATATACGCAAATCAATAAATGTAATCCAGCATATAAACAGAATCAAAGACGAAAACCACATGATTATCTCAATAGATGCAGAAAAAGCCTTTGACAAAATTCAGCAACCCTTCATGCTAAAAACTCTCAATGAATTAGGTATTGATGGGACGTTTTTCAAAATAATAAGAGCTATCTATGACAAACCCACAGCCAATATCATACTGAATGGGCAAAAACTTGAAGCATTCCCTTTGAAAACTGGCACAAGACAGGGATGCCCTCTCTCACCACTCCTATTCAACATAGTGTTGGAAGTTCTGGCCAGGGCAATTAGGCAGGAGAAGGAAATAAAGGGTATTCAATTAGGAAAAGAGGAAGTCAAATTGTCCCTGTTTGCAGACGACATGATTGTATATCTAGAAAACCCCATTGTCTCAGCCCAAAATCTCCTTATGCTGATAAGCAACTTCAGCAAAGTCTCAGGATACAAAATCAATGTACAAAAATCACAAGCATTCTTATACACCAACAACAGACAAACAGAGAGCCAAATCATGAGTGAATTCCCATTCACAATTGCTTCAAAGAGAATAAAATACCTAGGAATCCAACTTACAAGGGATGTGAAGGACCTCTTCAAGGAGAACTACAAACCACTGCTCAAGGAAATAAAAGAGGATACAAACAAATGGAAGAACATTCCATGCTCATGGATAGGAAGAATCAATATTGTGAAAATGGCCATACCGCCCAAGGTAATTTACAGATTCAATGCCATCCCCATCAAGCTACCAATGACTTTCTTTTTGTTCTTTAAGTATTGTATAATATTGTCTGTGAAACCATATGAGGGTAAAACATTTTTAGGAAGGAATTGTTATTGCTTTGAAAATGTTTTCTCTCTCTTGGCTAGACGTCGTGGCTCCTGCCTGTAATCCTAGCACTTTGGGAGGCCAAGATGGATGGATCACTTGAGGTCAGGTGTTCAAGACCAGCCTGGCATAAATGGTGAAATCTCATCTCTACTAAAAATACAAAAATTAGCCGGGCCTGGTCGTGGGTGCCTATAGTCCCAGCTACTTGGGAGACTGAGGTAGGAGAATCACTTGAACCCAGGAGGCAGAGGTTGCGGTGAGCCAAGATCGTGCTACTGTACTCCAGCCTGGGTGTCAGAGGAAGACTCCATCTCAAAAAAAAAAAAAAAGAAAGAAAAAAAGAAGAAGAAAATATTTTCTATTTCTTCAATGGAAATTCATCTTCCTCTGTGTATGTGTGTATTGTGGGTATATATAACAAATATATATACTATATAGAGAATTATAATATAACAATATATATAAGTATTCAGGAATTGAATTATATTTTCCCAAACTTTTTTTGTGTGTCAGCAATGTTTTCAAATGTATTCGCCTACATTCGAACCATGTAGTTTCTCATGTTTGCTTTCAGTTTATCTAATTAATGTCCTCTCATCATTTATTACTTTAAGTATTTGTGATTTCTCCTTTTTTTAAAAAATAGTTAGCTATTGGGTTTGAATTATTTTTTATATATATATATATATATATATATATATATATATATATATATATATATACATTTTTCCTAGTCTGTTGGTATTTTTTATCTTACTTTAACTCACATCCTGTTTTCTTGAAGTTCATTGTTTTAACTTTCCTAAGTTACTGAGTTGGACGTGCAATACATTTTTGCTCATTTTCCTATTTGTTAAAATAAACACTAGATGCTATAAATTTTCTCTTGAAAATTTTAACATTAGAAAAGATTAGATTAAAATCATTAGGATGTTTGATGGAGTCAAAAAATAATAATCTTTTTCCCTCCCAAGTTCAATCTATTCAAACCCCTAACAGAAGTACAGGGCAAGTGAGTAATTAAAATGTTAATATCATTATTTATTGAAATGTAAGGGTTAAATTGCCCAAGACTAATTTCTTACGGGAAAATAAACTAGCCAAGTATAAGGACCCAGGGAAATCAACTTTAACTCTGTCATCCTATGGGTTAACTCTGTCATCCCATGACTTGGACTCCAGAATTTCCTCTCCTCTTCCCCAGCATGCATGTAATTCCCCAGACATGAACATGGCATGGTAAATTCTGCCACCACCTTGCCAAAATCATACAAGAATCCAAAGACTTGGACTTCAGCTCCTGATCATGCCAAGGAAGGAGATAATCGCTCTTTTCTGAACCCAGTTACAATCATGGGGTTGGCACAATGGGGATGAAACCATGGGTCTGCCACATCATATTTTCTATTTGTTCCTGGGCCCTGGTTGTTACCAGAAAAGGATGCTTCCATAGTCATGTAGATTAAGGAATCCTTCATCCCAAGGGTCAGGTTCTCCCTCTTGGAATGTGATATCTAGCCCATCCCTGCTGGTGTGAGCTGACCCATACCAGGCCACTGACCAAGTCTCTAGAAGATTTTCCTAATGAATGCGCATAAAACAAACTTGCAAGTATGGTGCTGGGCTACTAACCATTGTCTGCAAGACACAGAGAAAGCTGAAATTGGAGAGTGCTGACCATCGTTGAATGTCCTAATCACACAGACTTGCCCACCTAGTCGCAGGAAACACCGAGGCAAAAACGAAGATCTCTCTTCATGGAGGCACAAAAATGGAAGGAAAATAAGAAGAAACGGGAGAAAGAACAGAAAGGGAAAGAAAGAAAAGAAATGCCCCAGTCATTAAAAGGCAATTTTTTCCATGACTTTTTTCTTGTTCAGTAGTGAGTTATGCCTCTAGTGTAATTTTCCAATAAAGCTTACCTATTTGTAACATTTAAAATGAGGTAAAGTCACTCACTCTCCTTCGCTATCATCATGAACTGGAACTGTTCACTGAATCTGTGATTTTTTTATTTCCCCTTTGCTCTACGTCCCACATGTTTGAGTTTGCATCTCCCCCAAGAACCCATAGTTGAAACTGTTTTTTTCCACCTTCCCTTTCTCAAATTGAATAAATCCACCCAAGAAATATTCTCTCATGTCATCCAGGCTTAGACCTATATTAGTATCATCCTAACTAACTCTCCCTCAATATGACTTGCCCTTAGCATGATTTCACTTATAGACTTATTTCCATACATTTTTCTGGCACATTCCCTCAGCACATCAACAATATCTGGATGCCTACTCACAATGATTATGTCACCTTAAATCATACTCAACAATTATTTGATATTTTTACTATTTAGCCAGTGAACTAACTACAAGAATTCAAGATTATCTATTCCAAACTTTCCTCCTTGACCCTGAATGCAAAGTCGAATTTGGGGCAGCTTGTCGAGTATTGCCCACTTAAGCTTGGCAGCAAGGTACATGAAGAGAGTTTATTACTTACAGATAGGAGGCAAGGGACAACAGAAGCCTAGGATCTGTCAGGAGTCAGTCCCCCAAGGCTCAATAAAGCTGCCTCGGGCAGATGGAATCTTGACTGCAAGCGCCCCCTGCTTGTGCCACAGCTCAGGGACTCTGAAAGGCAGCTTCCTCCGGGTTCTATATGGACATGACCCATATAGACCCACTGGGCAAAGCTTCGAAGGACATTCTTTTTCCAGGGAGAGAGCAGCAGAGACTAAGCTGTCTTGGGCAGTTCCTTTCTAACTCAAGATGTTACATTTCCTTGGAAGGACAAGAACAAGGAATTTTCTCCATTTCAGGAATTTCCTCCCTGTTTCAGGATATTGCATTCCCAGAATGGGGGTTTGAGACTGGTAGACCAAAGCTATCCAGGGATCATCTGGCGCATTGCCACTCTATATAATTCTCTCCACAATAAATAATTAAACATAAAATTATTATTATTAAAGTAATGCATGTACCCACTGGGCACAGTGGTACACATCTTTAGTCCCAGCTACTCAGGAGCCTGAGGTGGGAGAATTGCTTGAACCAGGAGTTTGAGTCAGGCTTAGGCAACATAGTGAGACATCATCTCTAAAAAATAAATACATTTTAAAAATTAAATTCACACACCCAAGCCCCAAAAGTATCTTCCCAGCAGTGTTCTTTGAAATTCCACTTCATGTCTGATTCCCAGGATTCCTGGACTAACGAGTCAGATCTTACACTTCCTAAGTTGAATTTTTCCACCAAAAGTGTTTATTCCTAGCCCTTCATTCAATCAGCCAAGGAAAAATTCTGTCCCTGTAACAGCCACTAGAGAAGCAGAACCAAAATCATGCATGCTACAGGCAGCCAGGAAACCAAGAAAGAAATGGGTTAAAGAAAGGGAATAAAGCACTATGTGCAGGCTGTTTTTCCAAAAATCACCAATCACATGAAGCCACACTCATTGTCTCCTAGGAGGAGTGAATGAATGGGTGACCACAGAGACACCTAGATTGTTATGTTATTGAAGCTCTGCCAAGTGAAAGAGGGTTTACCAATGTTTTATTTTTTTTAATTTTCAGATATAGAACTTTTTTCTGATTTATTATTAATTTCAAGTTTTACTGCTTGAGTTCCACTGACTTTTTAATCTCTTCCTATTACCATTTTTTCCATTATTTCTTATACTTCTGCTTTCATGGAGATAATTCTCTTTCTTCTTCTTCCTCCTCCTGTTGTTATTATATTTATTTGTATCAGATAGAAGGATTATACTGGACATACTTTTAAATGATTGCACTTTCTCCTGATACATACTGGCAGCATAAATTGGAAGGAGAAATACACTTGAGGACAAAACAGTCTTGCTCTCAGACCTAAGATACAACAGATAAAAGTTTCCTAAGATGAAAGGGATAAGGCAGACTTTTATTCTGGTTTACTCTTATTAAGGTTATGCCTCCACAAAAAGGTTGTCTTGAACAGAATGGTTCCAAATTACAAATATTCATCTTATTCTGCTGAATTATTTTTACTGCCTTTCCAAACATCAAATAAAATATGTCTTGTTATTAGTCACATGAATATGACCAAAATGTCACAAGTCACTATTGCTTCAAGCAGTTCGCCACTGCGGTTTTCAGCTCTTTCTGAGATTTTAGTCCTTTATTTCCTATTATCTTAAATACATATTTAAAAAGACATTTGATAAAATTTAACTATCATTTCTATGTATTCTGTAAGAAAGTTTTTCATACTAATGAATATTGCTTGAATTGTAAACCCATAATTTTAAAGGCATTTATACTTTCCATTTAAATATTGTGAATTTGGAGAATATCCCTAAAATGTATATCAATACGTTTAAAATTATTTCTATTTACATCATTTTAAAATACTTGTCAATTCACTTGAAGTTTACTATTTTTGATATTAACATTTTGTTTTTTTAGAGTGGAAATTACTAGGATAAGACTAATGCCTCTTTCACATTAAACATAGTTTCACAAGAAAAGCATCAGCATATTCCAAAGCATAAGATTAATTTATCTAGGCTACAGGACTGACCTAAATTTTTTAAAAAGAGAAATGTCTGAAGTATAAACAAATTTTGGCACTTAAAAAAGATTTTCCCAAATGATTTAGAATAAAAAATTAAAATAGCAAATAAATATAATCATACACTAAAAATAGTTAAAATATATATGAAGACTCATAAGATACAAAATTGTAACGTAGATGGAAATTCATAGCAAAAAGCCTAAAGAAAGAATGATAAAAGATGACATAAAATAAAAGTATGTACATAAGAATATTTTCATTACAGTACAATTTAGAAAGAAAAAGATGTTGTAAATTAGTATCTAGTATAAATTAAAAAGGAAAATAAGAAAAATTTCCATTCTTTGAAAATTGCCTTAGAATGCTGCAAAAACAGAAAGTTCCATATACTGACTTCATAAGACATTTTATTCATTTTGTCTAATTCTAAATGTAATCCATAAAAACAAAATTGTTTTAATCGCAGCAGAACAAAATTAACAAAATGATTTCATGAGTTAACCCCCCTTATAAACGGGTGATTGGTCCTTACTGTCCAGTAGTTTCTTAGGAAAAAAAAAATTCCCTGAGTTTTTATATATTCAAAACTGTTTGAATATATCCTTTAAACCTGAAAGACGTCTTCACTGGCTGTAGAACATTTAGTTTTTGGGTTCACACTTGCTTTCCCTGAATGTATTACAGGTGCTTCACCTGTGAATCCTGAAGCCACAGCTGATGAGATTTTCTCATTCTGGATGAATCTAGGTAGATTCTCCTGCATAAAACAATGCTAATTTCAATACAGATACTCAATTCTTTTCTAATTTGAGAAAAAAGTTTCTTGAGTTATATTTTTTTTCTTTTTGAGATGGAGTCTTGCTCTGTTGCCCGGGCTGGAGTGTAGTGGCACGATCTCAGCTCACTGCAAGCTCCGCCTCCTGGGTTCATGCCATTCTCCTGCCTCACCCTCCAGAGTAGCTGGGACTACAGGTGCCCACCACCATGCCCGGCTAATTTTTTTTTTTTTCTTTTTGTAGAGATGGGGGTTTCACCGTGTTAGCCAGGATGGTCTTGATCTCCTAACCTTGTGATCCGCCTGCCTTTGCCTCCCAAAGTGCTGGGATTACAGGCGTGAGCCACTGTGGCCGGCCGAGTTATAGTTTTAATATTCATCTATTCCATTGTTTTGCCTTGATTCATGAGGGATTCTAGTTATATGAATTTTGAATCACCTTTGCATATTATCTATGCTTTTTTTTCTTTAATCATCTATGATGTGGCTTGGCTGTGTCCCCACCCAAAGTCTCATCTTGAATTTTAACACTCATAATGCCCACGTGTCATGAGACAGACCAGGTGGAAGTAATTGAATCATGGGGGCAGTTCCGCCACGCTGCTTTCCTGATGAGTGCGTTCTCAGGAGATCTGATAGTTTTCCGAAGGTGCCCTTCCCACTTCGCTCAGCACTCTCCTTCCTGCCACCTCCTGAAGAAAGTGCCTTGCTCCCCCTTTGCCTTTCGCCATGATTGTTAGTGTCCTGAGGCCTCCCCAGCCGTGCTGAACTGTGAGTAAATTAAACCTCTTTCTTTTATAAATTACTCAGTCTCAGGCAGTTCTTTATAGTAGTATGAAAACGGACTAATGCAATCTATCTTACTAATTCTGCTGGCTTTCCATAGTATCTATATTCCTCCTTCCTGTTCCTTAGAATTGAGTCTTCATTTCTAAAACTGAATCTTCTGAAGAAACCTTTCCATGTTTTTCTCTTTCTCCTGTACTCTGCCATTGTGTTCTACATTATCTTAAAATCAAACTATCACCTCTTGTTAGGTGACTGTGTCCTTCCTTTGTTCTTGTACTTTTGTTTTGGAGTGTTACTTTATAGATACAAATGCCTCACTGATGGTTTATTTTGTTTTTGTTGTTCTTCATATACAAGTTCGTGGTACAATTTTAATGTGCTTTATAGCAATGTTTTTCTTATCATCTAGGTAGAAATTGTGCTATTTTTCATGTTTTTCTTGTAATATTTTAATAGAAACTTTATTTTTTATTACCCATTTTTGAATGAGATATGTTTTTCTCTGAACTAGTAGCAGATTACTGTGGCAGTATTGATATGGTGATGGGAGGAGAGTTTTCTGTAGATTTCTTGTTTAAGGGTTTCATGCTCTCTGGCTATGGCAATAAAGTATTGTAAAACAACCTGTTTTTGTATTGGTAGGCCTCGTGGAACCTACTCTTGTTCGTGATGACCTTTCCCAACAATCCCATATCTCTCTAATTTCTTCACAGACTACTCTGTCTAGGAATGATGGCAATTGTCTTCCTGGGCATTCCGTTCATTTTCAAAGGTGTATTTTTATGCCACGTCCTATAATTTGTCATCTCTGGTACCTTTTTCTCACTCCTAGAGGCCTTTACCCTGTCAGCCTTGTTCAGAGTGGCTCCCTCTTCCTGGGGGAGGAGGGGAGTCTATCTGAGGAAGAATATTTGCTGGAGATTTCTGTGGTCTACCATCACATGGCCCCTCCACACCCTTCCTTCTTCCCCACAGAACCACTGTGACTTGCACAGGCTTCCTAAATGATTCTTTTGGTCTCAGATGCTTTGGGTGTCATTCAGTGGTAATTGGACTTCTGGGTTTTCTCTTACTTCTCATCGCACTGGAAATGTAGTCAATAGGTTTTTATTATTTTCTGGTTGCGCTGCATGGGGCTTAGCCTTTAGAATTTAGCATTTGGAATTTAGCATTGCCATTTATGTTCCTAACCAGAACCAAAAATCCTGTTTGTATCATCTGAAATGCAGTATCTCAAAATCAGAAAACTAACAGAATCAAGACAGAAAAAAAAAAAATAAGGAAATTTGGCTGGGTTTACATACATGCTATCTTGACTTTCTGGGCACACATATTGTATATATTAAAACGTAAGAATATTCATTTCCACTAAAAAGCACTTTTCTCATTTTCCTTAAAACATGAAACCCTCTAATTCATTTTTCACTTTTGATTGTACAAGAAAAAGAAAGGCAACAAAGGGAACATGATGCTACAAGGAAGCTAAGATTCAATGTCAGGGCTAGGGCATCATTGCAAATTGACAAAGATGGTGGCAAGCTAGAAAATGTGCACCATCCCTTGGATTGGGTCTAATGTGCCAGCTATGCAGATTGTTCCAGAAAACCCAGAAATTTTGGATTTGTATAAAAAATCTCCTGCATTTTAACTGATGGCATATTTTAAACACTATGTTCTAGTCAAATAATTTGTGAGCTGTGTCTGAGCAGCAGACTTTCAGCATATGAAGTCTTCCTATACTCTTAAACTTCAGTATTACTCTTATGTTTGACACCATCTTGATTTCTCTGCGTCTAGAACTGGACACATGAATATCTTATTTCACTTTTTGACATCTATTTCTAGAAATCCCACTAGAAAGTGTGAACTTAATTTTTATTTTTCTGAAATTAATGGAAATCACATCTACTTTTTCATCAAAAAACTTCCCAATTATTTCTCCTGTAAATACTTGTTCATTAAATTATATATATATATATACACACACACACACACACACACACACACACACACACACACACATATTCTATTCCATGCTTGTGGTTCGTTTTAGAATTTGATAAATTGAACATCTTTCCTTTTTCCTCACAAATAAATTGAATATCTTTACTTTTTCCTCAAAAATATTCTGTCTGATGCTCCTTTTACTGCATGAACATAAAGGATACATTAATAATTTTACTGGAAAGACAGGGACATCCATTCACAGGGTTGTCATGGGCATCTCAGGACTGTGTAATGGTCTAGATAATTACAAGAGCAGATGCCCAAAGAAAACATCAGAAAATAGCAAGAGGGAGGAATTAAATAGAATCAAATGTGGTCATTTAAACAAAGTATTTTTGTAACTCATAAGATATATGTGATTAAAATGCATTTAGGCTAAGAAAATGAAATGTGATTAGTCCAATTATTCAAGCAAAAAAAATTAATGTATTGAGTTTTCTTTTTTCTTTCATTTTCTCTTTTTTTTGAGTTTTTTTGTTTGTTTGTTTTTTCATTTGGTTTGGTTTGGTTTAGTTTAGTTTTTGTCCAAATATAGCTCAATAAATTCTCATTATATAGTACAATGAACCCCAGACTTTTCTACCTTCTACTTTAAAACCTTGAAAATTTGATAAACCAATTAGTAATACTGTCAGTCTTTTCTGCTGCAACCATCACTTACTGGCACATAGAAGGTATTCAACCAATATTTGTTAAAATAATAAATTTATAAGTGCATATTATGGTATCAATGTTGATTCATTTATTCCAGCCTCATGGTAGAATCCTCACCAGCCTGGTGAAATTATCCTAATTTTATGAAAAAAAAATACCTATACTATATTTCTGCACACAATCTCTCAGTTAACTGCTTTAATCCACTAAACCCTCAGATTGCAAAGGCTGGCAGAGTGTGCAACATGCTAAGTTTTAGATTTTGAGAGTCTTACAGTTCAGTCAAAGCAGTTCAAAAAATTTTAAATGGCCTACCATACACCTTAGGGGAAATTATACAGCAGATGTGCACCTTTGCTTGAGAAACTTACATGCTTTTTCAGTATATAAGACTAGAGCCTACTTTATATCCATTGGTAAGTAAAGAGATAACTACAGTACATTTAGATAATGAAAGACTTTGCAGCAGGAAAATAAAGGATAGATATGTACTGGTTCACAGGCTATACATTATATTTTAAATAATACATGCTAGGTAAAATGATATATATATATTAACTTTCTATTTGCTTAAAAAATGGAAAATATATGTATTTCACATACCTATATATTAAAAGTGACTAGGTTTTTGGTTTTTTTTGGTTTTTTTTTTTTTTTTTTTTTTTGGTGTGGGAACTGAAGGACTAGAGGTCTAGAATGAGAAGTTCGTATTATAATGAAGTAGTAGTACTAGTATTCAAAGCAGTACTTGCAACAATACTAACAATGACAACAAGAGCTATGTGCCCATAACTTTTATTCATTTTACACAAAATATTTTATTAAATCTACACAAAAATGAACAATAGGCCCTAGCATAATGTCTTTTTTTCAAAGCAAGAAACTGACTCACAGAAGAGTTAATTCTAAGATCATAGAATTAGTTGTTATTCCAGAATTAGCCCAACCTGACTCCAGAGCCAGTGATTTAAAATATTGCACTATACTGTGTACATGTGTAACATTTTATAATCAAATATTTTTAAATTAAATCAAAGTTGAAGATATACACAGTTTGAAGGGTCAAAAACTTCCATAAAGATTATTATGAAAAACATTTATTACCAACCCTGCCATTTGTTCCTCCACAGAGTCACCTACTTTCAATTTTATGCTAATATTTTAGTATTTCTGTTTGTATTTTTTATTTGTATCACCAAATCTATGAAAAGTATCATTATATAGTTACATCCTGAATCTTAAGTTTTAGGCATTATCTATTAACTTCCACTAAGACAGACAAGGTTTTAGCTCTATTATTATCTTCCCTTTCCTTCCCTCAACCTCACAGAAACAAGTATACTTCACTTCCATCCTAATAATGCAGTTATAATCAAATCTTAACTTAGAACATTTTCCAGTGTTTAAAATGACTATGTAAGTGTTATTCACCACTGAGCCATGGAACATATTATAATTCTTCTCTTGTCCCAACAACTTATTTTCCTCAGAGTGAATTTTATCTTGTTTCATGTTGCTGTTTGTTTAAATAGTTTCTACTTATAAAACTTCAAATATCCAGCCAAGTGTAAAAATTTATTTGACATATATTCAGACTTAGCAGGTATACCATCAAATATACTTTCCCAAAGAATCTCTATTGGCTGTTTGTTCCTCACCTCCTTCAATCTATGTATATAGTACAACAAGTATACATTTCTCACTTCATCATAATCCTGGAGATTCTCTTTGCGTCTCTGCCGTATTTGAACGCCCTGTTTCCTGGATTCCATCACACATGTTCCTCTTTTTGTTGCTGTTACATTCCTCAGTTTGGGTGAAGATGTCCAGTAGTCTTTGCTACCTGTCTGAATTTGTCTTTACTCAAGTCTTATCCTTGTATGAGTATTTAACTGAACACAGAATTCTGTATTGGAAATCATTCCTGTTCAGTAATTTAATGGCATTGTGCTTCTGCCTTCAAGCCTCCTGAATTGAAATTGAAAAGGTAAAAACTTTTTTTGTTTTTTGAGTCTTTGTATAAGACTATTTTTTCTCTGAGGAAGCTGGTAAGATTTTCTTGTTATCCGCATGATTTGAAAATCAGTGATGATGTATCATGGCATGCATTTGTTTTCACCCGTGGTTCTGGATATTTAGTGAGCCCTTTCATTCAGGAAATTCATGATTTTTCTGTCTGGGAAACATGAACAATAATAATAATATTTATTTTATTTCATTTATTTATTTATTTCGAGACAGAGTCTCGCTCTGTCGCCCAGGCTGGAGTGCAGTGGCGCGATCTCCGCTCACTGCAAGCTCCGCCTCCCGGGTTCACGCCATTCTCCTGCCTCAGCCTCCCGAATAGCTGAGACTACAGTACAGGCATGCGCCACCACGCCCGGCTAATTTTTTGTATTTTTAGTAAAAACGGGGTTTCACCGTGTTAGCCAGGATGGTCTTGATCCTCTGACCTCCTGATCTGCCCGCCTTGGCCTCCCAAGAATAATATTATTAATTATTTCTTCCACTGCATTTTCTCTGCTGCCTTTTGGGACAGGGGAGGATTTTCTGTTGCTAGGATGCTGGACCTCTAAACTGACAGTTTAATTCTTTTTTTTTCTTATATTTTACCTTGTTTTGTTTTGCTGTAGGTTTGGGGAGAAAAACTTTGTCTTTCAAAAGTTCTGTTGAGGTTGTCATTTTGGGTTTTATATTTTTAATTTCTAAAAGAGTTTTGTTTTAGGTTTTGACTTGTCCTTATCTAAAAATAGAGCATCCTGGTTTTGTTTACAGATACAATTATTCCTGTGTATCTCTGAGAAAATTAATAATAGCATTACATTTCACAGCTAGCTAATTTTAATGATATGAGTTCTCCCACCATGGTGGATTTCAAACTACTAACATGTAGTCACAGAATGAGAACTTGGGAGACCATATCAGAGTTGACTCTTGCCCCTGAGCCAGTAGGCTCCATCACGCCACTGAATGAAAGTTTACTTGATGTTATTTATCAGTGTAACTTATTTGGTCTCTGCTTCCCTTCAAAATGTGGTGGTCCTTGGCTATTGCCTCATATTTAAGAGTAGGATGCTATAAAGCCAACTGGAAGCTCTGAGCCTGTGGTTTTATCAACAGTGGATTTTGCTATAAAGTATTAATATCTATTTGGAAATTTCCAATACTGTCTTCAGTATTTTCTCTTAGGTTGCTAAGTTTCTCAAAGAAGGATCGTCTGCCTGAGAATGCATTTCCTTATTTAATTTCCCTATTTTCTATAGAGTGCCCGTTTATCCAGATATACATGACTTCCCTAGGGATGTCTCTCTTGTACCGTCTTCAGAAAGATGTTAACCTCTTCTACCATCTTCAGAAAATAAATCTGATTTTTGTGTCATTCAACAATCTGCATCTTGAGGGCACAATCCTATTGGTAGCAATGACAATTAAAGGTAGAAGTTTTTTAAAAGGTTGTGTTATTTTAGGCTGGGCGTAGTGGCTCACACCTGTAATCCCAGCATTTAGGGAGGCCGAGGCAGGCAGATCACTTGAGGTCAGGAGTTGGAGAACAGCCTGGCCAACATGGCAAAACCCTGTCTCTACTAAAAAATATAAAAATTAGCTGGGTGGGGTGGCAGGTGCCTGTAATCCCAGCCACTCAGCAGGCAGAGGGAGGAGAATTGCTTGAATCTGGGAGGCAGAGGTTGCCTTGAACTGAGATCGCACCACTGCACATCAACCTGGGTGACAGAGTGACACTGTCTCAAAAAAAAATAAATAAATAAATAAATAAAGATTGTGTTATTTTAATATGAATTATTGTTAATAAATGAAAGTAAGAAAATAGTAAAAGTAACTATGCTTGTGGGGTTTTTTTTCCCTATCCTCTTATACCCCTGTATTATTGAGACCTTCATCATAAAAGATCTTATTTCAATGTGTATAATAAAGTGAAAGATAATAATTGATTAAAGTTTTGGTGCATAGCCACCAACCCCCCCTAATTCAGCCAGAGCACCAAGGGTTCTCATATTAACTATAAACCTCATGTAGTCTTCTTGGTTTCTACCACCAATCAATAAGCATGAAAGCATCTGCATTTCTGTGTAGCATAGTAGGTTTTCCAGTCACTGTCATATAAAACTTGCTAAATTCTCAGGCTTCCATTCAATATTTTTGGACTTCAATTTTTCCTTACTCTCATGCAGGTTATATGCCTTCTGCCTAATAATGTAAAACAGGCTTTGGACTATAGTTGGACAATGATATATTACTCCTCTTTAATCCAGTATTACTCTGATTATATCTATTGTGTTTTTCTGAGTAATTGTGTTCCTATGTTGTTTAATTGGCTGTCAAGAATTTCTTGAGAAAACATGAGTCTGTAAAATACTCTCCATTTTAATTTTTTGTGTGTCTTGGTTTGCTTGATAACTTCTTTGCATCTCAATCTACTAATCTACTACTATAGAGATATCATTGATGCTAAATTAATTAAAATGAAGGGCTGTATTTCTAACAAAACATCTAATAAAATAACTCATACATCTACAAATGTTTAAAAATGCTTTCAACAACTTTTATCTGACATTACAAACACTTTGGTACAATCAAATTTCTTGTTTTTTACATTAATGAGTGGAGATTGCAGAAATTTTTTAACACGAGAAAGAATTGAGATAAGCTATTACTATTTTCAAGCAATGAAGTCAAAATTGAAGTATATTTCCATATTGGAAAATTTTCGATATCCCAGCAGTATTCATATTCTAAACATACATTTTAATGATTCAGAATATTTTCTCCATTATACTTAAAATAAATGTATATTTATGTGTATTTTGCAGATGCAAAAGCATCTCTAAATATAAATCCACCCTGGAATCTGTTTCTTGTGGAAAATTTAAAGAAAGTTCATCTGAAAAGCAGTTTTATATAAAAGCTTTCTTATTAAATCATCACTGAATTACAAAAATTGATGAAAATGGCCAGGCGCGGTGGCTCACACCTGTAATCCCAGCACTTTGGGAGGCCGAGGCAGGCGGATCACGAGGTCAGGAAATTGAGACCATCCTGGCTAACAGGGTGAAACTCCGTCTCTACTAAAAATACAAAAAATTAGCCAGGCATGGTGGCGGGCGCCTGTAGTCCCGGCTACTCGGGAGGCTGAGGCAGGAGAATGGCGTGAACCCAGGAGGCAGAGCTTGCAGTGAGCCAAGATCGCACCCCTGCACTCCAGCTTGGGCAACAGAGCGAGACTCCGTCTCAAAAAAAAAAAAAAAAAAAAAAAAATTGATGAAAATGTTATTGTGAAAAAAATTATACTTCTTTCATTCAAAGTTAGTATCTCTATTGGGTAAATTTTTTTTTAATCTTTGCACACCATGATCTGAATCAGAAAATATGTGTGTATGTATAGACCTACCTACTTTATGCTTTAATTTTAATGACAATTTGATAGATAAGCTAAGATGTTCTACTGCACACAAGAATAAGGACTTTTTTAAAAAAACTGCTTTTCTCTTTAACTACAATTAACAAAGCTAAATGTTGTGTTCTGTGATGCTTTATTTCTTAAGAAAAGTTTCCATCAGAAGTGTTGCCTCGGCAGGGCGTGGTTGCTCACGCCTGTAATACCAGCACTTTAGGAGGCCAAGGCGGGCGGATCACTTGAGGTCGAGAGTTCAAGACCAGCCTAGCCAACATGGTGAAACCCTGTCTCTACTAAAAACTACAAAAAATAGCCAGGCGTGGTGGTGGGCGCCTGTAATCCCAGCTACTTAGGAGGCTGAGACAGGAGAATTGCTTGAACCAGGGAGGTGGAGGTTGCAGTGAGCCCAGATCACACCACTGCACTCCAGCCTGGATGATAAGAGTGAAAGCCCATCTCAAAATAAGAAAAAATAAAAGTGTTGACTCAAGTCATCATTTTAATATGAAATTAAGATTTCTGAAGTGCAAGCATAGTTTATTTATTTATCAACGATCCCTCAGGACCCATGAGCAAAGTGCAAGCTCTCAGAAAGTGCGACCAAATAATTAGATGTCATTTAATGTATACACAGAGAACAAACTTGATTTTATAATTGTCGATTTGTTACCTTTGGTCTTTCACCTAACATGAAGAAATTCATTTTAAAATAAGACCTATTTATTCTGCTGTCTTTTCCACAATGAAATAATGCATAAGAAAAATATTCATTAAATATACATAATTGAAACGAGGATTTTTAAAATTATGAACATGTGATAATATTTCTATACCACTGACAACTTGACAAAATAATAAATATAAAATCAAAATGATACTCTAATGATATTAGGAACAGCTTATTGTTAATATTATTATTTTGGAAAATACTATGGCAAAAACTTTCAAACTTCACAGTTTTATATCTTTAAAAATGTAATCTGAGTCCAAATAATTCTAAATAAGTAATTCAAGCAAAGATATAAGCTGTAAGATTTTCCTAGTGATCATCATATATAACCATTTTAAAAACAGCCTCCAAGTCGTACAGGAATGGCTTGAGTACAAGAGAATGGATTGAGTAAATTATGGCATATCACCAAAATGGAATTTTAAGAGGTGATTTAAATACAAATATATATATGAAAACATGGATCAATGTATGTGAACTAATATTAAGTGAAGAACTGGTATCCACAATGCATGTGCATTATTAATGTAACTGCCGAAATGTTTCTGGTCATCCACAGTTAAAAGGCAATACACAAACACAGACTTACCCTTAAGGTAAGAGACCAGGGATAGCTTTATATGCCTTTTATTTCATAATTAAATAAATATTAAAAATAGTTACTGATTCAGAAGTCTCCATATTAAACTTTTACATATATTTATTATTTTTGCAGATCTTAAGTTCATGGTAAACTAATATTATGTTTATAGTAGAGATTAATGATCTTAAACATGTAGAATTATTTAATAGGTTAAATATTAAACCTGTTAAATACAGTTATGAATTCCATAAACCGTGGATTCCAATTCTAATAGTACTGAGCAATTGTGAATAAAATGTTAATTTCATTGACCCTCAGAGGATCAAATACAATTTTGGTAATTGAGCTGAGCATTCTAAATGACCCTTCCCATTTTCCAACTCTTGTTGCATTTTCTGAATGAAACATTTTTCTCCCTAACATTCAGGTGTTGATAGAGTAACTTTCAGGTGTTCCTGTATCTACTCTAACTTTAACGGCTATAATAGCAACATTTCTCATTTTTTGATATTTTAAAATAGCTTACTCTTAACCAATGTATAATTCATTTTATTCATTATCAGTACTATTTTATATGATTCAAAGAAACTATTCCCTGAATTGAAAACCAGGGCACTAGACAAGAGAAGTTATTGTTTCCCTTTGATGTGCAATTTATTATTCATAAATAATTTTGATAGTTATAAAAATTAAATTCTGCTACTTAAGCTTTTAAATAATTGCCTTTGCTAAATATGATTTTATGAATTAAAACTGTGTCATAAAATTGAAGCTTGTACTTGAGTTATACATATTGCTATTATTACATTTTCACCTTAAAATACATGGCCACATAAATTCATACGAACAGCGATTCACAGTCACAATAATAGTATTTGATAAAACTAGCTAAATGCTAACATTTATTGAGCACTTATTGTGTGCAAATTAGTTTACATCAATTATTTTAATTATCCCACTCATAATAATATTTATACATTTTTAAAATGAGGAAGTTTTGCAAGTGTACATAGCTGGTAAAGGGTAAAACTGGAATTGAATCTTAAGTAGAAATACTGTAGAGCTTGCATGATTAACCACAGTCCCATATAGCTTCCTATAAAATTAAAAAGATATTTGGTTCATCATGAAGGGCTTATACTATTTACTAAAAATGTGATTGATATATTTCTGGTTGTATGTCTATGTACGTATATATGTATATATACTTTTACACATGTAGGTATATATGTATATGCACTTACATATGTACACATTTCACATTTATACATGTATATATGTATTTATACATTTATACACTACAGATACCTACATATGTATGTATGTGCTAGACATATCTTTCTTTTTTTAAATGTTTTTATTTTATTAGAATAAAACAAGATTTTGTAATATACTTAGAGTGACAAATATTTATTTTTCAAGGATAAATTGAGCAGAAATAAAATGGACTGAATTTTTGATGATCTGTCTAAACTGTACTTTTAAGTGCTCATTATGAATTTTTAAAAAGAAAATACTGTTAATGGTTTATACATATTTTCTATTTTTTATTCTTTTTTTTAATTTTTTTTTAATTATACTTTAAGTTTTAGGGTACATGTGCACATTGTGCAGGTTAGTTACATATGTATACATGTGCCATGCTGGTGCACTGCACCCACTAACTTGACATCTAGCGTTAGGTATATCTCCCGATGCTATCCCTCCCCCCTCCCCCCACCCCACAACAGTCCCCAGAGTGTGATATTCCCCTTCCTGTGTCCATGTGATCTCATTGTTCAATTCCCACCTATGAGTGAGAATATGCGGTGTTTGGTTTTTTGTTCTTGCTATAGTTTACTGAGAATGATGATTTCCAATTTCATCCATGTCCCTACAAAGGACATGAACTCATCATTTTTTATGGCTGCATAGTATTCCATGGTGTATATGTGCCACATTTTCTTAATCCACTCTGTCATTGTTGGACATTTGGGTTGGTTCCAAGTCTTTGCTATTGTGAATAATGCCGCAATAAACATACGTGTGCATGTGTCTTTATAGCAGCATGATTTATAGTCCTTTGGGTATATACCCAGTAATGGGATGGCTGGGTCAAATGGTATTTCCAGTTCTAGATCCCTGAGGAATTGCCACACTGACTTCCACAATGGTTGAACTAGTTTACAGTCACATCAACAGTGTAAAAGTGTTCCTATTTCTCCACATCCTCTCCAGCACCTGTTGTTTCCTGACTTTTTAATGATTGCCATTCTAACTGGTGTGAGATGGTATCTCATTGTGGTTTTGGTTTGCATTTCTCTGATGGCCAGTGATGATGAGCATTTTTTCATGTGTTTTTTGGCTGCATAAATGTCTTCTTTTGAGAAGTGTCTGTTCATGTCCTTCGCCCACTTTTTGATGGGGTTGTTTGTTTTTTTCTTGTAAATTTGTTTGAGTTCATTGTAGATTCTGGATATTAGCCCTTTGTCAGATGAGTAGGTTGCGAAAATTTTCTCCCATTTTGTAGGTTGCCTGTTCACTCTGATGGTAGTTTCTTTTGCTGTGCAGAAGCTCTTTAGTTTAATGAGATCCCATTTGTCAATTTTGGCTTTTGTTGCCATTGCTTTTGGTGTTTTAGACATGAAGTCCTTCCCCATGCCTATGTCCTGAATGGTAATGCCTAGGTTTTCTTCTAGGGTTTTTATGGTTTTAGGTCTAACGTTTAAGTCTTTAATCCATCTTGAATTAATTTTTGTATGAGGTGTAAGGAAGGGATCCAGTTTCAACTTTCTACATATGGCTAGCCAGTTTTCCCAGCACCATTTATTAAATAGGGAATCCTTTCCCCATTGCTTGTTTTTCTCAGGTTTGTCAAAGATCAGATAGTTGTAGATACGCGGCATTATTTCTGAGGGCTCTGTTCTGTTCCATTGATCTATATCTCTGTTTTGGTACCAGTACCATACTGTTTTGGTTACTGTAGCCTTGTAGTATAGTTTGAAGTCAGGTAGCGTGATGCCTCCAGCTTTGTTGACTTGGCTTAGGATTGACTTGGCAATGCGGGCTCTTTTTTGGTTCCATATGAACTTTAAAGTAGTTTTTTCCAATTCTGTGAAGAAAGGCATTGGTAGCTTGATGGGGATGGCATTGAATCTGTAAATTACCTTGGGCAGTATGGCCATTTTCACGATATTGATTCTTCCTAGCCATGAGCATGGAATGTTCTTCCATTTATTTGTATCCTCTTTTATTTCCTTGAGCAGTGGTTTGTAGTTCTCCTTGAAGAGGTCCTTCACATCCCTTGTAAGTTGGATTCCTAGGTATTTTATTCTCTTTGAAGCAATTGTGAATGGGAGTTCACTCATGATTTGGCTCTCTGTTTGTCTGTTGTTGGTGTATAAGAATGCTTGTGATTTTTGTACGTTGATTTTGTATCCTGAGACTTTGCTGAAGTTGCTTGTCAGCTTGAGGAGATTTTGGGCTGAGACAATGGGGTTTTCTAGATATACAATAATGTCATCTGCAAACAGGGACAATTTGACTTCCTCTTTTCCTAATTGAATACCTTTTATTTCCTTCTCCTGCCTAATTGCCCTGGCCAGAACTTCCAACACTATGTTGAATAGGAGTGGTGAGAGAGGGCATCCCTGTCTTGTGCCAGTTTTCAAAGGGAATGCTTCCAGTTTTTGCCCATTCAGTATGATATTGGCTGTGAGTGTGTCATAGATAGCTCTTATTATTTTGCAAAACGTCCCATCAATACCTAATTTATTGAGAGTTTTTAGCATGAAGGGTTGTTGAATTTTGTCAAAGGCTTTTTCTGCATCTATTGAGATAATCATGTGGTTTTTGTCTTTGGCTCTGTTTATATGCTGGATTACATTTATTGATTTGCGTATATTGAACCAGCCTTGCATCCCAGGGATGAAGCCCACTTGATCATAGTGAATAAGCTTTTTGATGTGCTGCTGGATTCATTTTGCCTGTATTTTATTGAGGATTTTTGCATCAATGTTCGTCAAGGATATTGGTCTAAAATTCTCTTTTTTTGTTGTGTCTCTGCCAGGCTTTGGTATCAGAATGATGCTGGCCTCGTAAAAAGAGTTAGGGAGGATTCCCTCTTTTTCTATTGATTGGAATAGTTTCAGAAGGAATGGTACCAGTTCCTCCTTGTACCTCTGGTAGAATTCGGCTGTGAACCCATCTGGTCCTGGACTCTTTTTGGTTGGTGAGCTATTGATTATTGTCACAATTTCAGCTCCTGTTATTGGTCTATTCAGAGATTCAACTTCTTCCTGGTTTAGTCTTGGGAGAGTGTATGTGTCGAGGAATTTATTCATTTCTTCTAGACTTTCTAGTTTATTTGCGTAGAGGTGTTTGTAGTATTCTCTGATGGTAGTTTGTATTTCTGTGGGATCGGTGGTGATATCCCCTTTATCATTTTTTATTCCATCTATTTGATTCTTCTCTCTTTTTTGCTTTATTAGTCTTGCTAGCAGTCTATCAATTTTGTTGATCCTTTCAAAAAACCAGCTCCTGGATTCATTAATTTTTGAAGGGTTTTTTGTGTACCTATTTCCTTCAGTTCTGCCCTAATTTTAGTTATTTCTTGCCTTCTGCTACCTTTTGAATGTGTTTGCTCTTGCTTTTCTAGTTCTTTTAATTGTGAAGTTAGGGTGTCAATTTTGGATCTTTCCTGCTTTCTCTTGTGGGCATTTAGTGCTATAAATTTCCCTCTACACACTGCTTTGAATGCGTCCCAGAGATTCTGGTATGTTGTGTCTTTGTTCTCATTGGTTTCAAAGAACATCTTTATTTCTGCCTTCATTTCGTTATGTACCCAGCAGTCATTCAGGAGCAGGTTGTTCAGTTTCCATGTAGTTGAGCGGTTTTGAGTGAGATTCTCAATCCTGAGTTCCAGTTTGATTGCACTGTGGTCTGAGAGATAGTTTGTTATAATTTCTGTTCTTTTACATTTGCTGAGGAGAGCTTTACTTCCAACTATGTGGTCAGTTTTGGAATAGGTGTGGTGTGGTGTTGAAAAAAATGTATATTCTGTTGATTTGGGGTGGAGAGTTCTGTAGATGTCTATTAGGTCCGCTTGGTGCAGAGCTGAGTTCAATTCCTGGGTATCCTTGTTGACTTTCTGTCTCGTTGATCTGTCTAATGTTGACAGTGGGGTGTTAAAGTCTCCCATTATTATTGTGTGGGAGTCTAAGTCTCTTTGTAGGTCACTCAGGACTTGCTTTATGAATCTTGGTGCTCCTGTATTGGGTGCATATATATTTAGGATAGTTAGCTCTTCTTGTTGAATTGATCCCTTTACCATTATGTAATGGCCTTCTTTGTCTCTTTTGATCTTTGTTGGTTTAAAGTCTGTTTTATCAGAGACTGGGATTGCAGCCCCTGCCTTTTTTTTGTTTTCCATTTGCTTGGTAGATCTTCCTCCATCCTTTTATTTTGAGCCTATGTGTGTCTCTGCACGTGAGATGGGTTTCCTGAATACAGCACACTGATGGGTCTTGACTCTATCCAATTTGCCAGTCTGTGTCTTTTAATTGGAGCATTTAGTCCATTTACATTTAAAGTTAACATTGTTATGTGTGAATTTGATCCTGTCATTATGATGTTAGCTGGTTATTTTGCTCGTTAGTTGATGCAGTTTCTTCCTAGTCTTGATGGTCTTTACATTTTGGCATGATTTTGCAGTGGCTGGTACCCGTTGTTCCTTTCCATGTTTATTGCTTCCTTCAGGAGCTCTTTTAGGGCAGGCCTGGTGGTGACAAAATCTCTCAGCATTTGCCTGCCTGTAAAGTATTTTATTTCTCCTTTGCTTATGAAGCTTAGTTTGGCTGGATATGAAATCCTGGGTTGAAAATTCTTTTCTTTAAGAATGTTGAATATTGGCCCCCACTCTCTTCTGGCTTGTAGGGTTTCTGCCAAGAGATCCGCTGTTAGTCTGATGGGCTTCCCTTTGAGGGTAATCCGACCTTTCTCTCTGGCTGCCCTTAACATTTTTTCCTTCATTTCAACTTTGGTGAATCTGACAGTTATGTGTCTTGGACTTGTTCTTCTCGAGGAGTATCTTTGTGGCATTCTCTGTATTTCTTGAATCTGAACGTTGGCCTGCCTTGCTAGATTGGGGAAGTTCTCCTGGATAATATCCTGTAGAGTGTTTTCCAACTGGGTTCCATTCTTCCCTTCACTTTCAGGTACACCAATCAGACGTAGATTTGGTCTTTTCACATAGTCCCATATTTCTTGGAGGCTTTACTCATTTCTTTTTATTCTTTTTTCTCTAAACTTCCTTTCTCGCTTCATTCCATTCATTTCTTCTTCCATCGCTGATACGCTTTCTTCCAGTTGATCGCATCAGCTCCTGAGGCTTCTGCATTCTTCACATAGTTCTCGAGCCTTGGTTTTCAGCTCCATCAGCTCCTTTAAGTACTTCTCTGTATTGGTTATTCTAGACATTCTTCTAAATTTTTTTCAAAGTTTTCAACTTCTTTGCCTTTGGTTTGAATGTCCTCCCGTAGCTCACAGTAATTTGATCTTCTGAAGCCTTCTTCTCTCAGCTCGTCAAAGTCATTCTCCATCCAGCTTTGTTCCGTTGCTGGTGAGGAACTGCATTCCTTTGGAGGAGGAGAGTCGCTCTGCTTTTTAGAGTTTCCAGTTTTTCTGTTCTGTTTTTTCCCCATCTTTGTGGTTTTATCTACTTTTGGTCTTTGATGATGGTGACGTACAGATAGGTTTTTGGTGTGGATGTCCTTTCTGTTTGTTAGTTTTCCTTCTAACAGACAGGACCCTCAGCTGCAGGTCTGTTGGAATACCCTGCCGTGTCAGGTGTCAGTGTGCCCCTGCTGGGGGGTGCCTCCCAGTTAGGCTGCTCGGGGGTCAGGGGTCAGGGACCCACTTGAGGAGGCAGTCTGCCCGTTCTCAGATCTCCAGCTGCGTGCTGGGAGAACCACTGCTCTCTTCAAAGCTGTCAGACAGGGACATTTAAGTCTGCAGAGGTTACTGCTGTCTTTTTGTTTGTCTGTGCCCTGCCCCCAGAGGTGGAGCCTACAGAGGCAGGCAGGCCTCCTTGAGCTGTGGTGGACTCCACCCAGTTCCAGCTTCCAGCTGCTTTGTTTACCTAAGCAAGCCTGGGCAATGGTGGGCGCCCCTCCCCTAGCCTCACTGCTGCCTTGCAGTTTGATCTCAGACTGCTGTGCTAGCAATCAGCGAGACTCCGTGGGCATAGGACCCTCCGAGCCAGGTGCGGGATATAATCTCGTGGTGCGCCGTTTTTTAAGCTGGTCGGAAAGGCGCAGTATTTGGGTGGGAGTGACCCGATTTTCCAGGTGCGTCCGTCACCCCTTTCTTTGACTCAGAAAGGGAACTCCCTGACCCCTTGCGCTTCCCAAGTGAGGCAATGCCTCGCCCTGCTTCGGCTCGCACAAGGTGCGCGCACCCACTGACCTGCGCCCACTGTCTGGCACTCCCTAGTGAGATGAACCCGGTACCTCAGATGGAAATGCAGAAATCACCCTTCTTCTGCGTCGCTCACGCTGGGAGCTGTAGACTGGAGCTGTTCCTATTGGGCCATCTTGGCTCCTCCCTCCGACATATCTTTCTACATGCATAGTTATATATGTATATTTTCTATGTGCATAGTTATTCATACCTGTATCATTATATAAACATAAAATATATAAACATAAAATATATAAACATGTATACACATGGTTTTAAAGTCTATATGTGCACATAAAATGGGCATATTTTTAGACAGTCTCTTATTAAAGGTAGTTCAAATAGCACGTTTCCAGCTGCTTACTAGGAAGCTGCTTCAAGATTTGTAATTCGAACAATGCAAAATGCAGTGTCTTGGACAAAGTAGTGTTAGTGTCACATCACCATTTCCAAAAGAAAAAAGAAAAAAGAAAAAAAAACATTTAAAGGAAAAAACAAAATTAAAACACATATACTAAATCACAATTGAGCTTCAGTCTACATAAAGCCTTCAATTTGAGAATGCAGATCAATTTTCATTTGCTTAAGTAGGCTCATAGTAATCAGATAACTAAATGCAAACAGTAGTAAAATCTGTAGTTGGTTCTGTGATAAATAGGAGAGAAATGGTTTAATAGCAAAAGCCATAATTATCCACAGTTCTCAGTTTACAATTAGTTTTCTTTGACAGTTATAGTCATAAATGCCAGCTTTAATCATGTCTTCAGGTTGAATTAGGCCCTGCCAATGCTGGAAGAGATCTAATCCGCTTTCTTTCCTACTCTTAATGAAATAATAATGCAAATTCACTACATTGATGGGACGACCCATGTGAATTTATTATAGGCTTGGAGAAGTCTCTTGAACGGGATAAATTCTTTCTGGGTACAGACTTGAGGTAATTCAAACCAGACAAGAAAAAAAATGGAGCTGTCATCAGAGGCCAGGATATGGAATGGATTTAATTTGTATGAATAGGCTTTTTAATAAGTATAAGAGGGCTAAGCTCTAGCTTTAGTTGGGGAATATTACTGCTGTCAGTTTCCAAATCTGGATGCACTAACTTTATTTGGGAGGATAAAGACCATTTCCAAAACTAATTTCTTATAGCACTGCAGGTGACTGTAGCTAAAAGCACACTATACAGTAGCCATGGCAAACGGGGCAAACTGTGGGAGTTAAGTCAATAGGACAAATTATTTTCATCAGTTGGCCAGTGTTGAATATAGTTGGCATTTCCAAGGGTTGAATGTATATTTTAGGCTACAGAGGACATGTCACTGATATAGAACATATTTAGGTGGCTTTTTTTTCCCTAAGGAAGAAGTATGCTAATTTAATACCATCTAAAGGATAAGCAATCCTTTTTCTAAACCAATAGAAGAAAGCCTGAGTAAAGCACAGATTGAAAACAATGTTGAAAACATAGCCTTCCATCACATCAACACACAAGGAACCAAACTTTGACTGTTATACATATTTCAGGTTGGTAAACATTCACATTGCTTGCCTTGTATATATTTATTTCCTCCCAAGGCTATATAACAAATTCAACCTGTTTTCTCCATTACTTTAAACTGTCTCAGTATCAGTGAAATACAAGTATGGAAAAATTATATTATTTAGATAATGCCATTGATGAGTTTGGCAAGAGACTTAATAGACGCATTAAGGAGTGATGAGTAATTAATGCAGCACAGAAAAAATTAAAAATCAAAAGTTAGATATTTCAAATAAAATATAGTCTTTCTCTTAATCTATTGGATGGATCCATTGAATACATTGTTTTGTCTTGCGTTATCCCCAAATATAATATATCTTATTAATTTTAAGAGCATAGGTATTATTTTCAAGTAATAATTTTCTTCATTGTGAAGTATTTTAGTTTTTATAAGCAAAAGTTTGAAATGAATTGATTCATCTGAAATTTGCACAGCACTATTATTGATCCTGTTTTACACGTATACTGTGGATTGTGCTATCTTTATGTAGTGAAAGTATCATTCATTTTTATATCAAGAGAGTCCACAAGTATTTTATGCAACACTAAAAGTAAGGTCTCTAAGTAGATAATCAAAGAATAAACTACGGACAAATTTAGAATTTCTTCAGAAACCATTTTGAGAACTACAATTATATCAAAAGAACTCATTTCTATTGCTTTCTAGTTTGCTCTACTTATAAAAACTTCTTTGTTATGAGTTGGCAATTAATGTTTTCTCATTCAGCAAACCTCAAAATCATATCTACCTACCTTCCATGCTCAAAAAGCACATTTTACCCAGTGACAGTTGCACTATTCATGTTACAGTTATGACCGTAGCCGTGTAAGTAATTACTGCTTCATAAAACAAAGAATGAATCTACCTCATTACAAGGGCTTTAGGAACAATAGCTCACCTTACAAATTACCTAATACAATATGCCATGAGAAATGTGGGAGAAAGCAACAAGTGAATGACAGGGCTTTTGTTCATGCAAAAGCTGTATGATTTTCATTTTAAAAAATATGTGAGTTTGATGAGAAAAATGTTAAATACTACAGGGAGAAGTTTACAGTAAATTGCACTTCTGAGGTGTTAAATGCTACCAGATAAAACTCAGTAGCAATGCAGAGGTTACATACATTTTTCAAAGAGTAAAAATGCCTCAGATACTGTTGCATAAGTAAAAAAAAATTAGCTTAAAAATGAATACAATTTGTGTATTCCATTGGAATTGTTGAGAATGAAAAGGCTGAATTGTTTAATTCTACTTGTAAAAGCAACAGCAAATATATTCTAAAAACATATAACTCAGAAGCAATGGGATAATCACTAATTAATATGCAGATAAGATATCACATTGGTTTCTATGCTCCATATAAGTAGTCAGTAGTCACACTAACATATTCCTATTACACTGAAAAGTAAAGCAGATATTACTAGGTTTCTCTTCTATATTGTTTCAGAAATAAAACCCACAAAATAATTAAGATTTTATGCCATGGATTAAATTATCTACATTATAGCTTAATTTGTTTAAAGTAAGCACTTAATAAATATTAACTATTATTTTTTATTTTGGTAATTTGGGTCACTTACAAAACATCATCATTGTTTGAAGGGTTGAGATTAGAGAAGATAGTTACTGGGATTTATTAAATTATATACAAATGAAATTTATAGGACTAATATAAATCAGATTAATAAAATTTGCATTGTTTCAAGTTACACTTTTAAAACAGGTAATCCAATTATCAATTAAACAAAATGTAATATATTCACCTAAATTTATACTTGAGAAAGTCGAAGCCCTGAAGTGTCAAATCACCTGCTAAAGTTCAAATAGATAGTTGCAAAGTTAGAATTGGAACCAAATTTTTAAAACTTCCATTGTAATTTTCATCGCTTCTGGCCCTACTTTAATAAGAAATAATGGACCCAAACCCAAGCCACTGTGCATGAATCTGAAGAACCCTGGGCTTGCTAGATACTGAGAGACATTAAGAAAAACTCACATGATCTGTGTGTAGTGAACAATGGTTTTTCTTTCCAGCAGTCATATCCTCATCATTTTCTTTTATTTGGAAACTCTCCTCCAACTCTCATTTCATGCAATGGAAAAAAAAAAAATCTCTGTTTTCATCATTAGAGATGGCATGAAACCTAGTCTGGACCAACATACTCACAAATCTTGCCTGAAGTGATTGCTTCACAAACAGCCTGAATAGGAGAACATCCAAATCAATCAGAGAAACTTTTGTGAAACTACAGTATGGGTGAAGAAACTTGTTGGGCAAAGATTTCATAGAGTAACCATCTAAAGACCATCTTTCCAAAACATAGAAAGAGCCTTCCTGTATGTGGCCAAAATAAATGGAACAGGCATGGGATATAGAGTGACTGATAATGGCATTTGAGTCCTTGGATCCATCCATACCTGATCTACTGCTGGAAATCTTAAACGTGTGTGTCAATGAATTCTCTTTTTCAGAGGAGCCAGTTTGAATTTTTTTTCAGCCACCATCAAGAATTCTATTAAATCCTGTTTTATAACAAATATTGGCATTGATAGCTCTCTTACTAATAGAAGATAAACAACAAAACAGTGTGTGCCTTTAAAATCTCAAAGGAAAGAAAATAATGCCATAGAGCTGAGAAGTGCCTGTCACTGAAAATGAATCTCTAAATGGAAGGGAAGCACTTTTTCCAGGAATCTACTCATTACTCCCCAAAAGATGTAAGAGGCTATATCCATGGCCATGTAGAAAAAACTGAAGATGATAAATCAGAAATTCAATAAAAGTAAAAGAAGAAAAAGGTAAGTTGATTTGCAATAAAATATTGGTTAACAAAGGCAGTAATGAAAATGTTTAACAGTAGTGAAGATTTAATCAGGACTATGGAAAGCACACATGAAAATTCTCTCCAAATGCAGATGGAAGGTATGGAGAACATGGCACCCAAGTAAATAACAGAGCTTGAAGAATGAGCTGTCATTTAAGAATCAAATTCTGAAGAAATAGTTAATATCCATCTTATTTTTCTCTGGTTGAAATTTTGCCAGAATACTTTTGCCCTAACCAAATTAAGTTTAAATTATATTTTAGGATGTAAATTTTTAGAATTTTGACAACTTTTAGAGACCCAGCTCTGCATTTGATATAGTAATTTCAAAAATCTTAAAGCTAATAATATATCTCAAATGGTTATATATTCCAAAATTAAAATGTTGGGTTATTTTTAATACATTTTAAATATCCACATCTTTAGAACATCCTTTTCTTTAATTCTCACAATATTATACATGATTGTTATTATATATGTTATAATCAGAGTATATAAAAACAGATTTCATAGTAATTATGTACTATTAAAATAATATAAAATGTATATGACTCTCTAAGAATAAATTCAATTTGAAATTCTCACCTTTTTAAACTTCAACTAATATTAAATACAGGCATGTTGCCAGGAAACACCCCAGAGAATACAGTCATGAATGAGATAAGCCACAAGACCCCTGCCCTCAAATTGAAGAGAGACCAAAAATAGAGATCAATAATATAGTCTCCAAAAATTTAGATTTTGTTAAGTACTATAAAGAAAATAAACTAGATCAGAATAACTGAGGTAAGCAGTTCCAAGTGAAAACACTCACAATGATTAGTTTTTAAGTTTTCAAAATATTTATCTTAATGTCTGCATCACTTTCAAGGTGCTAGCATGTTTTATGACTTTAGAATAAACAGAGCTTGGTTCATAATCTGCAACACACTTAGTAGGGACATGAACACGCTAATAGAAGGGATAGCTGTGTGAAGATGTTAATGGAAATGAAGTTAACATTTTGTAAAGCTGTAGGAATGGACATAATTTATGTAAAGCTGTAGCATAGCCTAAGTTCTCACAAAATATTGGCTCAAAATATTCCATTCTTATTGAATTTTTTAAAAAGTGTCCAAACCAAATGGCAGTTTAATTTTTATAATTGCACTTCAGTAGTGTGATTCACCTGGTAGTTGCTAGAATGTGAAATGCAAGGAACTTGATAAATACCTTCTGTAACCTTTTGTTTCAGTTTGTGTTTTCTGTGAAAGAATTTTCAAGATTCTCGGATAATTACTGGAGGCTAAAATAATAATTAGCACCATTTCCCATTCATAACAAGTATATCAAATGACAACATTCAAAACATATTGTCTTTTCTGGTGCTGGTTAATTCTAATCCAAATGAAGGAGGCAAAATTGCAAGATACCAAGCGAGCTATTAATATAGCCATTTTGAAAGGACGTGGGAGCAGTACCTAGCAAAGTGATATTTCTCCTTTGTATGCTAATTTGATTCACACCTGTCGCCACTTAAAAATGGTAATCCTGGAACACTGCATCCTGTACTATGGTGTATTAGCCAACTTCCTACATATTCTCTGTCAATCACAGTAATGGAGACCATTGGGAGAATGCTATTGCTTGTGAAAAATTATTTTCAGAGAAAGAGCTATTGAGGAATTGGTCCTAGTAAGTCAGAACCATGAAAGTGGCTGGCTCACACTCCATTTTAGATCCTGGGATGGGATGACTAATATCTGAAATATTTTAGAAGTGCTGTTTACTAACACATAAGATTTTCTACATTCATTGATATGAAAAAATGCAGTGTTTATATTTGTTGTTAAATATTTATATATGTGCATAGCAAAGTAAAAATATATATAACTAAATATAACAAAATATGTTAAAAGTATGCTTATATAACCAAATAAAGATTTTAAATACAAAATATCATTGACACATAATATCCAAATTCATGTATTTGTTTTTGGAAATTAATAAGCTAATCTTGATTATTTCATGATATAAGAGGGTTATAATTACATTTCTATTGCAACTCATAACTAAACACAATGTGCTTAGAAAGACAATAAAGAACTGGAGCAGTAATTTAGTCAGCTTAAGGAAATGAAATGTATTACATAGTTCATGTGCAAGTTCCTCTGACCTATCATGTCCATTCCATTTTGCATTTGCTGATCTTTTATCTACGCATAGCGAGCACAATCAATCTATAGAAATTTCACTGAGAATACCATGCTCAATTTTCACTACTGATCCTTGTTGTCAATGTCATAGAGAGGGAAGTATGATAATTGTGATCTCACATCCATACCAACCAGTTTTACCATGCTTGAATTCCCCTATTATATTAGGCATAGTCCCACTAAACATAATATTTCAAGTTTTCAAGTTTTAGACATATTAAGATTTTCAAAAAACATAACACTTGAACCTTGTCTAAACATTCTGGAATAATTTTATTAAAAATATGAACATACTTCATATAATTTATCTCAATCACATTTGTCTTATTTTAAAATTGATTCATATTCTGGAATTTGCATTTTTGTTTTATAAGAAAGTTTATGCATTAAAGATTTTTCTGAGGTGGTTTTATGGCTCACTTTTAAAGTTTTCTTTCCTACACATAAGACATTACAAAATAATTCTAAATGTATACAATCCTGGGAATAAATTTAACATACTGATGTTTTTCAGGGGCTCAAGGGTGGGAGACTTCCTGAATAGAACTGTAGTCCCAGTGATTTATTCATTGTGTGATCATGGACTTACTTTAATTGTGGTTTTCTCATCTCATTTAGTTTTCATAAAAAGTCTCTGATATAATACTATAAAGTTTTAAGAAAACTATGTAGTGTATAGTTTATGTTCATTCTTTACTGTCATTTCATGCTTTTATGTGTATATACATAAATATGTTCTTATAAAATAGATTTTATTATAAAACTGCTTTGTAAACTGATGTTTAAAAATTTACTCATACATATATTTTCTCTTCCATGACTCCACAGTACTCTATTAAATACTTCAACCAACTCCAATAAAGGACATACTTTAACTACTCCACGTTATTTCCTTGTACGTGGGTCACCAATTACTTCCATGTGACTAAATCCAATGGATGTTTTTCAACCAGTATCTTGTTCAAAATGTCTGTATCATTTGACACTATTGATTGCTCAACAAAAGCAGTCTGTACTCCTTCCTAGGCCACAACACCCTTTTGTTTTCCTACAACATTGGATGTCCTTTCTTTTTCTGATTTTTGTTTCTTCTATCTTCTTAAATCCCAGTGATTCTCAGAATGGTTTTAGCTCTCTGATCTCACTCTACATTGTTTTCAAAATTTTCTCATGCCTTTCTATATATCAACCATTATCTTCACTCTCACAGCTGCTATACTTTAAGAGCCAACAAGTCCATGACTGCTCTCTGCTTACCCAGTTATCACCCAGACTTCTCTACTAAGATGTCTGAGCAGCACATCAACCGCAACATAGACATGAACAAAGTCTTCATGAACTCATCATTCCTGCCTCACCCTCCACATCAACACTGCCCCTCTTTTAATGTTCCCTGTTTCATAAATGACACGCAATCTGCTCATGTGTTCAGGTCACAAATAAGAAAGTCATCCTTGACTCTACCATCCCCTTCCTCAATACCACCTCCAGTTACAAACGCTTTTGATTTTCCTTAAATGCCTCTTTACCTGTTTGCATATCTATTGCCATCAACTAGTAAAAGCTACCAGTTTTTTCCCCTTTCTCTTTACTGAAACCACGTTTTAACTAAACTTCCTGGGTGGATTAGAGAGAACCATATGGAATTACCAACATTCCATAATTTTTAATGGCAATTTTATATGGTTAAACTGTATATAATTCTCTCATATTTATCTCATATATTTCTCCTACAGTGTTCTTCCAAAAACACCAAAACATAAGGATTAAGTAAACATTTATTTTATAAGTAAATGTGTAAGGCTATATACTTTAATTATTTTAAATCCACCACCAATTTTTGCTATAGTCTATTTCAAATATTTCACGTGGATGAAAAATTATGTGATAAACATTTTGCACACATTTCCTTATATACATGTCTAATTACTTTCTCAACAGTATATTAAAGTAGAACTACTGGATAACTATCTTTTTGAATCACTGTCAGACATGCCAGCTTTCATTATGAGAGTGTTTGATTTGTACATGTAACTCTACACAAAACCAGAAAAGGAGAGTACAGTTCAAACGTCTGGAAATTATCGCTTTACTAAGGACCTGCCGAAAAACAATGCGCACATTCAAATGAAGTTCACTGGAGATTATTTCAACTAAAACACATAATTCAATGCAAATCAGTTGCAAAGCAGTGACTTGGAAAGTTTCTAAACTTTAGGAATTTATTTACTTAAATGCAAATTTTGTTTAAGAAAAAAAATCCTTTCTTTGTGTTTTCTGAAATGTGTATGTTAGTGTTTCCAGTTTGCCCCACTACTGCAATTTTCTATCATACAATATCACATCTGCTAAACACTTAGCAGAAAATCACAACAAAAAATCAGCACTGTGACTTGCTAAACAAGACATTTAGTCTCGGTTTATATATTACATTCATTTCCCATCTAAAGATACTCTTAAAGGAAATGATTGCTGGAGAAAAACAAAGATGACGAAATAATAGAAAGCAGATGAAAAAGATTACCTGAGAAACAAAGAAGTGTTAGACAATTTTATGTGTGTGAAAAACTAGAATAGTTATTAACACATTAACAATAACATAAAAAACAAGTGAGGCAGGATAAATCAGATAACCTATCTGCCAATTTGGAGTACAGTACTGTGTAATCACTTATAGTATTTTAAAGTCTGTGACACTGTGAATATACAAATATCATATTTGCTCTTTCAAACCTTAGTTTTAATCTGTTACCTTCTCTTAAAAGGTAAATGTTAAAAACAAATAGAATACTTTGAAGTCAGGTAGCATGGTGCATCCAGCTTTGTTCCTTTTACTTAGGATTGTCTTGGCAATGCTGGCTCTTTTTTAGTTCCATATGAATTTTAAAGTAGTTCTTTCCAATTCTGTGAAGAAAGTCATTGGTAGCTTGATGGGGATGGCATTGAATCTATAAATTACCTTGGGCACTATGGCCATTTTCATGATATTGATTCTTCCTATCCAGGAGCATGGAATGTCTTCCATTTGTTTGTGTCCTCCTTTATTTCTTTGAGCAGTGGTTTGTAATTCTCCTCAAAAAGGTCCTTCACATCCCTTGTAAGTTGGATTCCTAGGCATTTTATTCTCTTTGTAGCAATTGTGAATGGGAGTTCACTCATTATTTGGCTCTCTGTTCGTCTGTTATTGGTGTATAGGAATGCTTGTGATTTTTGCACCCTGATTTTGTATCCTGATAAATCATGCTACTATAAAGACAGATGCACATGTATGTTTACTGCGGCACTATTCACAATAGCAAAGACTTGGAACGGACCCAAATGTCCATAAATGATAGACTGGATTAAGACAATGAGGAACATATATACCACGGAATACTATGCAGCCATAAAAAGGATGGGTTCATGTCCTTTGCAGGGACATAGAAGAAGCTGGAAACCATCATTCTGACAAACTATCACAAGTACAGAAAACCAAACACCACATATTCTCACTCATAGGTGGCAATGAAACAATGAGAACGCTTGGACACAGCGCGGGGAACATCACACACCATGACCTGTCATAGGGTGGGGATCTGGGGGAGAGAAAACATTAGGAGAAATACCTAATGTAAATGGTGACTTAATGGATGCAGCATACCACCGTGGCACATATATACCTATGTAACAAACCTGCATGTTGTGCACATGTACCCTAGAACTTAAAGTATAAAAAAAAAAAATAGAAGATGGCCAACTAGTCACAGCAAGAAGGAACATCTCCCTCTGAGGGACTGGGACATCAAGAAGACTGGCACACTCTTAGCAAATAGTAAAAGGGAAGGCACTGAGAGGGTACAAGGGAAGACACATGCTTGGGTTAAGCGGGAGGAAACTGGGAACACTGCACGAGGCTACCACACATCAAGACTTGTTCCTGACCCTCAATGACTCTTTGGGAAGGGGTGAGTTGAACAGGCAAGGAGAAACCTGCTCTTGCCATGGGCCTCTGGAATCCCCATAGGAGGAGACCCCTCAACCACCACAGACACTTGAGTTGACAGGGAGAGCTGCTAAGAGAAGTGGTAGGGGCAGAACTCCAGCTAGTGTGGAGGCCAGAGGGTTTGGTGCAGGAGCATCTTTAGTGGAGGACAGCCAAGGATGTCCATCCCTGTAGGCTCAAGTTGCTCCTGTAGGAGACTTTAGCCCTAGGAGAACTGACAGATTTGAATGCTGCAGGCCATTCTTGCCCATGAGATGAGGCCAGTCTGACCTGAGCACCCCTCAATTGGCTGGCTTCTCCCAGAGCCCCAGACTGGCCATGTTTGCTTGCAGTGCAGCCCCCAGTACCTCCTGGTGCTGCACATCATAGCTCCTGCGCTAGTGGACCTCACCTGAGCAGCAGAGTGCTCTGGCAGAGCAGCCCCCACTGGACATGCACCAGTCTGCCAACACCCTCCTCCCACTGCAGCCTCCCCATGCCGCTTTACCTGTACACACACAGCCACAGCCACCTCCTACATTGCTTGGCTGGTGTGTGCGTACACAGGTGACATTGTCTTCCCTTCCTTGACAGTGTGCATGTCCCTGCCTAGCCACTGCTGCCAGTGTGAGTGCACCCCACCACTCCTCCCCAAAGTACCCCTCCTCCTGTGGGACTGCCATTGTTGTGGGAGTATAGATGGGCATGGAATCCACAGGCCCCACCCCTGTCAGTAACATGCCCCTGCACATGAACACTTCCACCAGCTCAAAACTAGACAGAAGAGCTGACTCATCCCTTCCCTGAGCAGCCTCCACTGCCTGTGTGAACATGCACAGAGGATGCACCAGTGACCTGCTCCCATGCTAACACCATCACCAGCATCAGTGCATGTATACTTCCCAGCAGGGCCTCCTCTCCCCCACTGAGCTATGCTGTCACCGCAGTTGTGAATGTCCACACAGTGGCCAGCACCCTGGCACCCACTAGCACCCTGCCACAGCCAACAGGCATGCACCTTGCCATGCTGCCACTGCTGCTGGTGTATGCAAATGAAAACAGATCCCACTGCCACAGCCCTACAAAGAGTTTTGGCTGGCTCCACCCATCAGAGTGTTATAACCAGCTGTCCAGGAGCACCTTGGCCTCTCCAGTGCAGCAGGTTCCCCAACTCAAGGAGCCAGAAAACAAAGCCAGGGCCTGATACCAGTCCCCAGAATTAAAGCATGTAGTCCAGGAGTCCTGAGCTGAACCTTGGCTTCCAAAAATCTCTCAGAAACGAAGCCAGTTGACTAAACCCACCTTATACCACAATGAAACCTCCAAGATCATCAAATAGGATAAAAGAAAAACAAAACCCATTGAAAGGAGAACAACATCAAAGATTGAAGGACCATCAGCCCACAAAGATGAGAAAGGCCAAGCACAAGAATTCTGACAATTCAAAAAGCTAGAGTGTCTTCTTTCCTTCAGACTACCAGACTAGTTCTCCAGTAAGGGTTCTAAGCTGGGCTGAGATGCCTGAAATGACAGAAATAGAATTCAGAATATGGATAAGAATGAAGGTCAGTGACATTCAAGAGAACATTAAAACCCAATCTAAGAAAGCTAAGAATCCCAATAAAATGATACCAGAGCTGACAGAAAACATAGCCAATACAGAAAAGAAATAACAGACCAGACAGAGCTGAAAAACATGCTACATGAATTTCATGATGCAATCTCAAGTATAACAGCAAAACAGATCAAGATGGGAGATAATCTCATTTTTGAAGACTGGCTTTCTAAAATAAGACAGTCAGACAAGAATAAAGAAAAAATAATGGAAAGAAATGAACAAAACCTCCAAGAAATATGGGATTATGTAGACAATCTCTACAACTCACTGGCATCCCCGAAAGATATGGGGAGAATAAAATCAACTGGGAAAACATATTTCACAGTATCATTCATGCAAATGTCCTCAACCTAGCTAGAGAGGCCAACATTTAAATTCAGAAAATGCAGAGAACTCCCATAAGATACTTCACAAGAAGATCATCCCCAAGCATGTAACCACCAGATTTTCCAAAGGTCAAAATGCAAGAAAATTTATTAAAGGCAGATAGAAAGGACAAGTCACCTACAAAGGGAAGCCCATCACACTAAAAGCAGACCTCTGAGTAGAAACCCAACAAGTGAGAAGAGATTGAGGGCCTACATTCAACATTCTTAAAGAAAAGAAATTCCAACCCAGAATTTCCTATCAAGCCAAACTAAGCATAAGCAAAGGAAAAATTAGATTATTTTCAGAAAAGCAATTGCTGAGGGAAATTGTTACCCCCAGACCTGCCTTACAATAGTTCCTGAAGAAAGCAGTAAATATGGAAAAGAAAGATCATTACCAGCCACTACAAAAACACACATAAGTACACAGACCAGTGACAAAATAAAGCAACCAGAACAAGTCTGCATAACTACCTAACAACATGACAACAGATTTAAATCTACACATATCAATACTAACCTTAAATGTAAATGACTAAATGACCAGTTAAAAGACAGAGAGTGGCAAGCTGGATAAAGAAGTAAGACCCAATGGTATGCTGTCTTCAAGAGACCCAGTTCACATGCAGTGACACCCATAGGCTCAAAATAAAGGGATAGAGAAAAATTTACCAAGAAAATGGAAAACTGAATAAAGCAGAGGTTGCAATTCTAATTTCAGACAAAATGGTCTTTAAACCAACAAAGATAAAAAATGATGAAGAAGGGCATAACATAATCATAAAGGGTTCAATTCAACAAGAAGACCTAAGTATCCTGAATATATATGCCACAAACACAGGAACACCCATATTCATAAAGCAAGTTCTTAGAGACATTCAAATAGACTTAAACTCCCAAACAATAATAGTGGGAGTATGCAACATTTCACTAACAGTATTAGACAGATAATTGAGGCAAAAAATTGACAAAGATATCCAGGACCTGAACTCAATATTGAACCAAATGGACATGATAGACATCTACAGAACTCTTCACCCAAAACAACAGTATATACATTCTTCTTATTGCCACGTCGTACATACTCTAAAATAGAACACACAATTGGACATAGAACAATCTTCAATAAATACAAAAGAACCAAATTGTACCAAAAACTCTCTCAGGTCAAAGTCCAATAAAAATGGAAATCAATACTCAGAAAATCGCTCAAAACAATACAATTACAAGGAAATAAAACAACCAGCTCCTGAATTAATTTTGAGCAAATAATGAAACTAAAGCAGAAATCAATAAGTTCTTTAAAACTAATGAGAAATAAGATACAACAACCAGAATATTGGAGGCACAGCTAAGGCACCATTAAGAGGGAAATTTATAGCACTAAGTGCCCACATCAAAAAGTAAGAAAGATCTCAAATTAAAAGCCTAACATACAACTGGAAAACCAGGGAATCAAGAGCAAACCAACCCCAAAGTTAGCAAAGGACAAGAAATAACCAAAATCAGAGCTGAAGAGACTGAAAATTAAGAACCATTCAAAAATCATGAGATCAACAGATACAAGAGATGGAGTTTTTTGAGAAAATTGTTAAGATATATAGACCACTGGACTAATGAAGAAAAGTGAGAATATCCAAATAAATGTATTTAGAAATGACAAAGAATATTACCAGTGACCCCAAAGAAACACAAATAACCATCAGAAACTACTATGAACACCTCTATGCAAACTAGAAAATCTGGAAGAAATGTGTAAATTCCTGGATACATACACCCTCCCAAGACTGAGCCAGGAAGAAATTGAATCCCTAAACAGACCAATAATGAGCTCCAGTATTGAATAAGTAAGAAATAGCCTACCAACCAAAGGCAAGGACCAGACAGATTCACAGTTGAATTTTAAGAGATGTACAAAGAGCTAGTACCATTTTCATTGAAACTGTTCCAAAAAATTGAAGGGGAGGGACTCCTCCCCAACTAATTCTATGAGTCCACCATCATCCTGATACCAAAAAGTGGTAGAGATACAATAAGAAAAGAAAACTTCAGGCCAGTATCCTTGATGAACATTGATACAAATTACTAGCAAACCAAATTCAACAGCACATCAAAAAATGAATCCACTATGATCAAGTAGACTTTATCCCTTGAGTGCAAGGTTGTTTCAATATATGCAAATCAATAAATGTTGATTCATCACATAAACAGAAATAAGACCAAAACCAGATAATTATCTCAATAGATGCAGAAAGGCTTTTGCATCCCTTCATGTTACAAACTCTCAACAAACTAAGTATTGAAGGTACATACCTCAAAATAATAAAAGCCATCTATTTCAGACCCACAGCCAACATCATACTGAATGGTCAGAAGCTGGAAGCATTCCCCTTGAAAACCAGCACAAGACAAGGACACCTCTTTCATGTCTCCTATTTAAGATAGTATTGGAAGTTCTGGCCAGAGTGATCAGGCAAGATAAAGAAATAAAGGGCATTCAATTAGGAATAGAGGAAGTAAAACTATCCCTGTTCACGGATAACATTATTTTATAGCTAAAAAACCCCATAGTCTTGACCCAAAAGCTCCACAACCTGATAAGCAACTTCAACAAAGTGTCAGGATACAAAATCAATGTACAAAAATCACTAGTATTCCTATACACCAACAACAGCCATACCAAGAGCAAAATTGGAGATGCAATCCCATTTGTGATTGCCAAAAAAGAAGAAAATACCTAGAAATTCAGCTAACCAGAGAGATGAAAGATCTCTACAATGAGAATTATTAAACGCTGTTCAAAGTAATCAGAGATAACACCAAAAAAAAAAAAAATGGAAAAACATTCCATGCTCACAGATAGGAAGAATCAACATTGGTAAAATGGCCATACTGTTCACAGCAATTTATAGGTTTAATGCTATCCGTATCAAACTACCATTGACATTCTTCACAGAACTAGAAAATTCATACGGAACCAAAAAAAAGAGCCCAAAAAGACAAGGCAATCCTAAGCAATAAGCACAAAGCAGGAGGCATCATGCTACTTGACTTTAAATTATACTACAGAAATACAGTAACCAAAACAGCATGGTACTGGCAAAAAGAAAAAATAGACACATAGACAAATGGAACAGAATAGAGAGCCCAGAAATATGGCAACACACCAACAGCCATCTGATCTTCAATAAAGCTGACAAAAACAAGCAATGGGGAAAGGACTCACTATTCAATAAATGGTACTGGGAGAACTGGCTAGCCATATGCAGGATATTGAAACTGGACCCCTTCCTTACATCATATACAAAAATCAATTCAAGATGGATTAAAGACTTACTCCCCAACTGTAAAAACCCTGGAAGAAAATCTAGGCAATATCATTGTGAGCATAGCAACTGGCAAAAGATTTTGAATGAAGACACCAAAAGCAATGGCAAAAAAAGCAAAAATTGACACGAGATCTAATTAAACTGAAGAGCTTCTGCACAACAAAAGAAACTATCAACAGAGTAAACAGACAAGTTACAGTATGAGAGAAATATTTGCATACTACACATCTGACAAAGCTCTAATATTCAACATCTATAAAAAACTTAAACAAATTTCCAAAAAACCAACCCCGTTAAAAAGCGGGCAGAGGACATGAACAGACACTTTTTAAAAGAAGACATACATGTGGCCAAAAATCCCATGAGAAAAAAGCTCAGTAACGCTGATCATTAGAAAAATTCATTTCAAAACCACAATGAGATACCATCCCACACTGGTCAGAATGGCTATTACTAAAAAGTCAAAAACAAGATGCTGGCAAGGTTGTAGAGAAAAGAGAACACTTATAGACTGCTGGTGGGACAGTAAATTAGTTCAACCAATGTGGAAAACAGTGTGCCAATTCCTCAAAGCCCTAAAAACAGAACTTCCATTTTACCCAGCAATCCCATTACTGGTTATATGCCCAAACAAATATAAATCATTCTGTCACAAAAACACATGCATGTGTATGTTCATTGCAGCACTCTTCCCAATACGAAAGACAAGGAATCAACCTAAATGATAGACTGGATAGAAACCCATCAATGGTGATATTCCCCTTCCTGTGTCCATGTGATCTCATTGTTCAATTCCCACCTATGACTGAGAATGTGCTCATGTACCCTAAAACTTAAAGTATAATAATAAAAAATAAATAAATAAATAAATTAAATAAATAAAACCATCAATGGTAAACTGGATAGAAAACATGTAATATCTGAAATAAGAGCACATTGGATGAGATTAGACACAATAGACATAGAATTAGACCAGAAATAGAATATTTCACAATAGGACGCAGAAGAGAAGAAACTAGAAGTAGAATATGTATAATCTGAACACTGGAAGAAACAGGAATGGGAAAAATAAAAGAACATGAAATTCAAGAGGATATATGAGACATTATCAAAAGTTCTAACCTACATGAACTTGAGTCTCAAGTAATGAAGAGAAAGAGAATGAAACAGAATCAATACACAAAGAAGTAACAGCAAATAATTATTTAAAACTGCTGAGAAATCCTCAGTGAATCCCATGGAGATGAAAATATTTCATTGAATTATATGCAGGATAAATGTAAATAAAATTATATCCAGTCGCATCACAGTGAAATTATTGAAAATGAAAGATGAAGAGAAAACGTTGACAGTAGCCAGAGAAACAAAAGATGTATTACCTTCCAAGGAACAATAAGATTGGTGACTTTTCAACAAAAACAATCAAAGCCAGATGGCAGTTTAATGACATATTTAAGCACTAGAAAAGTTTTCAATATACAATTCTGTACTCAGAAGAAATATCCTTAAAAGTGAAATAACAGTTGTCAGACTTGTCCTATCACCATAAACAGCTTTAAAACTAGAAACACTATAAGAAGAAGCTTTTTTCAGACACTGAAAAACATAAAGCACAAGGCTATTATCTATCAGAGAAGGGAAATACATTAGGTGGACATGACGTTGTGTAAGAGTTCCACCTGGGGAATCTTTCTGAATGACAATAGAAGGAAGAGGAGCCCCAAAAGACATAAACAATCACTTGTTGAAGAGGAAACAGTAATTGAAATATGAAACTTCTGAAGCAGCTAAAATTTACAAAACAGGATATGAGACTTGATTCAATTGAAATGATAGGAAATTTTCCCTTAGAAACAGGACTACACTCATGCTAGAGTAAGTGCTACTTCAGAACTTCCCTAATAAATCCTAAAACCAAGACTAAGAGGAATGGTAAATTAACTGCCTGTAAGATCCAAAACTCATCATTAAAAATAGTGATCCCACAGAATCCAGACTTTCAACCATGTTACATCCACAGGGCCAGCATGCAATCACAAATACCCCCACACAGAAGAAGGGAACTGATCTATAGCTAAAAGGAAAAAGAAGTGAAGAGGCATGCAGAGATGTCACTGAAATTAGCAAACCAGAAAGTGTAAAGAGCTGTTATATTTAAGTTCAGAGACTTTAAAAGTATAGGCATGATTAAGCAAAAGGTGAAAAATCACAACACAGAAATGAAAGTTATAAAAAAGAACTAAATTAGTTTGCTTCTAGTTATAATGGAGTAAATGTTACTAGACTAGCCCTCCTGCTATAATCAAACAGAAAATGCTTTTAGATTTTGAACAAGAGACTACAGGGCTGTAATCCTGATAGAAGAGACACCAACAAGATTAATTTTATAATTGCCCCAGTTTGCTGAATGTCTGGAGGCACTTTCTTGACTATAGTGAGGAGGAAATCAATTAGAAGAAACATTCTGTCTATGTTAAGGAGATAAAGCTCAGAGTTCATGGATGTAGAGACAGCTGGAATATATGGAGCAAAACATCACATAGAGTGTTATACAGAGAAAGAGCTTTGGAAACCCACAATGACTTCCTTTTAGTCTTCAGCTAAAGACTAAGATGCAAATGTATAGAATTATATTCCACAAGACTGAACAATGCAAAACTAGCTTGAATTTGTAAACTAAACAACTATCAAAACTCATACAGAGTAGAAAACATTTGAATTCAGAAAAGAAAGCATATAGGTATATTATTGAACCCTTAAGGCTTTAAGTAGAGATCCAGAAAAGAGATACACATATTTTAGTAGTGATAAACCATTACTTAAGTAAAGACTATTTTAGACCTCTTCTAACAATGCATACAGCAAGCTTTCAAAGGATCAAGCTAACCCACAAATAACTTCCTGACAGAAAAAATCTTAACATTTTTAGAGAAAAGCAATAAATTTCAGACATTCAAAACATAATATTTACAATGTCCAACACTTAGTAAAAAAATACTCATTAAATGAAGAAGAAAAATGTGATCTGAGAATAATCAGGAGAAATGAATCCATAAATCTATGTCTGGAATTGACAGATGAAAATTTTATAGCATATGTTATAAATTATAAATGTGTTTAATAATTTTAAGGAAGGCATAAAAATAAAAATAGATGCTATAAGGAGAAAAAAAGGAATTTTTAGTGGCAAATATACAATTCACTGAATAGAAATATCAGTAGATTACATATTGCAGAAAAAAAGACAAGTGAGCTTGAAGATAGGGCCTTCATAATAGATTACATGAATATTATAGATTTTTGCATGAAGAAATATCAATGCCAAGAATTTTTATTGCTTTTCTTTGTGCTCCAATTAATGGTTCTAAAAAAAACCCCCAAAATAATGATTTTGTAATTCACAAATCATGACAGCTGAGTTATGGTGTCCAATGTTAAACAATTCATATATACATATATGTCTAAATTAAACATGTGATCATAATTATTTACATGTTAAAAACTGTTAAGATTTCAATTTTAAGAGTAGTGATTTATGTGATTAAATTAGAATCTTTGTATTTTATGATGATAATACCTTACGTGTATCCCTAATACAAAGTTTGATCTCTAATCCAAAATTCGATTTTGTTTTTGAATTTAAGAATTGCTTTAAAAATTTTAATGCCAATTTCATTCCAACTTCCCCAGAAAAGTATTGTTTTCCAAATTAATATTGATAGAACATAATCTAAGAAATATGATGACTCAGTAAAAGGTATAACTTTTCAGTATTTTCAATAAAACATAAACTATGAGAAATGTTTGTTTACAATAACATTTTGTGGAAATTAAGACACAAATAATAATTTTATGAAATAAACATATATTTGTGAATCATGTATTTATTTTTTATTATCTGAAACCAGCAGGACTCTTGGGAGACATTTCTCCATAGGTATCTTGAATTTTTGCATATCTTGTAAGCATAGTTACTGACAGTCTTTTGTTCCAGACTATTTTTTATAGAATGTTTGTATAGCATACATACGTGGTAGATAGAGCTACTGTGTGCCTCCAGACACAAAGGCAGGATATTGTTATCCAGAATAATAAAGACAATGTCTACCTTGGAGATAAAGTTTAGATAGGTTTGCTTGCAACTCCTTTAAAAGATTGAGTTTTTTTTTTATGGTCCAGGTTCTACCACTTTACTGAAAGATACTATATGCACAGGCATTAATGTGTCTTTTGTCATGTCAGCCTGTGGGGACTGGGGTTCAATGAGCTTATATAAGTGATGATACTTTGGCTACTATATGCTCTAAGTAATAAAGTCCTTTGTCTCTCATCCAGGACTCTCATGTCACCTGCAACTCTTCATGAAAGTGTGGTGGACTAACTTGTTAGACAGCAAGTATAGTAAAATCTCCCACTTTTCACAGTTCTTAATAGAAGCTACTCAGAGAACCATCAGACATGAATATAAACATAAATTTCATCTCTTTTATTCATTACCAAATCTAGAGAAGCTGTCAACACGTATACACACTACATTCTAAAACACAACCCAATTTATTTAACTCATAGAACTTACCACAATCTGAAGTTATCTTTTCACTTTACTTGATTGTTTACAAATATTTTGCTTGTTTTCCTTTTTCACTACTAGAAAGCAAAATCAATGAAGAAGGGTTCTTATGAATTTATGTTTAAGCCTAAAAGATAAATTATGGCTAATAGAAACAAGACTTTTCCATTTCTTTTAGCCCAGAGTTAGATTATAATTCATGCTCATATTTATTTGATTTCTCTGACATTGCCAAAGTTTTGCTGATATTCTTCTGCTTATCCTGTGCTCATTATTTGTAAGTGACATCTGCAATGGAGCAAGTGGTTTTCATGTACTTACTTGCTTCTGATTATACATAATTTCATCATTTTCTTATCAACTGCATTTTTTTTTCTTAAAACACAGTCTTGGATACGGTTTCTAAGAAAGTTTATAATTTCTAGGTTTTCTTATTATCAGCTGGAGTTCTTAATTTTCCCAGATTTGCACATGGCTGGCCCTTTCATTTCTGTTTCCTGTGAAGGTGTTATGTCCTATGATGAGAAGAAAAGGTAGAGAAGAGTGCTTTAATCTTCATACGTAATTCTATAATTGAATTTGGGTGGAAAATAAATTTTTTCTGCAGGGACTGTGAAAAACCATTGAAACATCCCATTTGATTTCAGATGCAAAGAGATATTCATGTGTAATCCTTAGATATCCAAAACCTTTAGACTACTAGATATTAATCATGGAAATATACCCAAGCAAGCATTGGGTCACAGATAAAAGACAAGCCTCACACAACTTAAACAGATGTAAATAATATTCCCAGAGGAAATTGTTAGGCTTAAACTTAAGAGAAATATAATAAGCCGACAGTGTTGTGAGAAAACAAAAGCACAAAAATAAGATACAAATCAAGAAACTAGATTGATATAACTTGTATATAGATAATAAAATAACAGTATCATTAAAATTATATAGTTAATGTGATCCTTCATAAAACAGGTGTCTGAAGTTAAATATAGATTCTTAGAGAAGAAAATATTTATAAATTTTTATTAAAATAATATTAATCTTGTTAAGGGACAAAAATTGAATCTTCTACTCTCTGAATAAATTGTATATTGAATCCAGGAGAACTATGCTATTTTACTATGATAAAATCCATGATATAATAAAGACTTTTATTATTTTACAGTTTATTAATCTGTTAAGACTAATATTGACAATCTGGTAATTCAAAATTTCTCCCATAAGACATAATCTGTAAATATTTTTAAATATACAAAAATCAGCAATCTTATATCATAAAGCTAAAATAGAATTTATTATTTCATATATTGGTAAAATTGTTTAGTCAATAATTCTATTAACTGATTATGTTCTAGAGAAGTAATTATTTTCTTGTGAAAATTGAATTATGGCACCATATAGATTAGTATATTTTTTAAGGTAATCAAATGTATAAACAAGAGTTAAAACAATTGAGTTTTTTCTGTTGAGTAACTTATCTGTTGTTCGGTGGGTGGATTTGAGATTAACTTTGTAAGTAGTTATTTAATATTGAATCAACACAGTTGCATTCTTCCACAATCTATACACAGAGGATATAACAAAAAGAGCATCAATTCTTTGTGTTATTATTAGATTTACTTGTTTTAGTATTTTATGAATTTTCAAACAATAATTATAAAACAAAGAATCAAACCAAGCAAATCCCATATTGCCATTTAGCTATAATATACACTTAATTACAATCAGCATTCTATCAAAAAGCATATCTATGGGCTTGGATTATTTATGGCTGTCATAAAGCCACTTGTTAAGTATGAAAGGGAGGCGTATCAGTTTACTTTAATCTAATGAAGTGAACAGAGGAAAAAATAGCTAAAATTTTAATTTATAATGACTTTTGTCAATAAAATAATTTAGTTATTTTAGTTATGTATTTAGTTATTTGGATAGTGAATTTTGCTTTCACACATAAAACTACCAAATACACAAGAAACATTTAAGAAACATTTAAAGTATCATATTCTATCTTAAAATATGACATTATTTCAGAGAAATGTCACCTGAGCAAAATGTCATTGGTGAAAAATTGTTTTACAGAGTGTAAAAATATCTGGTCTGAATTTTATTTCTATATCATTTGCACTTTTTTTGCCTGTTGACTTAAATATGTAAATGTCTAAATTTAATAAAATATTCAAGTGTTAACAGTTTTTTTTTTAATTATATTTTAAGTCTAGGGTACATGTGCATAATGTGCAGGTAGGTTTATTTCATAGGCGTACATGTGCCATGTTGGTTTGCTGCACCCATCAGCTTGTCGTTTACATTAGGTATTTCTCCTAACACTATCCCTCCCCCAGACCCCCACCCCCCCACAGGCCCCGGTGTGTGATGTTCCCCTCCCTGTGTCCATGTGTTCTCATTTTTCAACTCCCACTTACAAGTGAGAACATGCGATGTTTGGTTTTGTGTCCTTGTGATATTTTGCTAAGAGTGATGGTTTCCAGCTTCATCCATCATGTCAAGAGACATGAACTCATCATTTCTTATGGCTGCATAGTATTCCATGGTGTGCCACATTTTCTTTATCCATTCTATTATTGTTGGATATTTGGGTTGGTTCCAAGTCTTTGCTATTGTGAATAGTGCCGCAATAAACATACGTGTGCATCCGTCTTTATAGTAGCATGATTTATAATCCTACGGGTGTATACCTAGTAATGGGATTGCTGGGTCAAACAGTATTTCTAGTTCTAGATCCTTGAGGAATCACCACACTGTCTTTCACAATGGTTCAACTAATTTACGCTCCCAACATCAGTGTAAAAGCATTCCTATTTCTCCACATCCTCTCCAGCATCTGCTGTTTCTTGATTTTTAATGATCGCCATTCTAACTGGCATGAGATGGTATTTCATTGTGGTTTTGATTTGCATTTCCATAATGACCAGTGATGATGAGCATTTTTTCATATGTCTGTTGGCTGCATAAATGTCTTATTTTGAGAAGTGTCTGTTCATATCCTTTGCCCAGTTTTTGATGGGGTTGTTTGTTTTTTTCTTGTAAATTTGTTTAAGTTCTTTGTAGATTCCAGATATTAGCCCTTTGTCAGGTGGATAGATAGCAAAAATTTTGTCCAATTCTGTAGGTTGCCTGTTCACTCTGGTGATAGTTTCTTTTGTTGTGCAGAAGCTCTTTAGTTTAATTAGAACCCATTTGTCAATTTTGGCTTTTGTTGCAATTGCTTTTGGTGTTTTAGTCATGAAGTCTCTGCCCATACATATGTCCTGAATGGTATTGCCTAGGTTTTCTTCTAGGGTTTTTATGGTTTTTATAGAATTAAAGAAACCCTTAAAGTGAATATATTTTTTAAAGCCCTAGTATGTATCATTTAGTAATATAATATGCCTTTTTTGTTAATAATATGAAGAAAATAAGAGAGTCAATTCAGATGGGAAATTGAGCTCCATATTGTTCTGTGCATTCTTGATAATATTTGACACCATATTTATCCCTTGAGGGTTGAGAAATAGACTTAATGATTAACCAAAATCTTAAGAGTACTGTAGAGTAATGTGTGGTTTTTGATTGTTCTAGCATTAGTAAAGAAACAATATTTGTACTGTATTAGCACTTGCTTAATAAAATTGCATACATATAGAAATTCAGACTGAATAGTCTCTTTATTGTGAAAGACTTAACAAAATTGATGTGTAAATTTGGCATAAATTCTAGTAACCATTGCTGAAAATCTGAAAATATTTTTATCCATATTCAATGTAGTAAATGGCAGTTTGATGCTTGTTAAAAATTTATTTACTCAACTAGATATTATGTGAAGTAAACATTTTCTCATCCTAAGCACTCTCAAAATAAGGAAGATGAAAAGCTACTTTTACTATGTGAAAGAAGGTTTATTTTTATTATCAATGAGTTATTACTGGGAAGATAAAAGAAAAAATGCTCAATATCACTGATTACTAGCAAAATGCAAATCAAAACCATAATGAGATACCGTCCCACACTGGTCAGAATGATTATTAAAAAGTCAAAAAATAATGGATTCTGGTGAGGTTGTGGAGAAAAGGGAACACTTATACATTGTTGGCAGGAGTGTAAATTAGTTCAACCATAGTGGAAAACAGTGTGACAATTCCTCAAAGAGCTAAAAACAGAAATACCATTCAACAGAGCAACCCATTAGTGGGTATAAACCTAAAGAAATATAAATCATTCTATCATAAAGACACATACATGTGTATATTCACTGCATCACTATTCATAATAACAAAGACATGGAATCAACCTAATGCCCATCAGTGGTAGGCTGGATAAAGAAAATGTGACACATATACATCATGGAATATTATGTAGCCATAAAAAGGAATGAGTTCATGTCTTCTATAGGACATGGATGGAGCTGGAGGCCATCATCCTTAGCAAACTCATGCAGGCACAGAAAACCAAATACCACGTTTTCACTTATAAGTGGGAGATAAATGATGAAAACACATGCACACAAAGAGGGCAACCACAGACACTGGGGCCTACTTCAGAGTGAGGGGTGGGAAAAAGAGGAGCAGAAAAAATGACTATTGGTTCCAGGATTAATACCTAGGTAGCGAAATAATCTGCACAACACACCCCAATGACATGAGTTTACCTACGTAACAAACCTGCCAATGTACCACGAACCTAAGATAAAGGTAAAATATTGTCTTTATTTGATGTGTTGTATCGTTAAACGCATTTTTAAAATGTATTTTATTTAAGTTAATAGAGTTTAAAGTAGGAATATTTATTGATTTAATTAGGAATAACATGCTGTGGGTTAAATTTTAGTTACATTCACTAAACTATGTTCATGGGCTTTAGATTCCCAATTGCAGTACTGGCACTGTGAAATTGGTATGTATGTTTATCCTTTTAGGCAGTAAACTTTTTAATGTAATGTTGTGAGATAGTTTTCATGGTGTTTCTACATGTCTTGTGACCATTTCTGTCCTGACTACCTTTGCTATACAAACATCCTTGGAAGATAGAGCTAGTGTCTTCCTCTTGAGCAAAGGAAAATTTGTTTCCATACCAGAACTATAAAGATAATGTTTTCCTCTGGTGCAAATTTGGGCAGGTTTGCTAGTAGATCCCTTATAAGATTTGGAGTTTCCTAAACTTGGTACTCCTCAGCTGTGACATGAAATCACTGGGTACACAGCATTTATCTGGGCCAACTGCGGCATCATCCCCACGGGACTTTGGGAGCAACGAGGGACAATGCAAGCATAAAGCTTGTGTGATTCTTTCTATGCCATAAGTGATAAAGTATCTTATGTCTGACCCAGGAGACTTATGTCTTCTACCATCATCAAAGAAACTGTGGCAGACTAACTCATTAGCTTGCAGGCGGGATAAAAATCTTACACTGTGGGCAGTTCTTGACAGAAGTGTATTAGTTATCTATTCGTACGAATTGTTTCTGAAACCTAATTCTTTTTTTCTTTTTTTTCTTTTGAGACGGAGTCTTGCTCTGTCGCCCAGGCTGGAGTGCAGTGGTGCGATCTCGGCTCACTGCGAGCTCCGCCTCTGGGGTTCACGCCATTCTCCTGCCTCAGCCTCCCAAGTAGCTGGGACCACAGGCGCCCGCCACCACGCCTGGCTAATTTTTTGTATTTTTAGTAGAGACGGGGTTTCACCGTGTTAGCCAGAATGGTCTCGATTTCCTGACCTCGTGATCCGCCCTCCTCAGTCTCCCAAAGTGCTGGGATTACAGGCGTGAGCCACCGTACCCCACCCTCTAAAACCTAATGATTTAAAATTATATTAGGTATCTATTATCTCTTATAATTTCTATGATTCAGGAATTCAGGTGCAGAATAGCTGGGCAGTTCTGGCCCAGGACTTTTAAATAAGTTGCAATCAAGCTGTAAAATCGGGTGGCATCACCTGAAGGTTCCATGGTTGATACAGAAATTGCTTTCATGTTGGCTCAATCATAGGGCTGGCAAGTTGGTTTAATCATGGGACTTTAGTGAATCCCCACGTGTGCATCTCTGCAGGGTGCCAAAGGGGCCTCAAGATATAGTCACTGGCTATTCCCAAGAGAAAAGTCTAAGAAATAGGGCAGCCACATTGGTACAATTTTGTACAGGATTCAGCCTGACACAGTTTGGAGGAAATTACATGAGTGTGAATATGAAAAAGTAAGGATTGGGAGAAGGGAGCATTTTGGAGGCTTGCTACCAGGGGCGATATCACTCAGATTATATGTTGACCTTCCAGTATGCCAATTTATTTTTCTTAATAGTGTTTTTAGTATTTATTGGATACCGCAGGATAATGGAGATTTTTAACATTTGTCCAGATAGTTTGTAATGAAAAGCAAGCAGAGCTATAAATGTATCTTTATCTTTTTCTTTGCTGCTAGAATATCCTGGAAGTCAATCTCAGGACTATTTTCAAATAAAAATTTAAAAGGAAGATGTCAGAACTGAAAGTAGTACAGAGAATTAGGTGAACATAGCAGCTAAACTTAGCAAGGTAAAATGTCATACTCCCAGAATAAACTGATAAGTCAATCATACAAATGCAACCAAATTATTGGAAAAAATCAATATAAGAAGAATAGCATCAGATTTCTCAGCTGTAACCAAAAATTATGAGAAATATTATTGAAATATTTGCAAAGTTAAAAGATAAAGGAATGTATACACTGTCAAACAAATAAATACAAGTGAAGGCAAAATTAAAGGCATTTTTAAACATTCACATTAAAAAATTATTTCATACTTCTTTAAAAGCTTCTCTATTTAGTAATCTTCCAGATGAAAAATAAATAAATTAGAATTGAAAGCTTAAGTTTGGATACCACTTTTGTTCACTTTAAGAACGGTTAAAAAAGACAATTCAGGTAAAAGTTTAGAGGATATGATAAAGTATAAAGAATAACAACAAAATTAAGATGGCAAGAAAGATACCAGCCATATAAATAACCAGAAAAAAGGCTAAGTGGAATTATATTATTAAAGGTTAATTACAGTACTGAAAAGAAAAAGAAAAGATTTTAATAGGGTATTTAAAAAATTCTACTGCAATGCAAGTCTAATAATGCAGTGTGTCATAGACTAGTAATTCTAAAGTTTCAACATTTATTAAATTAAGGTTAATCTGGAAAAGAACTCTGCGGTACAGTATTATCTGTTGTTACTTACAAAATATCATAAGCAAAAAGATTATCATATATTTTATAAGGCAATTGTTAGCCTGAGTATATCATTTTCACAGAAATACCACATAAAACCTAAGAAGCATGTGGCTAACATTTTCAGTTATTGACCACGAGGTATTTATAGATTCAGCTAACATTTGGGAATCCACCCTTTCCTCGTTCTCAGTTGATGTTTATCTGGAAAACTGTGTGATATGTGCATCAATTCTCAGGAGCATTCTGTTCCGTGGCCACCCTAAGTGTACTGGAAGTTGGCATATGATCCAATAACTATGAGGCCCAGAATCCAATGACTATGAGGCCCAGGAAGTTTACTGAAATAATTATAAAAAGCTGCACCATCTTAGCTGCTGAACATAAATTTATGTGGAATTTAGCCTTTTTAGTTGAAAGTCTTTATGCTAGTACAAGGTAACCATCTCTTTGGAAATGCAACCAACACAGAAAACGTGGAGCATAAAGTAGAGACTTAATGTCATATCTTTACCATATGAATGGCTAAATCTAGTGCCTGAGTGGAATATATATGTAACTTTTTATTTTATTTGTTTCACATAGGGTCTCACTCTGTCACCCAGGCTGGAATGCTTTGGTGCTATCTCAGCTCACTACAGGCTCAAGCTCCCAGCTCAAGCAATCCTTGCCCCTCAGCCTCCTGAGTAGCTGGGACTATAGTATTTGCCTTCATGCCTGGCTAATTTTTTTTTAATTTTTTTGTAGAGACGAAGTCTCACTATGTGGTCCAGGCTAGTCTTGAACTCCTGGGATCAAGTGATCCTCCTGCCTCAGCCTCCTAAATTGCTGGGATAACAGGCATGAGCCACTGTACTTGGCCATTTCACTTTTTAGATATATAATTTAATAAATTTCATCTTTTTCTTTTTTAAAGTCTTAGAATTGAGTGTTTTTATATAAATCATAATCAAATGAAACAATTATTATAATGAATAGTAAGAACTGAAAGTAAATTATCCTGGCATCAATTTACAGATTATATAATAATACTCATCAAATTTACTACTTCAAACAGTCATTACGGAATTTCCAGCTTCCATTAGGGGGTGGAAAGAACCTCAGATAATCCACAAAAGTCATACTTTCTTAACCCATTACAGAATTAAGGTCATAGGACAACCAATCATCCTGAGATCTAAGAAAAGTTGGACTTCTCTAAGGAGAAACTGGAAATGAGCACAAGCTTCCAAGGTGAGAAATAAGCCAGGAAGAATTCAGCTAAAATGCTTAACAACTCGCTAAAGGATAGTATGACAGCATAAAGCCGCTGATAATGCAGATGCAAAAAAAACTGCACTCACCTATGGCTCTTTTCCTTAAACCCAGGAGAAAGCTGGAGGGCTAGAAAGGGAGCCAGAGAATGCATCCATCATGGTCAAGGCCTGAGGGAGAAAGCATATGGCAGATACTGTGGGAAAGACACGAGGAAACACTAGAATCTTTCTCCCCTATAGAAAACTGTTCTTAAGCTACTGGGCAAAGAGATTGCCCTGCTATCCTCAGATAATGGGGCAGAAACACTGTGGTTATAGGTGGGAGGAAAAAAAAACAAAAACAACAAACAAAACAAAACCCTTTATCTTTGCATCAGGTAGAAAAATGATTCTAGGCCCAGAGAAAGTCTCCTGCTGCTGGTGGAGGAGCAGAAGCTTTGAGAAAGGCCCACCTAGGAGAGGCAGAACTTTAAGGCTGGCCTAAGACTGTGGTGGAAACTGGGCAAAAGAAAATGCCCACATGTGTCCAGGACCACTAAAAAGGCATTGAATAACAAGTAACAGCAGTCTAAATCTGGGAAGAAGGCAAAATCATAGAGAGAAAGCACATCTGAAATGCAGCCTCCCTCGCAGGGACAGCAGAAGCTGAAGGTGGGATAAGAATAGTGAGTGTAAAGAACCTTCCTGCAGTCCACATACCCCACCTTAAGCTAAAAGGTTGAGGATTTGAAGCCAGGAAACCAAACCAATTTTATCTCAATCCTCATCTAGTTTGACTTGATACCCTACAATCAGTGGCCTAGCTAACAAGAGTTATGCCTATTTTAAGCTATAAATACTATTTCATCAGTCTCTACTGTTCTATACTCTATATAGAGCTTTAACCAAAAATCATCAGAAACACCCAGAAAACAACAACAATAAGCAGAAGAAATAACAACACTTTTATTAGAGTAAGCCAAAGCAACAAAAAGAAGATGTAACATTCCCCACATGTTGAAACCACAAGGCAGGAAATTTTAAATAATAATAATTAATATATTAAAGACTTAAATGAGTAAGATGGGAAATATGTATGAATAAATGAGGGATGGTATCAAGGAAATAAAAATATAAAGACAATCAATAGAGATACTAAAATATTTGTGATGAAATTATCACAATCTCAACATATCCAAGCAAAGAATCAGTGAACTTAACTATGTCATTAGAAATTATGCAAACTCCTACACAAAGAGACAAACTAGTAAAAGAAAAAAGGGAAAGAATCAGAGCATCAATGAGACACAATATAATATAAATGCTCCAAAATACATGTTATTAGAATTCCAGAAGGAGAAATGAGAATGGGGCAGATGAAATATTTGGGAAAAAAATGGCTGTAAATTTTCCAAGAAGAGCAATAGATACCAAAATACAGATCCAAGAAGCTCAGAAAACCATGATTAATCAATGCAGAAAGAAAGATAAAAAGACAGAAGGAAGGAAGGAAGGAAGGAAGGAAGGAAGGAAGGAAGGAAGGAAACACCATAGACATATCATATTCAAACTAGTAAAAATCATGAATGAAGACACCATCCTGAAGGCAGCCAGAGAGAAAGGATGCATTGCTTACAGGGGAGCAAAGAATGAAAGAATTTTCAAAAAGTATATAACTTAAAAGATGATAGTGTGACAGATTTAGAGTGTTAGAAGGGAAAAAACTGTCCACTAAAACTTCTACAACCTGTGAAAATCTTTCAAAACTAAAAAAATATAAAGACCTTTTAATCCCAATAAAATCTCAGCAAATTCATTACCAGCAGACTCACGTTTACAAGAAACGTTTTAAGCAGAAGGAATATGATGCTAAACAGAAAGTTTAATCTGTACAAAGAAACAGAGTGCTGAAGGTGGGATAAATAAAGACACATTAAACCAAATTAGACAAAATAATTAAACATTTCAACACAACAGAAAGAACAACACTAAAATTTGTATATCATAAAAAAAGGTAAGCAATATAACATGAGCCATATCTAATAGGACTTCAGAAATTATCTATCCTATAGTTCCAGGATGACGATGATGATGGTTGTGATAATGATGAAGATTGTGATGATAGTTATATGGGAGATAAAACTTTAAGCACTTTACATATTAAATTCTATAATATTCACCACATCTATTAAAATATGTTACATTATTGTCCCTATTTTACCAACAAGAAAACTGACCAACAAGATTAAACAACGTGACTAAGTTCACACAACCTATAACAGCAGAATCTATATCAATCACAACACAATTAGCAGCTATTTCTGTGGCAATTTTCAATAAAGATGTGTCTGAAGAAAATCTCCATGATATTTCTGGGCTTTTGACTGCTAATGTGGCAAAGAAATAGGAGCAGAACTGGGAATATTTCTAAGTCATGAAAAAGTGAATTTTCTCTTACATTAATGAGTAAACAGTTATTTTCTAACTCTTTAAATAATTTCAAAACAGTTTTAGAAGTAAAAAAAGGAATTGTAGTCTGTTCCAAAGGAAACGTTTGTAATACAATTTCTATAAACAGAGTGATATATAAGCTGTTCTTTTTACATTACTATACTGCATTGTATAGTATACTGCATTGATCACCTTACAAATAGTCTCTATAATATTGTTTAATAAAATATGTTAGAAGAAAACATGTATTTACAAGCATCCATTATTGTATTGTTACTATTGGTTCTCATATTTATAATACAGTAGTGTTTAATTATGCTGTAAATTAGTGAACATTTACAGAAAAATATGTTGAAATGGTACATCATACAATGTAAATTTAGTTACCTTAAAGTATCAATAGCACCACCTTGGGGTGTTCGCTATTTCAGAAATGCTATAATATGTTTCAATATAAATTCTTTTCTGCAGACACAATGTGTCAGAAACATAATTAAATCTAAATATCATGGAGATGGGTGACAAGTACTTAAATTTGTAACATTTGTACAGAAGCATACTTTATGGCAGAAAAAAAGATGAAAGAAAGGAAAGAGGACAATAAAGACAAACAAAAGAAAGAGAAATAAATATTAGTATGACATTTACAAAATAAATTACGGTATTAGCACAGTTTGTCTATTTCTGGGTCTTCTCTGTCTAGGCGCACATTGGTAGGACTGAACTTCCCAGGACCCATGATGTTTAGCAAAACCATAAATGTGAGTGTAAGTTACCTGGGTCACTTCCAGACTGAGATCTTAAGCACCAAAAGATGTTTTACCATACCATCTCTCACAGTCAGCAAGGCTATCGATGGTTGCTGCTTGGTCAGTCTGGATCCAATAGACAGGAAGACAGATAGCAAAGCCCAAAAGAAACCTTCAATGAACATGTATCACAAGACATTTTTAAAAAGCTTTTTTTGTGTTTTTATGCCAAAGATATTCTTTATTACCGAATGATTACTTTATCTTTACATAAATATTGTGATTATAAACTGAAATATAGTATTTCTATGTAAAACTATAGAATTTGTCTATATAATGACATAGAAAAATCTAGACTACATTTAGGAGTGAAGAAGCTGGGTAGACGATAGTATTACAGATTAGTGTATATAATTGAGACAGTAATGGAGAGCATTGTTGTTATTTGGTATGGGGGAGAAATGTTTTCTGAAAAGCAACGTGGTAAATCCATAAATCATTTGCCTTGTAGTAACACAGCTTGAATTAGAGCAGGTATTTAGCAATATTATTTACCCTGTTAAATGTAATTTCAAAATTTCTCATAGACTATCCTGGGAGATTGAATAAATGCTCAACAATATTGCCCCATAAAACACAGAATGTCATCAAATATACACAATTATGAAAATGTAGCAAAGTATACAGTGAGTATTCAGTATTTTTGAGCCTAAATAAGAAAGGATATAAATTATTAATAATGAGCAGTATTTCCTTTTTACATGATGTCTAAACCTTTACATGATGTCTAACATTATAGGTTCAGGCTTTGTTTTGGTATTTTTCTAAATAACAATTTCTAAAGTTTCTATTTTTAAAAATAAGTTATTGATATCTCCACTGATAGTCTGTAGAGAAAAACTATTAGGTTGAAATAATTGCTATATACTTTAAATGTCTTTGAAATTTTAGAAAAAAATCAATTACCAATCTTCAAGTTGGATTACTCATTAAATATAAATTTCTAAGTATTTCTTTTAGAGACAAAGAATATAAAACAATATTTGATGTTTTAACTAGGAAAAAAACCTGCTATTTTAATCTTACACAAATGTGCATAAGACAACTCCACAATAAAAGGAGAACCGAAAGAATGCCTTCAGCTTTGATTATTTTATACAAAACAAATTCATATTAAAAACATTGATGGTTCAACTGATGTGTGTTCAAATATTTAATATCTATATATAAAAATATTTCATGAATTCTATAAAAATAAAACTTGCTGCAATATTATGCTACTGAGATTCAATTAAATATTACTACAATACAAAGCTCATTTGAAAATATTCACATTTGTTTTGTATTATCTTAAGCAACTTCCTATAATAGTTTGGTTTACTTTTTTTTCCCAGTGATCAATATAATTAATTTACTTATTTGAATATTTACCTCAAAGGAGGTGTTTGTACACCTAAAAATGGGTAGGCAAAAGAATCATACCTTGTCAAGTATAAAGCTTCCTAGGCAAGTAGACCTAATGGGAAAACATTCTCTAATAGAAAGCTGACCGAGATCATATTTCTCTATTTAATGTACAAAGCCAAATTGAAAGACTGGCTTGTCAGCAAATGTTTAACTACAGTGAAATTCATGCCTACCTCTAGTACTCTAATTAGAAATTCCAACATAATTGAACTAGAAGACATTCTACACTTTAATACTGTAGCACCCTTTCATTAAAATTCAATACTCCATATTTTCATTACATGTTCATCATTCTGAGTATAAATTTCTTCAGAATATTCTCTCCTTAAAGGAAAATAGAAAGGAACTTTACTTCAGAGCAGAAATCTTAGATTAATAGGATAAATTGTGTATTAGATATAGAAAGAAAAAATAGTCATTTTGCAACCAAATAATAAAGTGCCACCATAAAAACCTACAACACATAATAAGAATAATAAAAAGAACGAGTTATAAAGAGAATCTTCATCAACATTAGAGTAAATGGCATCTAAGCAAATCTGAGTTTAGTATCATAGTGTTGGAAAGAAAGAACAAAACAATTACAAACATAACAGTATGGATTGTTGTTGTATTTAAAGAAGCGGCCCCTGCTAGTACTTCTAGAATGTAGAAAGATGAAGATTCAGGCATTACCTGCTTCCCAGCTGGTTGGATGATTATCCAGCTTAGCATCAGGTAGTTAAGTTGTACTGAGGCAAAATGAAAACATGAGAGGATAATGCTAGAGGATCCAGCTGGGCCACAGACAAAGTTTTCATTCCTCTATTCACTCATGCATTCATTCAGCACAAATTTATCATGTATCCAGTATAAGCTAAACATTATCCCAGATACAAAGATGAATAAAACAATGCTTCTCACCCTCAAAGGATTAAATCTAGTAAGTGTAGACAAACAAATGAACAAAGTTAATGCAAAAGAATATCGAGGGTACTCTGATAGAAGTGGGGGGTCAGTGCTACTTTGAACTTGAATGACTTTTTGAAAAATTCCCTTCCAATTAAGCAAGGCAGTCTTTTCTATATTCCTAGGATCCTTGCTACATATCTAGACAGAATCTGGGGGATGAATACTAATATTTAAATTACCAGAATATACATAATTAAATGACAAATTGTGTGGCACATACAAAATTTCTCAAGGACATATATAAGAGGAGAGGAATAATGAGGACCAGAGTACTAAGATATATTATCAAATCAGAGGCAGAACAAAATTTAAAGAGAGGAAAATAATCTCTACATAAAGAAATACATATATCAGATTTATACTGACATCTGTATACAGAGATATGTATACACACGACAAGCTTAATAGGAAACAACATTTCATAACATATCTGCATACACACAAAAACTTTCTAATAATGTTTTGCCATATCCTGTTTTAAAAGGGTTTTTCTTTAAATGGCTTTTTAAATCAACACTTGAGGTATTCATTTTTTATTCATAGTTTTTGTTTGTTTGCTTGCTTTTGACTCAGTCCCTTCATATTGACCACCTTTTCCTTGAATCCTTTTACACATTTATCTTCGTTAAAGTCTCTACCTGATGGTTTTAATATTTGGGTCTTGGGTTTCTCTAAATCTGATTGTTTTGAATGCTCTGTTTCTTCATATTGGTGTGTGTGTGTGTCTCATAATTTTTGATTGGACAGTGGCATTGTATACAGAAGAACAGAGAAGACCAAGGTCAGTATTATCTATCCCTGGAATTAAGCAGCTTCATCTCCTGTCAGGCCATTCTTGCAGTGGGTAGAGTTAAAATAGTGGTTAGAAGTTGAGCTGGATTTCCATTTTGTCATTGCTACCCTTTCCATTAGTGCACTAAAAGCTTCAGTTTCTTCAGGGGAGACCTGCTGTTACCTTGTGCTCACAAGGTTGCTTGGGCTTCTGAGTGAATTTTCTCAGTGTTCCTGCTCCACCTTCAGCTTTTAGCAGTCTCTGCACAGCTCTCTCCCCACCGTTGGAACTCTCTCCCAATGGGAGACTGCTTTTCTTGTTGGGGGTGGGGGAGAGGGAACGGTAGGGCTTTTGTTCTCCTGGCACAGCTTCAGTCTTCTTAAAAGACCTGTTCATCTGAGCCTCAGGGGTGGTGCTTTCTCACTCTTGCTCTTCTCCTAATGGCCAGCAATTTCTATCTTGTGTCTGTGGTGTTTTGGGTAGAAGTTTCCTGACCTTCTCCCAGAAGGAACAGGCCTCTGCTTCTCATCCATAAAAGAAGGGTTTATCGATACTTTTCAGATGTAGAGGGTTTTTGCTTTTCCCCCTGCCCCAAAAGCAATGAATTTTAACCTTAATCCTGGAGGTGAGTATTGGCCGCCCCTCCCCCAATTACCTTAAACTTTTGCTTCATATCAGAGCAGGTAGAGAAACAGATGGTGACCATGGCATGGTGGCTCATGCTTGTAATTCCACCACTTGGGGAGGCAGAGGGGAGAGGATCACTTGAGCTCAGGAGTTCAAGACCAGCCTGGCCAACCCCGTGTCTACTAAAAATACAAAACTTAGCCGGGCATGGTGGCAGGTGCCTGTAGTTCCAGCTACTTAGGAGACTAAGGCACGAGAACCCGGGAGGCAGAGGTTGCAGTGAGCAGAAATCACGCCATGGCACTCCAGCCTGGGTGACAGAGTGACTCAGTCTCAAAAAAAAAAAAAAAAAGAGAAACAGGTGGTGATCAGTTACTGCACCCACTCTCGTGCCAGCTGATCAACCCCTGCCTACCAGCTCCCTAGGGGGACCCTCAGCAGCTTCCTGCCTTGCCACAAATCTTTATTAGTACCTGGTAAAGGGCTGGGAATTAGAGTTTGTAAGAAACTCAGACTCTCCTGCATCTTGTGTTCTCAATTTTAACAGCTTCATGTTAGCCTATACCAGGGCTTTAAGAATTTATGAACATTTTAGCTGATTTCTTCTTACCCGATTATATGATGACCACCACTTCCTCCAGTGACCAGAGTAAAACAAATGCTATGTCTCATTGTTCCTTAGACGTGCTGTCCCTCTTTCTGACTCAGTTTGCTTAGTTACCTTACAACTGTAGCTCTCTAACGGTTTCAGAAGAAATAATGATTTTTGCTAATTATCTATATTTCTTTTCTTGCTGTTAGGAGGTGAGTGACATTTTCTTGCTGCTTTCTACATACTAATCAGAAAAAGAATTCTAAATTTTTTAAATTAACAATTTAAATTTTCTTGGTGCTTTCCTAATAAGAAAGGAGACCAAAAACGATTTGCCTATTATTTAGTACTTTATGCTTCCTCAAGTCTTGGTCAAAATTTTTGTTCACAATACTACTGGTGTTCTAGAAATGCATATAATAAACTATGCACTTATCTATCATTTAGCTGCAGCCTTCATTTTTGAGCAAGTATGATCATATTTCAGGCTTCTCTATAGAAATAATCTTATTTTTCTCTTTCTATGATGAAATAATGTAGTAAAATTCAAACATTTTTTACTCACGCATCTCTTTCATCAGATGAAACTTTATGTGTATTCCTAATACACAAATGATATGAAAGCAAGGATGTTCTGTTTCAAGTGCAGGAGGGGAAAGATGAAAGAATGCCCTTCTGTTGTCTGCTCTGCATCTGTCCCTCAAACTCCAAACTGGCCCTCGAGCAGCCTCGGAGGATTTTTTGGTAACTTTTAAAAAACCCAAACCTTACCCCAGACCTATGTAATCTAAATTTCTAGAAATGAAGTCCACGAATGAATATATTAACTTACTATTTAGGTAACTCTGATGTTTGGGCATCTTTAGCACAGCATGAAGAATTTTAATTTGTCTCAATGTAATTTATTAAATTGAAAGTATTACATGTGTGATAATATAGACAATCACATTCTGAAGCAAAAATGTTATTACACTTTCATAAAATCTTACAGCAAAGATATTCTCTGCATTTCCCCTAAGTACTATGTTTATTTCAGATATCATTTTCTAAGAGAAATCTAAAACATAAAAATTACTAAATGGAATGGCATGCAAAACTTAGGGAAGAAAGAGTTGGTATTTTGCAATTTTTTTTCATTTACAACACACCAACTCTTTTTCTATACTAGAAATGAAAGATAAATAGTTGCTTTAAAATAAGCTAAGCAAATTCATATCTTAATAATTATAAATTTATAAAAGATACATGAAAATAATAACCTTTTATAACACATAAATTGGAACTATAGAAAATTTTACCTGAAAAACTTAAAAACATACTTAAAGGAAAGTTAAGCACAATTTAACATATTACAATCATAGGTTCTGTCAAGTTATTATTCCTTCACATGTATAATTCATTGTGCATATATATGATGATTCATAGGAGGTCTAGACACTTCAAGCTGATAAATCTCATATATTTAAGCTTTTTTAACTGATTATTTGCAGTATATTTTATAGCAAAGAAACAATATTTTTTTCTGGTTTACCAGTAATTCTATTGATTTTACAACCATTATTAAATATACATTGTCAAATGTCTACATTATAATTGTTAAATGTGAAATATAGGGAAACTATTACCTAGATGAGTGAATATGAAACTATATATACCGCTATAGCAAAGCTACAAGGAAAAACTCTTTCAATGAAAGCAGCTAGCCTAGAAGAAGTGAAACCAAGACCTCCAGGGAGAGAACCCGGTGAAATAAAAACCCTGCAGCAAGGGAGCCTTCAGTTAGTCCTGTCCCTGAACATATAAATTATGTGAAAAAATATATTCCACGTTGTTGAAACTAAACTATTTTGCACAGTTGTTTGTTACTTGCAATTAAGAGTCCTGACAGTTTGCCCATTTCATCAAATGAGCATAAATAATTTTTATATAATACTCATCTACTAACATAAAATATTTATCAGGATAATTATCATAGAAATATGAGATTAGTGTATTCTCACAATGTTAAGAGTTTGCATCTTGTTTTAAATTATGCTCATTTCTGTATTTCCATGTGTTTTTTTTAATTTATTGATTTATCATGGGTTTTCAATTTTTGAATGTTGAAAGAAAATAGGTTTGTCAGTTATACCCATCTTATCTTCTATTTCTCCTTTTTTAACATTTATAATGTTTAAACTTTTAGTATTTTTTCTATTTTCTTAGGCATATTTGTAGTTATTTTTCTAACTTTTTTCATGCTTATTTTAAGTTTATTTTCATAAATAATGATAATATACATGATAAAATAAAATTAAATATATTTATTTTAATCCAAATATTGTCTTGTCACATTTCATAAAATTTTAAGTTACAGCAATTAGGTAAAATTAAATTCTAAATAAGTTATAATATTCTTTTTTAATAATTTTCCTTATCCATAGGCAAGTTTTTTGAGCTTCAGATGGTTGTGGGGTTTACCCCTCATTTCTGTGAGCTGATGATAGGAAACATTCTATAAAAGTCCTTATAGCTGAAATTGTTTGAGGTGTTCTTAATGGTCCAGAGTGGCTTTGATATTTCTAAATATCCTTTAATATTCTAAGATGATTTCTTGTCTTTGCTATAGGCTTGTAGATTATTCTTTTTATGGATTATTTATTAATAAAGACCTGCTTACTAAACTAATCTTCTACATCATATGTCTTTTTGTGTGGTCTATCAACAATTGAAAAACAAAATGTATTCTAAAGTCTGTGGCTGTGAGTGTAGCTTTGAATTTTTTCCTAAGAGAATTTTTCAGCAGGTACTTCAATGCAGTATTAATCATTGCTGCTTCTAGGATTTCATTTCATGAGACATGGTACCACATAAGAAGGAGAGGCAATAAATATGAAACCACAAATATATACTTACTTTGATAGATTCTATGACCAATTTATAGGAGATATAAAATATTTGTGTATCCTAAGATACCAAAAACCATCACCTTATAATCTCATCCTTTTTTGTTTTTTAGTGAAAATCTCTCCAAAACACTTCCAGAACCTATACCCAAAATGCCAGACCATAGGCTACTCTAGTTTGATACTTTTCTGTTTATAGTACCATTCGTTTGAAGAAGAATAACATGACTAATCAACCAGGAGAGCTCTTGACCAGTTAAGTTTCTTCCTAGTTTGAAGTTCTAGCTTTGGTGTTTCAGCTGAGATCTTGGCTCATTATTTTGTAGTGCTAGCACTCAGAATTCCTCTCTTTATCTTATTTGTTTTTGTACAATACTTTGCTTACTTTGTACAGTTCCCCTGAATTCAATGATTTAACATGCTTTATTCCTTGTATATCAGTTTTCTACTGTTGTGTAACAAATTATCACAAACTTAATGATTTTTTTTTTTCCAAACCACCCATTTATTAGCTCACAGACTCGTAAGTGAGAATTCTAGGCATGATGTGTCTGGGCGCTCTACTCAGGGTCTTATAAGGCTGAAATCAGGGTGTTAACTGAGCTGTACTTCTTTCTGGAAGCTGCAAAAAAATCCACTTTCACACTCACTTAAGTTGACTGCACTCAGTTCCTTGCAGTTTTAGGACTGAGGTAGCTGGTTCCTTACTGGCCGTCAGCCAGGAGCTGCTAATAACCCTAGTTGCTTCCTGCATGCTCTACCATGTGGTCAGCAATAGAGAATCTCACTGGTTCCAAACTCCTCTGGAGACTTGAATCTCTCTCCCCAGAAGGAGATCAGTTCTTTTAAGGACATATCTAATCGGGTCAGAGTCACTCAAAATAATCTCCCTATCTTAAAATCAACTGATTTGGAACCATAAGAATGTCTTTACTTTTGCCATATAATCTAGCATAATCATGGACGTGATTCCTCATAGTATTCACAGATTCTGGCCACACTCAAGAAGAGATTACATGAGGTTAGTGGTAATGGCTGGTGGGGGAATGTCATCTTAGAATTTAGTCTTCTACACTATGTAATAAAAAGAATTATCATTTATCTTGATTAATTCTACCCCAAAATAATTACCTCTTTTATCAATATATAACTGTGCTTCATTTCCCACTTATGACTGAAAATCTGCTTACACTACCCATCCATGTTTTGGTTTTTGTTTACATATACCTGGCACACAATTACTGATTCTATTCTATTTCATCTCTTTTGTCATTTTGTTTTAAGTTTATTTCTCCTAAATAGAATATATATTGGTTTTGCGTTGACCTGTCTTAATCCCTTCAGGCTACTATTACAAATACTGTAGAACCACTGGATTATCCACAACAGAAAATTTTTATTTCTCACAGTTCTGGAAGCTGAAAGTCCAAGATCAGTTTGCCGACACAGTCGGGATCTGGTGAGGGTCTTCTTTTGTATTGTAGACTTCCGATTTCTTGTTGTAGAAGTTCTCTCATGGTGGAGAAAGGAAACAAATTCTCTCCTGACTCTTACAAAGACAGTGATCTCATTCAAGAGTGCTCCTCTTTCATGGGCTGATCTTAGATTCCAATTACATCCCAAAGAACCCAAACCATGAACATATTAATTTTGGGAGAACATAAGCATTCGGTCCATAACATGATTTATCCTAAAATCTTTGTAATTTATTTGATACTTCCCTGAAGGTTCTCGTTTTTTAAATTTTCTTTGTTTTATTCTCTATTGATTTCTATTTTCTTAATATGTTGAGTTACTAATAAATATGATTGAATCTGTATTTCATTTCAACAAAAAACAAATAGAAGTTCTTTAATGATTACTCCTATAATGTAGGCCAGTTTTATCACACTCCCCACCTACCTTGCTCCCCAACACATACACACCCATGTTCCATAATTCTCTCCCAGTATTTCGGAAATTATTTTAAATTATAGTTCATGGTATTTTTCTTTTTCATTCTTGAGTTATTTACATCAATTTTTCTTTTAAATTCACTGTAATTTTGAAGTTCTGTGTTACATTTTTTGAGATTTTGTCTATTGGAAACAATCACATTATTGCCTTCATCCAGCATACATTTTAATTTTTTCTATTAAATTTTGGATACACTGAAAATCTTTTATATCTTCTCCTTGCCTTTAGGTTCCTCTTTTACTTCTTTTCTCCTTAGAAGTACATTCTTCTTATATTTTGTTAAGAATATATTTTCTTACCTAATAAACTGGACCAGATATAATGAATTTGAAAATTGTGAATTTCCTCTAAATCATCTGTGATGTGTTTTTATAGGCTCTAAATTAGTTTATTTTCCCCATTTTACTCACTCTGTAAGCAGGCAAGATCTCCATACATGCTATAGCAGCTGTCCCCCACCTTTTTGACACCAGGGTCCGCTTTCATGGAAGACAATTTTTCCGTGGACCAGAGGTGGGGGATGGTTTTGGAATGATTTAAGCAAATTACATTTACTGAGCACTTTATTTCTATTATTATTATTACACTGTGATATATAAGTAAATAATTATACAACTCACAATAATGTAGAATCAATGGGAGCCCCAAGCTGGTTATCCTGTAACTAGACAGGATAGGGGTGATGAGAGACAGTGACAGAGTATCAGGCATTAGATTCGCCTAAAGAATGAGCAACCTAGATCACTTGCACACACAGTTCCCAATTGGGTTTGTGCTCTTATGAGAATCTAATGCCACCATAGATTTGATAGGAGGTGGAGCTTAGGCGGTAATGCAAGTGATGGGGAGGCTGTAAATACAGATGAAGCTTTGTTCACTCACCCGCCACTCACCTCCTACTGTGCAGCCCGGTTCCTACGGGCCATAGACCAGAGCCACGGCCCAGGAGTTGTGTATCCCTGCTCTATAGGAATACAGGCATTGTGGAAATGCCTTAGCTTTCCTCACTCACCATTCAAGTGAGACCATATTCTCTGCTCAACTTTGAAACTGAAGGGGAGGCTGATTTTCACAGTCCCAGGCATGGTCCCATTCCTAGCATGGATTCAATAGGTGTAGCTCAGCTGTCCTTACAGGGTGCTAGTCCTACAACTACCTCCCCAGTATAGCGTCTCTGACTCAGTAAAGCAGAGCAATAAAGCAAAATTATACTCCCCGGCATGCATTGCTACCAAGTGGCTCTTCCTTCACCTTTCTATCCTTCTGCTTTCCAGGAGTTCAAACTTCTCAGGAGACATACAAAGCCATTGATTGAAAGAGATCAATTTCCCAGTCACTCCAAAAAGCAGCATTTGCAGCTAACTTTTTATGGAAAGGAACTAGGTCTTTAAAATAATGGGAAAACACTGGAGCAGGGAATAAAATAGGAAGGGTGTGCATAGGCAAAGCCCAGGGGTCATAAAGGTGAGATCTAGTTTGGGTTTATTTGTTTATTGGTATGTTTGCTTGTTTTTTTGATATAAAATAATGCTATTGATTTAATAATTAGAGCTAACTCCTTATTTAGGAGGACTTAAATTCTTAATTCTTAGCCAAAGAATTTATGTTCAAGTTGTTTGTTTTTATTTCGCTTTCTTTCATGTATGGATTTTATTGATAATTTAAAATAAGGTAAGACTTACTCAGTATTTTAAGCCAGAATAAACTAGATCAGACTTTAAAAATCAAAATGTTTAATTCCATAATATGATGAGTGTTTTTACAGGACTCTCACAGTGACTCAATGAATGTTCATGGGAAATTGAAAAAGATTTTACCTTTGCACTGAAGAGTGGCCCATTATGCACATTATCATAATAAATCAACATGACATTAAAACATTCTTTCAAGTCAATATATCAATAAATATTGTCTGAGTGTCTACCATGGTAGAAAGACTGGAGGCAAAAAGCATATCAGAACTTTAAAGAATTTATGTCTTTGCAAAGACAAAACTACCATATGCTGGGACATGGACTCTACACAAAAATTACTCACTTGGGCAGGGCAGACCATAAGCACTGAAGAAGCTGAGAAGAGGACAAAATCAATATTAAGAGCTCTTAATGAATAAGGTAGCCAGGAAATGGAAAACAAATTCAAGGGTGAGAAGTTTAGCTCCACCCTAGTCCGGGACTAATTACACACTCACACACACACACACACACACACACACAATTCACACATTTATTGACCTAAAGAAAGAAACTGAGGCACAAAATGTTATTTTAAAGACTTTACTTGAGCCAAAATGAGAACATCTGCCTGGAAGACTCAGACTTGAGTAACATTGTGTCAAACTCCTGTTTGGCCATTGTTACAAGCAGACTTTTTAAGGCAGAAAAAAAAAAAGAAAAAAGACAAGGAGTGGGTTGATACAAAGCTGTTTGTCTAGAATTCTCATTTGTTTACAGAAATAATACTGGTTAGTAATTGACCATACTTGATATGGGTTATGGTGTCTGGTGTGCAGCATTTTTAGGTGAATTTATAGCTACTTCTGGTGCAAACAGCTTTAAAATATGATTACTTAGGGGAAAATGGGACATGATTGCTGTGCCATTTCTATACCTTTCTGAGCCTGATAATTTAGAAGAGGCTCACGTTTCTCAGATAAAAGTTTCTTTTCTTTCTCACTTTACAACCCAAAGTGACAAAGTGACATGGAAAATTATCTAATTTTGATAACGAAGTGTAATGAACATAATTATTATTAAAGTTTAAATTAATTTTTGAGTCACAAATTACCTAATTGTTATGAACACATTTGAGAATAGTTATCATAAAAATTAATTTAACACCCACATTCTTTTGCATCATTTGTTTCTGTTCAAAAGAAATGTCATTGCCTTCAGCCCTTCTCCTAAAATGGCTTGAAGACTATGACATTTCAGCCCAGTCATCATTTAATTTAGGTAGACCTTCTGGTAGATGACTTCCCTAACTGGTTATCTTCCTTAAAATGATCATTTTTTAAAAAATATTTTTCAGATGTCAAAAGTCGAAACGTGGAAAATATTAAAAAGCTTTAAAAAAGAAAATTAAATTATCTAAAATTCTCACATTTAAAGATAACTATTGTGTTGCATTTTGCATCTTAATCTTGCATTATTGTCTCTTCTGATTTTCCTATGCCACTTAAAATTTAACTGAAGGTTTAGGAAGTAAAATTTCCTTTAATAGAAATTAAATTTCAACTTCTTAATGCAGGTTTCTTTCACTCAAATTAGTTGTCATTTGATCCATCTTGCAAACATATTCATCTTACAAACAAAATAACTTCAGAAAAAAATTATGGAACACACGTTTAATAAGTTGACAAAAACACTAAAATTACTACAAACACTTTTTCTTAAAATAATTTAGTACTGAACTAACCACAATGCTATTAGATTATTTTGATGCCTATAAAGAAACAAATTATTATAGCACTTTTATTTATATACATAAAGCTCATCAAGAATTTTGTTTCTTATTAAATGCTACTACCCCCTTTGACACTCAGAGTTTCATCTCAATACGGCCTCTGAAGACTCTTTAGTTAATGTGTATTTGAAGTATCATTCTACTTGCAATGAACTGTGCTGAAAAGTACCATCAAGCCTTTAGCATTGAAAGAAATCAATCTAGTGATGGTAAATGGTCTGTGGTCTCATAGGGATAGACTCATCTGTTAAAACATTAAAGCTATACAAATCAAATATCCTTTCCTTTTGTAGAGCGCTCTATGTAGAATTAATGCATTTTAACCCACAAGACACTAGTATTTTCTATTCTTGTAAGATGTACAGTACCCTAGAACTTAAAGTATAATAAAAAAAAAAAAACTCATATCTCCAAGGTGCTGTGAAATTTACCATTTCAGTTTCATTCAGCTTTTTTCACAGATTATTATAGCCAAATGCTGAGATACGGATCAATAACTGAAAAGTGATCTAATTTGTTTTGTTGTTTTGTTATTGTTGCACACCCACAATTAACTAGATGCATGCCAATAATTTTCAGAAATTAATAATAGATGGACAGACTCCTAAAGACAGCGTTGGAAGTTGCCTGCAATTATTTTACAATAGCTGCATCAAGTCTAAAGCTTCTCTATTCTATCTACAATAGCCACACAAATATAAAAATATTATGTGTCTGAAACTGAAAGGATCAAAATAGCTGGATCAAGTTTAAATCTTTCCTATCCCATCAACAATAAAATATAGCATATAAATATATAAATATTATGTGTTTGAAACTGGAAAGACACAAAAGTGATTTTGTTAAAACAATTTTTTGCATTCAGAATTGTAGTCACAAGAGCATTATAACTTTCCCAGTTTACAACAGGTTATAAAATAATGTCTTTTTTTTTGTTTTACCTATTTCTCATAGACAAAACTACCAATTTTTCATGGAAATTGTAATATAAACTTACCAAAATAAATATATAAATTTAGAAAATGTTCTAGATGGTTTTTAATCTTAACATGGAGAAATAAAAAGTTAGAACAATTTTACATTTTCAAAACTATATTTAATCACTAAACTTACAATTGCAATGCAGTAATAATAACTTAGGAGCACTATACCATAAAGGCAACAGAAGTCCTGCAACGCTGAAAAGCTTTTCCATATGCCCAGAAAACTGGTAAAACCCTAAACAAGTGGTAATAAGCTTAAATTGTACTGAGATTTAGGTTGGCTCAAAGAGAGAATTTTTTACCAAGCTACTAAGAATTATTTTGCTGAGAAGAGTTATATAATATCTGCCCCCAGATAAAAAAGATATATTTATTTAGCTTGTTCCATCACACATCACTTTAAAAAAGAAAGATCAACTAGATATTCTTCTGAATCTATCAATTTATGGCATACATTGATTTTAACAATCCCTGAAAGTTAAGTAAAATTTGGGTTAGCATAGTTGACAAATTTTCTACGTAACAATACAGGATTGCAGTTAGTCCAAGAGGAGAGCTGGAATTTTTTAGCATTTATAAGCTATTCAGCAAACCAAAGTAATTCAGTAAAAACATTGCACAAACATGAGAGTCTACACATATTTTCCTTTCTCTTCTAAGCATTTTGATAAGTTTTAAGACAGCTTTCCATGCATTTCACACAAACACACACACACACACACACACACACACACACACACACTTCCTTTTGCAATATGTTAGCTATTCTCTTAGGATTTTTTCTTGTTTTGTTTTGCTTTTTAAATAGTGATTGTCTTCTTTTGGGAAACACAAGTAATGAAGTAGACCTCTAAAGCTCAACAAAGGGATGAAAAACTTAATTCAGACACCATAAATTTTGGAACTATGCTTTTGTCCGTACATTTGTTGCTTGAAAGCTAGAAATACAAATTTGCCGCACATCTCTAATGGCAGCATCTTTGAATTATCACTCTTACACTTGTTTTTATTTTGCCATATTATAATTCAAGGCTATGTTTGTCACTGACAACTAATATGATATGATCCTGGCTAATGTTGATATAAAATGAGTTTAATTTGAATGAATGCAGAATAGCTGAATTCCTTGGGTATCTAATCTATGAATTTAAGACATTCAGCCATTCAATTAAAGAATACTTTGGTGATTAAAATATTAGTTACATTATTCTAATGTATGGCTACACCTACTCCTTCCTAATTTTGATAGTAAATGTAGATAGGTAGACAGATACCTGATAGATAGATTAGACAACTGAAGTGAAGAAAAACAGAATAAATTCAACCAGAAGGCAGTAATAAATTATCTGCCCATCAATAATTAGAAAGCATGAGAGTATTCACACAAAATAATAAATGTTACATATGTATATTACATAAACCATAAAATATTTCAGTGCGAGGGAGTGACTGTCTAGAAATACAATATTATGAAGCTATGATTATTTTATATTAGATTCCTTTTGCATTTTAATATAAATCAAAAACACTTATTGTGTAGGCATTTTTTTAAGTTTGGGTAATAAAAGTAGTGATTCAAAACATTAAACAGCATTTCTAGCTGTGCCTTGTGGCTCATGCAGAACATTAAATGCCAGCATGCCAACCAATCGCAACTCTGAGCAGCTCTTAAGACTGTATATAATGAATAACAGATTGTAGCTTGTGGGTTTATGCATGGTCTAGAATCTTTTAGAAACCTTTTAAAAAACATGGAAATTGCCTTTAGAGTCTCCCTGTTTGACAATTACAATCATCTTGACATGGCGATGCCACAGTATCACATAGTATGTGTTTGTCCAGACTAAGACAACTGCTCAACAAGATCACAAAGCAATGAAAATGGAAACTTTTCTTTCTTTCCTTTTATTCATTAATCATTAAAGTATCAGCACTCAAAAGGAAATCTATCTCTCCCCCAGAGTAAGTTGCTTATTTTTCCAATTGTTTTGATTTTGGATTAAAGAACTGTTAATGCCCAGAAGCACAAGAACAACAACAAAAAATGTTTACAGTCTTCACAGTCTCTCTGTCAATATTATAGTAACTTACATTAAAATAAGTAAGAGTAATATTTACTTGGAAATAATAAGTGCTTGAGAAAAAAATCAAAGAAATGGTTAATTCACTAATTAGGCAAATATTTGTTGAACACCTGTAATTACCAAAAAGATTGTTGGTGTTGAAAATACAACAATAAACACATCAAAGTCTCTGTTCCATGGTGCAGATAGCTTAGTGCTGGAAATCAAAATAAGCAAGTTAACACAAAACAACTTTTATGATCTGAAATATAGTACACAAATAAATAAAAAGCAAATAGAGAAGATTGGAGAGTGAAGGCTATTTTATCGAGTGCTAATAAAAAGGCCCTTCAGAGAGAGAGAACCCTGAATACAGGTTCCCTGATGAAAGACTGAGATGGCAAGTTTAGCTCTCTTAGTCTGGCCTTCCTGAGAAGTGCATAATTCAGCTAAGATCCCAGTGATGTGAAGGAGGCAAACACATGGACATTCGGGGGAAGAATAGTACTTCAGAGGGAAATAGTTTAAAGCCTTTGAGACAAGGGACAGCAAGAAAGACTGAGGTGACTGGTGTACAGTGGCTGCTGGAGAGAAGGCTAGGGACAAATTCAAAGAGGTAGACCATGGCCATCTTGTAAGGTCACTATAATAGTGAAGAATAGAAGCATGCAATTGGACTGTAAAAAGCTGGGGAGGGTTATGATTTGACTTGCTCTGGGAAAAACACGTCACGGCTACGTTGAGAACATACTGTAGTGGTCAAGCGTGGAAACAGAAAAATGGTAGGAGGCTCTTGTAGTGATCAAAGCAGGTAATTTTGTCTTAGTTTATTGTGCTAGCACTGGAGATGCTATATCTGGATATGTTTTCGAAGTAGAGCCAACAGCTCTTTTTTGATGGACTGGATGTGGATTCTGAAGTATACAGCAGAATGAAGCCCTGATTTCTAGGATTTATGCTGACCAACTGAGTAAACTGGGGAGGTAATAATTTAGGAGGATTAGGAAACGTTGAATCAATATGCTATATCTTTTAGTTTTTGTTTTTGTTTTTCGTGTGTTGTGCAATAGCCTATTGTGTAACCTTTTGTGTAGCAGCATATTTTTATTTCATAAAAAATGTTCTCTCATTATTCTGAGGTATTAATTTTATTGTATGTAAAGTTTTTTATTTTCTCTTTGCAATATCAACTCGAATCCCTTTGGTCTTGGTTTTATAATGTGCTGTGTTTAGAATTGTTTTAATACAAATGCTTAGTGATTCTTGGTAGTAGGATCTTCTATGGGATATGGAGATTCTCAAGTGACCTGTCTATGAATTATACCAGCAGTGATTATGAATGAGGTCCACTGTGGATAACGTGGACCAATAGCTGGTCTTCTAAAAATTAAGGCTTTTGAAATTTGCAAGCAACCTGGCCACTACTGTGAATTGCATTAACTGTTGTCCATACTTAACACTTTAGCCTGGGTGCAGTTGCCTCTGCTGCTTATAACTTGACCTAATCATCTCAGGTTTTACCTTTGTTTTCCAACAATGTTAGTTACTTTCTCTAAGTCTGGCATAACTCACAATGTGAAGGAGAAGCACTGTCTAACTCTCAGCTTTCTATTTGTGGTAACCTCGGCTCAAACATGGACTTTCAATTTAATTTTTTGTAAGCATGTTGCTTTTTAGATGCAAAACAAAAAAACAACAACAAAGGTTTAATGCTATGTGATCTCAATCTACCATCTATCCTCCATCTCTCCTCTAGACAGACCACATCCAAAGGTCTTCTTCCTAAATTATAAATTGCAAGTCGAGTGATAACTGAGATACTGAGATTTCTCAATTGACAAAAACCTGTGCTAACATCCTTGTCATCCTTCACTCTAGTCTTATAGTTGAAGATAAGGAAGTTCAGGGCATATAAGTGTAGACAATTTTGCTTCATCTCCAGCACTCACTCAGATTTTTCCCTATTTGATTATCTGGGGGTTCTGAGAGAAGGAGGGGAAGAGGAAGCAGTAACACTTGGACCCCCTGAATCTGTATAGGGAGGGTACCCATAATTTTTAAATCTCATGCTTGGATATTTTTCTCTTTTCACATTTTAAACATGTAATCTCAATACATTCTTTTTTTTCTTTCTTGGGATAATTTTTAAATGCATAGTATTCGTTTCCATTCATTGAATGGAAAACATTCAACCTGAAGTCTCATCACTAAATTATTTCTGTATTATTCACAATTTTTAACATAAAGTTTTCATCTTATCAAACTTAGTGTATTTATAACTATAAAACATGATAATTACAAAATGCTTAGAGAATATGTATGTATGTGTGTGTATGTGTGTATATATGTACATATATTTTACAATATCAATTCCATAGAAAATTAAAAGCACTGGAACTTCCAATAAACCAGCCACTTTCTTCTTTCCTTCTTTCTTTTTCCCTACATATTTAATAGAAATGTAAATTTGTCTCAAAATTAAATTAAAATATTAATAAATAAAAACCAAAATTTTCTGGACTCTCATATTGGTAGTTTATTTTATGTCTGTTACATGGTCTGTAAGCATATTCAATTCTTACATATTTAAAATATGATTACCATTAGAAGTTTATCTTCTACATTTCTGACGGAAATTACGCTATGGGTATTTATTCCATTTGTTTTGCTTGTCTTTGTCTTTATCTTTCTATACCCTGCCTCCTTTCTCCTCTTCCAATGAAATCAATATTAATAGTCTGGTATACATTACCCTTCTAATTTTTCATATTTTTAAGTAAAAATTATACACACAGAAGCATACATGTAATGCAATTTGCTTTTTTGTAAAACTATATTACACTGCTCCAACTATACTGATACATACATCTCTAATATTACTTTCAATAGCTGCAGAATATTATAGTCTATATGTATATACCTATGTATTTTATCCTGCCTAATTTATGACCAACCAGATAATGCTGTAATAAACAATGCAGACATGCTGACACATTCATTTCCATAGTGTTTATTCCCAGAAGTGAAATGGCTAGATCAAAGTGTAAGTGCATTGAAAACATATTACAAAATACTCCCTGATTATTTTTTCATTCCCTGCAACAATGTATGAGAGGATCCCTCTCTCTACTTTCCCACAAGCACTTTTGAATTTTTCACAATGTAATGAAAAAGGTTCTATCACATTTACTCTACTTTCACCTTGAAAGTTAAAGGAAGCAGGGTTTTCTTTAGTTTTCATTTGAAGTTCTATTTTGAAGATGTTTCTGTATGCCTTTGTTCATTTATTTTATTATGCTGATGGTTTTCTCCAACCTGTAAATCTTATTTGTTATAAATATTTTGTGTATTATATGTTTTCATTTGGCCAGACTTTTTATAAAAAGTTGAAATCTTACATTAGGTATTATTTACAACATGTTTTTGCTACTTAGGATTAGGACTATGATTTGTTTTTTGTTTTTTTTTTATTATACTTTAAGTTTTAGGGTACATGTGCACAATGTGCAGGTTTGTTACTTCTGTATACATGGGCCATGTTGGTGTGCTGCACCCATTAACTCATCATTTAGCATTAGGTATATCTCCTAATGCTATCCCTCCCCCCTCCCCCCACCCCACAACAGGCCCCGGTGCGTGATGTTCCCCTTCCTGTGTCCATGTGTTCTCATTGTTCAATTCCCACTTATGAGTGAGAACATGCGGTGTTCGGTTTTTTGTCCTTGCGATAGTTTGCTGAGAATGATGATTTCCAGTTTCATCCGTGTCCCTACAAAGGACATGAATTCATCATTTTTTATGGCTGCATAGTATTCCATGGTGTATATGTGCCACATTTTCTTAATCCAGTCTATCATTCTTGGACATTTGGGTTGCTTCCAAGTCTTTGCTATTGTGAATAGTGCCGCATTAAACATACATGTGCATGTGTCTTTATAGCAGCATGATTTATAATCCTTTGGGTATATACCCAGTAATGGGATGGCTGGGTCAAATGGTATTTCTAGTTCTAGATCCCTGAGGAATCGCCACACTGACTTCCACAATGGTTGAACTAGTTTACAGTCCCACCAACAGTGTAAAAGTGTTCCTATTTCTCCACATCCTCTCCAGCACCTGTTGTTTCCTGACTTTTTAATGATCACCATTCTAACTGGTGTGAGATGGTATCTCATTGTGGTTTTGATTTGCATTTCTCTGATGGCCAGTGATGATGAGCATTTTTTCATGTGTCTTTTGGCTGCATAAATGTATTCTTTTGAGAAGCGTCTGTTCATATCCTTTGCCCACATTTTCATGGGGTTGTTTGTTTTTTTCTTGTAAATTTGTTTGAGTTCATTGTAGATTCTGCATATTAGCCCTTTGTCAGATGAGTAGGTTGTGAAAATTTTCTCCCATTTTGTAGGTTGCCTGTTCACTCTGATGGTAGTTTCTTTTGCTGTGCAGAAGCTCTTTAGTTTAATGAGATCCCATTTGTCAATTTTGGCTTTTGTTGCCATTGCTTTTGGTGTTTTAGACATGAAGTCCTTGCCCATGCCTATGTCCTGAATGGTATTGCCTAGGTTTTCTTCTAGGGTTTTTATCGTTTTAGGTCTGACATGTAAGTCTTTAATCCATCTTGAATTAATTTTTGTATAAGGTGTAAGGAAGGGATCCAGTTTCAACTTTCTACATATGGCTAGCCAGTTTTCCCAGCACCATTTATTAAATAGGGAATCCTTTCCCCATTGCTTGTTTTTCTCAGGTTTGTCAAAGATCAGATAGTTGTAGATATGCAGCATTATTTCTGAGGGCTCTGTTCTGTTCCATTGATATATATCTCTGTTTTGGTACCAGTACCATGCTGTTTTGGTTACTGTAGCCTTGTAGTATAGTTTGAAGTCAGGTAGCGTGATGCCTCCAGCTTTGTTCTTTTGGCTTAGGATTGACTTGGCGATGCGGGCTCTTTTTTGGTTCCTTATGAACTTTAAAGTAGTTTTTTCCAATTCTGTGAAGAAAGTCATTGGTAGCTTGATGGGGATGGCATTGAATCTGTAAATTACCTTGGGCAGCATGGCCATTTTCACGATATTGATTCTTCCTACCCATGAGCATGGAATGTTCTTCCACTTGTTTGTATCCTCTTTTATTTCATTGAGTAGTGGTTTGTAGTTCTCCTTGAAGATGTCCTTCACATCCCTTGTAAGTTGGATTCCTAGCTATTTTATTCTTTTTGAAGCGATTGTGAATGGGTGTTCACTCATGATTTGGCTCTCTGTCTGTTATTGGTGTATAAGAATGCTTACGATTTTTGCACATTGATTTTGTATCCTGAGACTTTGCTGAAGTTGCTTATCAGCTTAAGGAGATTTTGGGCTGAGATGATGGGGTTTTCTAGATATACAATCATGTCATCTGCAAACAGGGACAATTTGACTTCCTCTTTTCCTAATTGAATACCTTTTATTTCCTTCTCCTGCCTAATTGCCCTGGCCAGCACTTCCAACACTATGTTGAATAGGAGTGGTGAGAGAGGGCATCCCTGTCTTGTGCCAGTTTTCAAAGGGAATGCTTCCAGTTTTCGCCCATTCAGTATGATATTGGCTGTGGGTTTGTCATAGATAGCTCTTATTATTTTGAGATATGTCCCATCAATACCTAATTTATTGAGAGTTTTTAGCATGAAGGGTTGTTGAATTTTGTCAAAGGCCTTTTCTGCATCTATTGAGATAATCATGTGGTTTTTGTCTTTGGTTCTGTTTATATGCTGGATTACATTTATTGATTTGCATATGTTGAACCAGCCTTGCATCCCAGGGATGAAGCCCACTTGATCATGTTGGATAAGCTTTTTGATGTGCTGCTGGATTCGGTTTGCCAGTATTTTATTGAGGATTTTTGCATCAATGTTCATCAAGGATATTGGTCTAAAATTCTCTTTTTTGGTTGTATCTCTGCCAGGCTTTGGTATCAGGGTGATGCTAGCCTCATAAAATGAGTTAGGGAGGATTCCCTCTTTTTCTATTGATTGGAATAGTTTCAGAAGGAATGGTAACACTTCCTCCTTGTACCTCTGGTAGAATTTGGCTGTGAATCCATCTGGTTCTGGACTTTTTTTGGTTGGTAAGCTATTGATTATTGCCACAATTTCAGATCCTGTTATTGGTCTATTCAGAGATTCAACTACTTCCTGGTTTAGTCTTGGGAGGGTGTATGTGTCGAGGAATTTATCCATTTCTTCTAGATTTTCTAGTTTATTTGCATAGAGGTGTTTGTAGTATTCTCTGATGGTAGTTTGTATTTCTGTGAGATCGGTGGTGATATCCCCTTTATCATTTTTTATTGCATCTATTTGATTCTTCTCTCTTTTCTTCTTTATTAGTCTTGCTAGCGGTCTATCAGTTTTGTTGATCTTTTCAAAAAACCAGCTCCTGGATACATTAATTTTTTGGAGGGTTTTTTGTGTCTCTATTTCCTTCAGTTCTGCTCTGATTTTAGTTATTTCTTGCCTTCTGCTAGCTTTTGAATGTGTTTGCTCTTGCTTTTCTAGTTCTTTTAGTTGTGATGTTAGGGTGTCAATTTTAGATCTTTCCTGCTTTCTCTTGTGGGCATTTAGTGCTATAAATTTCCCTCTACATACTGCTTTGAATGTGTCCCAGAGATTCTGGTATGTTGTGTCTTTGTTCTCATTGGTTTCAAAGAACATCTTTATTTCTGCCTTCATTTCGTTATGTACCCAGTAGTCATTCAGGAGCAGGTTGTTCAGTTTCCATGTAGTTGAGTGGTTTTGAGTGAATTTCTTAATCCTGAGTTCTAGTTTGATTTCACTGTGGTCTGAGAGACAGTTTGGTATAATTTCTGTTCTTTTACATTTGCTGAGGAGAGCTTTACTTCCAACTATGTGGTCAATTTTGGAATAGGTGTGGTGTGGTGTTGAAAAAAATGTATATTCTGTTGATTCGGGGTGGAGAGTTCTGTAGATGCCTATTAGGTCCGCTTGGTGCAGAGCTGAGTTCAATTCCTGGGTATCCATGTTAACTTTCTGTCTCGTTGATCTGTCTAATGTTGACAGTGGGGTGTTAAAGTCTCCCATTATTAATGTGTGTGAGTCTAAGTCTCTTTGTAGGTCACTCAGGACTTGCTTTATGAATCTGGGTGCTCCTGTATTGGGTGCATATATATTTAGGATAGTTAGCTCTTCTTGTTGAATTGATCCCTTTACCATTATGTAATGGCCTTCTTTGTCTCTTTTGATCTTTGTTGGTTTAAAGTCTGCTTTATCAGAGACTAGGATTGCAATCCCTGCCTTTTTTTGTTTTCCATTTGCTTGGTAGATCTTCCTCCATCCCTTTATTTTGAGCCTATGTGTGTCTCTGCACATGGGATGGGTTTCCTGAATACAGCACAGTGATGGGTCTTGACTCTATCCAATTTGCCAGTCTGTGTCTTTTAATTGGAGCATTTATCCCATTTACATTTAAAATTAATACTGTTATGTGTGAATTTGGTCCTGTCATTATGATGTTAGCTGGTTCTTTTGCTTGTTAGTTGATGCAGTTTCTTCCTAGCCTCGATGGTCTTTACATTTTGGCATGTTTTTGCAGCAGCTGGTACCAGTTGTGCCTTTCCATGTTTAGTGCTTCCTTCAGGAGCTCTTTTAGGGCAGGCCTGGTGGTGACAAAATCTCTCAGCATTTGCTTGTCTGTAAAGGATTTTATTTCTCCTTCACTTATGAAGCTTAGTTTGGCTGGATATGAAATTCTGGGTTGAAAATTCTTTTCTTTAAGAATGTTGAATATTGGCCCCCACTGTCTTCTGGCTTGTAGAGTTTCTGCCAAGAGATCCGCTGTTAGTCTGATGGGCTTCCCTTTGTGGGTAACCTGTTCTTTCTCTCTGGCTGCCCTTAACATTTTTTCCTTCATTTCAACTTTGGTGAATCTGACAATTATGTGTCTTGGAGTTGCTGTTCTAGAGGAGTATCTTTGTGGCGTTCTCTGTATTTCCTGAATCTGAATGTTGGCCTGCCTTGCTAGATTGGGGAAGTTCTCCTGGATAATATCCCGCAGAGTGTTTTCCAACTTGGTTCCATTCTCCCCTTCACTTTGAGGTACACCAATCAGACGTAGATTTGGTCTTTTCACAGAGTCCCATATTTCTTGCAGGCTTTGTTCGTTTCTTTTTATTCTTTTTTCTCTAAACTTCCCTTCTCACTTCATTTCATTCATTTCGTCTTCCATCACTGATACCCTTTCTTCCAGTTGATCACATCTGCTCCTGAGGCTTCTGCATTCTTCACGTAGTTCTCGAGCCTTGGCTTTCAGCTCCATCGGCTCCTTTAAGGACTTCTCTGCATCGGTTATTCTAGGTATCCATTCGTTTAAGTTTTTTTCAAAGTTTTTAACTTCTTTGCCATTGGTTTGAATTTCCTCCTGTAGCTCAGAGTAGTTTGACCATCTGAAGCCTTCTTCTCTCAACTCATCAAAATCATTCTCTGTCCAGCTTTGTTCCATTGCTGGTGAGGAGCTGTGTTCCTTTGGAGGAGGAGAGACGATCTGGTTTTCAGAGTTTCCAGTTTTTCTGTTCTGTTTTTTCCCCATCTTTGTGGTTTTATCTACTTTTGGTCTTGGATGATGGTGACGGACAAATGGGTTTTTGGTGTGGATGTCCTTTCTGTTTGTTAGTTTTCCTTCTAAGAGACAGGACCCTCAGCTGCAGGTCTGTTGGAATTTGCTAGAGGTCCACTCCAGACCCTGTTTGCCTGGGTATCAGCAGCAGTGGCTGCAGAACAGTGGTGGCTGTAGAACAGCGGATATTGGTGAACAGCAAATGCTGCTGCCTGATCGTTCCTCTGGAAGTTTTGTCTCGGAGGAGTACCCGGCTGTGTGAGGTGTCAGTCTGCCCCTACTGGGGGGTGCCTCCCAGTTAGGCTGCTCAGGGGTCAGGGACCCACTTGAGGAGGCAGTCTGCCTGTTCTCAGATCTCCAGCTGCGTGCTGGGAGAACCACTACTCTCTTCAAAGCTGTCAGACAGGGACATTTAAGTCTGCAGAGGTTACTGCTGTCTTTTTGTTTGTCTGTGCCCTGCTCCCAGAGGTGGAGCCTACAGAGGCAGGAAGGCCTCCTTGAGCTGTGGTGGGCTCCACCCAGTTCGAGCTTCCCAGCTGCTTTGTTTACCTAATCAAGCCTGGGCAATGGCGGGCGCCCCTCCCCCATCCTGGCTGCTGCCTTGCAGTTTGATCTCAGACTGCTGTGCTAGCAATCAGTGAGACTCCGTGGGTATAGGACCCTCCCAGCCAGGTGCGGGTTATAATCTCCTGGTGTGCTGTTTTTTAAGCCCATAGGAAAAGCGCAGTATTAGGGTGGGAAATAGTTCATTTTTTTACTATAAAAAATAATGCCTGTCAGAAAGCATTTATTATTTTATTTATTATATTTATTTATTATATTTTTAGTTTGGGGTCCTAGAATGAGAATTAGTGGATTCAAACTAATAATATTTAAACCTGCTAATTAATATTTCTGATAAATGTAAGTAATTTCTTTGCAGTTTTTCTTTTACTATGTTACCAATGAAAATAAATTGAGAAATCAATAGTTTTACATATTACAGTGCTTTAAAACATGGTTTATTTTACTTAATCTTTGCATAAAATTATTCAATTTTCTTTTGCTTAGTGAATTACTTCCTCTATATTTCCAATAACTAACTTTCATATTTATGCTATTTTTCCCTTCTGAGTGATAACTCCCTACATGATAATTTGTGAAAATGATTCTTTATGTTTAATGAATACTCAGCTTAGAAGGCTAAAAAGGATTTATGTTCACATGTTAAATATTTAAGAATGTACATTAAAGATAATTCTCCAAGTTAGTTCACATCACTATTATAAATAATCTAATTTAGAAAGTCTATGTTTTTGTTTGCTTCCCTCAGTTTTGAATTATAATTTGAATGGCTGGAAGGCAAGAAAATATCTGTATTTCATGCACTAAATCCCCAGTCTCTAGAACAGAACCTGGTATAAAATTATACAATTTAAAACTTTTTTGATAAATGAAAGAATTGAATGAATTTTTGGCAACTATATAGAAACAATAACTTGTTGGAGTATAATTTTATATGAATTAAAAACATTTATTTTGATTTTATTCAGAAAATATTCACATTCTTTTCATTTTTCCCCGGGCATTTGTCACCTTCTTATTGATATTTATGAATTATTTAATAAGACTTTAATAGACTAGGAAAAAAAATATATATATATGTATATTTTTTTTTCCTGAGATAGTCTTGCTCTTTCACCCAGGTCGGACTGCAGTGGCACAATCTTGGCTCACTGCAAGCTCCGCCTCCCAGGTTCACGCCATTCTCCTGCCTCAGCCTCCCAAGTAGCTGGGACTATAGTAAAAATATTTTTATTTCCTTATTAAAATTCTTTTCATTTGTGGAATTTTTTTTTGAAGAAAAAAATCTCAGGATTCATTGAAAACAAAAAATGCTGAATAAGACTGAAGCTGGAAAAATTGTAATTTTGACTTTTGGAAAGGAAAAAATATTTATATTTTGAAAATCAGAGGGTTTCACATCAATCTCAGGCAAGAATTCAGAGCTGATACTTACAATGATGTATCGCAAGCAACTAGAAAAGAAAGGAGTAATCAATACTGTGGGTTGACTATGAATAAGCCTTGTTAGAATAAACTCATTGTCTTTTCTGACATGTTTACTAGACTAGAAAATCAGAAAAATGCAGCAGATATCAAATATCCAGATTTCAGTACGATACTTAAAAGTCTCTCATGATATCCTTATGAATGAGGTGAAGAAATATGAGTTGAATAATTACACACTTAAATGAATTTATATCTGATATAAAAAACTATACTCAAATGTTTCGAATTAATGGGCCATACCAATCTGGAGGGGTATTAGTTTTGTCCTGTGCCTTAAAAAAACATTTTATCCATGATTGAAATGGGGATATTTAATGCATATTGATAACATTTATGAATGATATGATGCTGGAATAAAAGAGAAAAATAAAACCAGAATCTACAGAAAATTAAGCCACATACATGTCAAAAAAGTTAACCTGGACTCAGGTGACATGAATAGAAGCATAATATCTAAATGAAATCTGTGATATTTCTGATCTCTTCACCAGATCTCCTGAAGAACTGTGTTCAGTTCTAGGCACTAATTAAAAAAAAAAAAACATGAAAGACAAATAAATACAATGAATACCAATAATGCCAATAATAATAAAGCAAATCAGAAAAGAGGATCAAGTTCTATAGGAAATCAAATATCATATCCTGTGATGGTAGTAGGATGAAGGAGAAAAGACTCGGGAAAGACATCTTAGTTGTTTCACAGGTTTTCTTACGGATAGAGATAAGAACTCTAAAAAAAAAGGTAAACCAGAGTGAGTGGGTTTAAATAAGAGACATTTCTGTTGTCTATAAAGATCATTTTAATGTTGATAACTCCATAAAGGTGGAAACAGAACCTTTTGAGAGGAGTTCAAAGAAGAGACTATAAAATCAAGATAGCAGAAATGGATGATGTGGAACAAGATGGCAGAACAGAAGGCTCCGATGGTTCTTCCCTCCACAGCAACACCAAATTTAACAACTATCTATACACAAAAAAAGCACCTACATAAGAACCAAAAATCAGGTGAGCACTCACAATATCCAGTTTTAATTTTATATCACTGAAAGAGGCACTGAAGAGGGCAGAAGAAACAGTTATAAATTGTGGACACCACTCCTCCACACTACCCCTGCAATAGCCAAGTGATACAGGGAAATCTGTGCATTTGGGAAAAGGATAGCACAGTGATTGTGAGACTTTGCATTACACTCAGTGCTGCCCTGTTACAACAAAAAGCAAACCCTCTGAATTCAGCTGACGCCCACAGAGAGACCATTTAAACCACTCCTAACTAGAGGGAAATCACACATCCCAGTCGACAGAACTTGAATTCCAGCAAGTCTGGCCACTGCAGGCTGAATTTCTCTGGGGCCCTAAATGAACTTGAAAGGTAGTCTGGGCCACAAAGACTGCAACTCCTAGACAAGTCCTAGTGTTGTGCTGGACTCAGAGCCAATGGACTTGGGGGACAAGTGAGGCAGCTAAGGAGGGTGCTTGCACTACCCATCCCCCAAATGTAGCACAACTCATGGCTGCAAAAGAAACCCCTTTCTTCCACTTGTGGGGAGAAGAGGGAAGAGTAAGGAGGACTTTTTCTTGCATCTTGGAACCAGCTCAGCCACAGTAGCATAGCACACTGGTCAGAGTTGTGAGGTCCCTATTTCAGTCCTTACCTCCCAGGTAACATTTCCAGACACATGGTGGGCAGGAAGAGAACCCTCTGCCTTGAAGGAAAAAAACCAGTCCTAGCAAGATACATTACCAGCTGATTGAAGAGCCTTGTGCCCTGAATAACCAGCAGCAATACCCAGATAGTACACTGTGAGCTTTGGGTGAGACTCCTAGACATGTTGGCTGCAGGTGAAACCCCAGCCCATTCCCAGGTATGGTGACTGGTGAGAAACTCCTCTGCTTGAGAAAAGCAAAGGAAAAATTAAAGAGGACTTTTTCTTAGGTACCAGCTGAATGACAGTGCAGTAAAGTAGCAAGCAGGCTCTTGAGGCCCCCAATTCCAGGCGTTGGCTCTTGGATGGAATTTCTGGAACTTCCCTGGGCCAAGGGGGAGCCCACTGCCCTTAAGGGTGACTTTCAGCATTGGCAGCATTTACCACAGGTGACTGAAGAGGCTTTAGGCCTTAAGTGAATATCAGTGGTAGCCTAGATGTACTCCCTGTGGGCCTGTGATGGTGGTGGTAGCCACGCTTGGAGGCTCTTCTGTCTGTGGTAAAAGAAGGGAAGAATGGGAAGGACTGTGTCTCATGGTTCGAAGGCCAGATCAGCCACAGTAAACTAGAATACCAGGTAGACTTATAAAGTTTTTGACTCCAGTTACTGGCTCCTAGATAGCATCTCTCAAAAGGTCTGGGGCCCAGGGGAAATTGCCACCCTGAAGAGAAGGAAACAAGTCTGACTGGCTTCTCCACCTACTCATTGTAGAGCAGTTGGGCCTTGAACAAACATAGGCAGTAGCCAGATAGTTGTTACAGAAGGCCTTGGACAAGATTCAGTGCTGTGCTGGCTTTGGATCTGACCCAGCAGAGTCCCAGTGTTGGTGGCCACAGGGGTGCTAGTGTTACCCCACTGTGAGCCCAAGGCAGCTCAGCACAGAGACAGAGACTCCATTTCTTTGGGAGGAAGTAAGGGCAGAGAATAAAAGTCTCTCCCGGGTAATCCAGACAATTTGTCCAGATCTTACCCAAGACCCTCACGGTGGTACATCTACAAGTCTGCAAGAACCACTCGGTTCGGGGTGTCCCCTAATGAAGATGCAGCTTAGATCACAACACCCAAGTCCTTTTGAATACCTAGAAAGCCTTCTCAAGAATGATGGGTACAAACAACCCCAGACTGCCAGGACTCCAATTAATACCTAACTCTTCAGTGCCGGAAACTGGTGAACATCATAAGGAACAAGATCATGCAGGAAAACATGATCTCACCAGATGAACTAAGTAAGGCACCAGGGACCAATCCCAGAGAAACAGAGATATATGACCTTTCAGAGAGTAAATTCAAAATAGCTGTTTTGAAGAAATGCAAAGTAATTCATAACACAGAGCAATAATTCAGAATTCTATAAGATAAATTTGAAAAGATATTGAAATAATTAAAAATAATCAAGCAGAAATCTTGGAGTTGAAAAATGCAGTTGATATACCGAAGAATGTTTCAGTCCCTCAATAGCAGAATTGATCAGTTAGAAGAAAGAATTAGTGAGCTTGAAGACAGGCTACCTGAAAATACACCATCAGAAGAGACAAAAGAAAAAAAGAACACAAATGAAAGATGCATGCCTATAATATCTAGAAAATAGCCTCAAAATGGCAAATCTAAGAATCACTGGCCTTAAAGAGGAAGTAGAGAAAGAGATGGCGGTAGAAAGTATATTCAAAAAGATAATATCAGAGAGCTTCCTAAACCTAGAGAAAGATATTAATATCCAAGTACAAAGAGCTTATAGTATACCAAGCAGAGTTAACCATAAGAAGACTACTGCAAGGCATTTAATAATCAAACTCCCAAATGTCAAATATAAAAGAAAGGATCCTAAAAGCAGCAAGATAAAATAAACAAACTGCATTCAATATCTCCAATACGTGGCAACAGACTTTTCAGTGGAACTCTTACAGGTTAGGAGAGAGTGGCATGACATATTTAAAGTGCTGAAGGAAAAAACTTTACCTTAGAATAGTATACCAGGTGAAAATATTCTTCAAACATGAAGAAGACATAAAAAAAATCTGAGGGATTTAATCAATACCAGATTTATCCTACAAAAAGTGCTAAAGGGAGTTCTTCAGTCTGAAAGAAAAGAGTGTTAGTAAGTAATAAGACATCATCTGAAGGTACAAAACTCGCAATAATAAGTACACAGAAAAACACAGAATATCATAACACTGTAACTGTGGTGTGTAAACTATATTATTTTAAGTAGAAAGACTAAAACATGCACCAATAAAAACTACAAAAACTGTTCAAGACATAGTACAATAAGATGTAAATAGAAATAACAAAACATTAAAAAGTGGAGGGGTAAAGTATAGAGTTTTTATTAGCTCTCCTTCTGGTTGGTTGTTTATGTAAGCAGTGTTAAGTTGTTATCAGCTTAAAATAATGGCCTATAAGATAGTATTTTCAAGCTTCATGGTAATCTCAAATTAAAAAAAAAAATACAATGGATAGACAAAAAATAAAAAGAAACTAAATCATACCACCAGAGAAAATTACGTTCTCCAAAAGGAAAACAGACACGAAGGAAGAGAAAACCGCAAAACAACCACACACAAAAATAACAAAATGGCAGGAGTAAGTTCTTACTTATCAATAATAACATTGAATGGAAATGGACTAACCTCTCCAATCAAAAGACATAGAGTGGCTGAATGGATTAAAAACACAAGACCCAGCTGGGCGCAGTGGCTCAGGCCTGCAATCCCAGCACTTTGGGAGGCCGAGGCGGGTGGATCACAAAGTCAAGAGATCAAGACCATCCTGGCCAACATGGTGAAACCCCGTCTCTACTAAAAATACAAAGGTTAGCTGGGCGTGGTGGTGCATGCCTGTAGTCCAAGCTGCTTGGGAGGCTGAGGCAGGAGAATTGCTTGAACCCAGGAGGCAGAGGTTGCAGTGAGCTGAGATCGTGCCACTGCACTCCAGCACTCCAGCCTGGCAACAGAGTGAGACTCCATCTAAAAAAAAAAAAAAAAAAAAAAAAAAAGAAAAGAAAAAAAAAAAAACAAGACCCAATAATCTGTTGCCTGCAGAAAACACATTTCACCTATAAAGACACACATAGACTAAAAATGAAGGAGTGGAAAAAAAGATATTTCTTGCCAATTGAAACAAAAAAGAGCAGCAGTAGCTATACTTACATCAAATAAAATCGATGTCAAGACAAAAACAGTAAAAAGACACAAAAAAGGTCATTATGTAATGATAAAGGAGTCAATTCAGCAAGAGGATTAACAATTGTAAATATGTAATAACCCAATACTGGAACACCCAGAGATATAAAGAAAATACTGTTAGAACTAATGAAAGAGATAGACCCCAATACAATAATAGCTGGAGACTTCAGGATCCCACTTTCAGCATTGGGCAGATCTTCTAGATAGAAGTCATTACACAAAAGTCCCAGAATAGCCAACGCTATCCTAAGCAAAAAGAGCAAAACTGGAGGAATCACATAACCTGACTTCAAATTATAATACAGAGCTGTAGAAGCAAAAATGGCATGGCACTGGCTTAAACACAGACACATAGACCAGTGGAATAAAATAGAAAATGCAGAAATAAACTTATACAACTACAGTGAACTCATTTTTTACAAAGGTGCCAAGAACATACCTTGGAGACAGTCTCTTCAATAAATGGTGCTGGTAAAATTTGATATCCATATGCAGAAGAATGAAACTAAACCTCTATCTCTTGCCATATACAAAAATCAATTCAAAACTGATTAAAGACTTAAATCTAAGACCAGAAACTATGAAACTACTAAAAGAAAACATCGAGGAAACTCTTGAGGATATTGGAGTGGGCAAAGATATCTTGAGTAATACCCTACATGCACAGGCAATGAAAATGGACAAATGGGATCACATCAAGTTAAAAATAAATACAAATAAAAAAATCCTGCACAACAAAGGAAACAATCAACAAAGTGAAAAGAAAACCCACAGAATGGATTAAAATATTTGCAAAATACCAATCTGTCAAGGGATTAATAACCAGAATATATAAAGAGCTCAAACAACTCTATAGAAAAAAAAAATCCAATAATCCAATTTAACAAGGGCCAAAAGATCTGAATAGACATTTCTAAAAAGAAGGCATACAAATGGCAAAAAGGTATATGAAAGTTTGCTATACGTTATTGATCATCAGAGAAACACAGGTCAAAACTACAATAAGTTATTAGATTACCCTAGTTAAAATGGCTCTTATCCAAAAGACAGGCAATAACAGATGCTGGCAAGGATGCGGAGAAAAGAAAACCCCCATACACTGTTGGTGGGAATGTAAATTAGTACAATCACTATGAAGAATAGTTCGGAGGTTCCTCAAAAAACTAAAAATAAGAGTTACTATATGATCCGGCAATCCAACTCATAGTTATTTACCATAAAGTATATTCTAATCAGTATTTCAAAGAGATATCCATACTCCCATGTTTATCATAATATTTTTCTCAACACCAATGATTTGGAGGGAACTTGTGTCCATCAACAGATAAATGAATAAAGAAAATGTGACACTTATACACAATGGAGTACTATTCAGCCATAAAAAAGAATGAGATCCTGTCATTTGTAACAACATGAATAAAACTGGGGGTCATTATGTTAAAAAGTGAAATAAGACAGGTACAGAAAGACAAATTTCACATATTCTCCCTTATTTGTGGGAGGTTCAAATTAAAACAATTGAATTCATAGAGACAGAGAGTAAAAGGATGGTTACCAGAGTCTGGGAAGGGTAGTTGGTTGGAGGGTGGAAGTGGGGATGGTTAATGGGTACAAAAAAGAGAAAGAATTAATAAGGCCTAGTATTTGTTAGCACAACAGGGTGACTATAGTCAAAAATAATTTAATTGTACATTCTAAAATGACTAAAAGTTCATTGAATTGTTTATATAACGCAAAGGATAAATGCTTCAGATGATGGGTACCCCATTTCTCTGATTTGATTATTATGCATTGCATGCCTATTTAAAAGTGTAATATATAACCCATAAATATATATGCCTACTGTGTATCCACAAAAATTAAAAATAAAAATAAATTAATTCTAAAAAGATAGCAGATACATTTTGTGGAATATAGGCATTTGTTTAGTTTTGGACTATGGTCGGTGCAAAAATCATTGCTACAATGAATCATACATTGAGTCAGTCAAATGTGTTTTTTATTATACAATCCACTGATCAAAAGTTAAACATTGTTAGAGAACAACTTTTCAATGAATATAGGGTTATTTTTAGTTGAATTTAAGAAAATGTAACTATTTGTTTTTAATGTATATACAGAATTGAAGTCATTAGGCCTAAGAGTCTACTTTATGAAGAAATTTACATAAAGTAGTCTGTTTTGGCTTAAGCAATAGGAAGAATATACACATGTGAAGCCAAAAAGATGAGGAAGAGATGACAATGTGTGCCTTTCCCTCAATATCCAATTCAGCTACAGTGGTTATTTGTACTCTACTATAGAGGTGGGTAGAGGTTAAAGGAAACATCTTCATAAACGCTATTTTAATGAAATAATTTACATACAGTTGCATAGATCCCTTATACAGTTCTATGAGTTTTGGCAAATGCATAAATTGCACAACCACAATAAAAATACAGTTCCGTAACTCTAAAAATGTCCTTTGTGATCCCTTTTTACATAACTCTCTTCTCACCTCAAGCCCCTGGTCAATATTTATCTGGTTTTTGTCCCTATATTTTGCCTTTTCTAGAATGTCATATAATGTGAATTATACAGAACTTAGCCTTTTGAATCTGTTTTCTTCATGAAGGTGATTTTAATGATATAAAGAAAAGTAATGCCTTTTACATTCTGGCTTGTTTTAGGCTGCACTGAGATGCCACAATCATGGCAAATACAGCAGATGTGATTAAAGATAAGTTGATGTTATAATCAACAGTGGAGACATGGAGGAAAGCAACAATAGCTAGATGTGTAACATCAGTACTGAACAAATGTGAAACACCCTCTGAGGAGTCTCAGCAATACCTAGAGAGAGTTTCCAGTGGGCTGAAATCCTGAAGTTGTACAGGTGGGAGAAAACAGCTCAGCGGAATTTCCATATTAACATTAACATGACCTTATTTGTATTTCTTGGTTGATGAGCCTTGTAATCTTTAGGCTACAAAAGCATATAAAAATTGGTTAAAATAAATACATAAACACAAAACTCACAAACTAAATATTTTATCAAGTGAAATGTTGAAAATAATGCTGACAATCTGAGAAAGATATAAATATACTGCATTTCTTCCAAAACTCAAGATGAAGAAGAGTTTAAAGAAAGAAATCAAGAACTATATGTGGCCACGGACCAGACAGAAATAGATTAGTGGAAGGAAGTTGTTAAGTAAATGATTCTATTCTAAGACATTGGCATCACACTTCTTTTTTAACCATGGTCACTGGTCAAGTTCATCCCAGTGGATTTAAAGACACTAGATAAATTCAAGGATAAGCTGAGATCATATAGTTATTCACAGTGATGTAAATAGAAAAAGTTTACTCAAAGAAAAAAGCTAGTCAAACTTCCAAAATGCTCAACCAGAAAGTTGTTTTTTTAAATACACTCATTAGCAATAATTTTTTTCTTAAAGAGACACCATTCAAAATTGAGGTTTTTCTTTTAAAGACATTATTGACAAAGTTGGTTAATAGCTCAATTTTGTTCAGTCATAAATCTTACTCATAATAAGTACTTAATACGTATTTGTTGGATGAATGATGAAACCAATTATTTTCAGTTTTCTTATGAATAGACATTAAACCTGTGAAATAACTAAAGTTTTCCACCAAAAGCGTTGAGTTTATTTTAAAATAGAAATGTCTTAGGCTAGATATTAAGATAGTTTACCCAAAAGTAGGTACAGATCTAATCTGAAGCACAATGTCTTTTGCTTAGTAAAACACTACGATTCCATACATCCCTTTTGAGAGCAAGAGAGTAGGAGGCAGACTAGAAGGAGAAGGACGAGGACATGACTTGTAATTAGGAAATGTGCATCATTCTGTCACTCAACCTGTGTGTCCCCCATACTCCTTCCTCTCAGTCTTTCCTGTGACTACATATATATTTACTTGCTGCAGATCGCATTTAGACACAAACTTATCCAGAATGTAAGTCCTTTTCAGTGCTAGTTCAACCCTCTTACCAGGGCTCTAGGGGAATTGCAAATGCACTTCCTTATTGTGGCAAACAACCTTCCTTCTTTTCAAATGTTATTGCCAGTTTACTCATAGATAGATGTTGCTCGGCGATTGGTTCTCAGTTGCTTCTGTGTTTGGATGTGACCCCTTTCTCTGGCTTTTCACAAGAATTGAAATCAGTGGCGCATCATAAGCCAAGGAATTCACAGATCCAGCTCTACAAAGTCATATGTTAACTGACCTAAGCTATGTCACTCTTCAGCCAAAGCTCTTTTTGACAAATTTGGGTAGTCTTCAGTGGGTAGAAATAGGAGAGGGTTTTATTTCCTATCCAAAAATGAAGAGGCATACTGCAATGAAAATAAATATTTGACAAGTTCCTGGTAAATAGTAATTTTTTCCAAAAGGTGCATAAAAACAGTCCCAAAACCTCTCACTATTTTCAAAGCTTCCTTTTCATTCCTAGGCATGAACCTTAAGTGAAAAGTCAGTGACACTAACATTCCCAGAGCTTCGTAGTCAGGACAGGAAGAAGGGTGCTCCACTCACCACCAATAGGACCCCAATCTCAGGAGCTAAAATCAGATAATTGAATATTTATGCAAGGGTGGAGAATATTGTACAATATTCTCAACCAATATAACATTCATGATAAATCCTCAACCTGACAAAAACATTAAAAACCTACCATTAAAACATACTTAATAGTGAAAGTGGAGGCCGGGCGCAGTGGTTCACTCCTGTAATCTCAGCACTTTGGGAGGCCGAGGCGGGCAGATCACGAGGTCAGGAGATCAAGACCATTCTGGCTACCACGGTGAAACCCCGTCTCTACTAAAAATACAAAAACTTAGCCTGGCATGGTGGCCGGCGCCTGTAGTCCCAGCTACTCGGGAGGCTGAGGCAGGAGAATGGCGTGAACCAGGGGGGCGGAGCTTGCAGTGAGCCGAGATCGCGTCACTGCACTCCAGCCTGGGCGACAGAGAAAAACTCCGTCTCAAAAAATAAATAAATAAATAAAATTGGGAACAAGGCAAAGATGTCAACTCTCAACACTCTTTTTTAATATAATACTCAAGTCGTAGTCACTGAAATAGAGCCAAAAAAGAAATAAAAGGCATAACAATTCAAAAGAATGGAATAAAACTATACTGTTACAGATGCCATGATTGTTTATGGAGAAAACCACAAGGAACCTACGAAAATACTTCTAGAACAAGATCACAGAATATAAAATTATTATTATTATGATTAATTTGAGACAGAGTTTCACTCTTGTCCCGCAGGCTAGAATGCAATGGCGTGGTATCAGCTCACTGCAACTTCAGCCTGCCAGGTTCATGCGATTCTCCTGCCTCAGCCTCCTGAGTAGCTGGGATACAGGCACGTGCCACCACGCCCAGCTAATTTTTGTATTCTTAGTAGAGACAGTGTTTCACCATGTTAGCCAGGCTGGTCTCAAACTCCTGACTTCAGGTGATCTGCTCCCCTCAGCCTCCCAAAGTGCTGGGATTACAGGTGTGAGCTACCATGCCTGGCCTTCAGAATATAAAAATTAATGTGCAAAGTTCAAATGCATTTCTGTATACTCATAATGAGCATGGGAAAAACAGCAATTTAAAACAGAATACCATTTACAATTACTCCAAACACAATAAAAAACATAGGTATACGTTTCATGAATTAGGTACAGGCTATGTATAAAAAAATCGCAAAATGCTAATGAATTGCATCAAATAAAACATAAATAAGAGATATAACAAACCTGTTATATAACCAATCTGTTATCTCTCCATTTAAATTTCTTTGATTCATGTTTTCTAACATTCGTAATATCTAAGATTCATGAATTGGGAAACTCAATAAGAAAGATTCTCCTCAAATGAATTTATTGATTTAATGAAAGCTTACAAAACTCCCTACAGAAGTTCCTGTAGACATAGAAAAATATAAAATTTCTATGGAAAATTAAAGATATTAGAATAACTCTAATATTCTTGAAATAAGAATAAAATACACAATTACTTTCCTTAATAATTAAGGCCTCCTCTGTAGCTATAATAATAAAGATACTGTGCTTCTGGAAGAAGAACAAACATAAGTTTGTATAACATAATTGAAAACCCAGAAATATATTCTCAACTGATATTTTTACAAAAGTAAAAATCATTTCAATGAAGAAAAGATTGTCTTTTCAATAATGGTGCTGAAACACCCCTGTGTGAGTCTATGGAGGGCAAAAAAAAAAAAAAAAAAAAAAAGGACTTTGACCTTTGACTTAAACCTCACAACTTTACAAAAACTCAAAACGGATCATGATCTGAAATGTAAAAATTACAACCATAAAACTTTTAGAAAAAAAGAAAATCTTCAGAATTTTTCATCAAAATTTTTACACAACACAAAAAGCAAAAAGCATGATTCATAAAATAAAAACTTAACAAATTGAATCTGATCAAAATTATTTTGCTCTGCAAAAGATTATGATTATTACAACGTGAAAACACAAACTACAAATTGGAAAGTAAATTTCAGTCATATAGCTGACAAGTGACTAGTATCTAGATTATATAAAGAACTCTCAAGATTCAATAGTTAAAAAAAATCCATAGGAAAATAGACAAAAGACATGAACATACATTTTACTGAAGAGAATATATAGATGGGAAATAAGCCTATGAAAATGTTATTATTATAATTAGCCATCAGAGAAATGCAAATTAAAACCACAATGGGCAATTATTAATAGTACAAACTAATCAGAATGAAGCAAATAAAAAATAGTGACAACACCAAATTTTATTGAAGATGCAGAGAAACTGAGTCACTCCTACATTGTTGTCGGTAATGCAAATGGTATAACCATTCTAAAAAATAATATGGTAATTTCTTAATTAAATATGTGATTACCACATGACCTAAATATTACATTCACTTATCACTGAGAAATAGAAATTTATGTGTACACAAAAACCTATAAATGAATATATATAGCAGATTTATTTGTAACAGCACAAAACTGTAAACAGACTAGAAGTTCTTCAACAGACAAATAGTTAAACTAAAAACTCTTGTACATCCATACCACAGAATACTGTACAGCAATAAAAAAGAGCAAACTATTCATACATGTAGCATGCAGAAACTTCAATGAATCTCCAGGGATTGAGTGAAAAAAAAGCAAATCTGTAAAGATTATATTATATAATCCCATTTACATACCATATTGAAATGACAAAGTATTAGAAAGGGAGAACGTATTAGTAGTTGTCAATGTTTAGTCAGTGATGGGGTAGGATGGAGGGAGGTGGATGTGGTTGTTAAGAAGGCAGCAGGAAGGATCCTGGTGGTGCTGAAACTGTTTAGTTTCTTGACTGTGGCAGTGGATGCACAAACCTAGACATAAGATACATTTGTGTAGAATTAATACACACACACAAATACAAGGAAAGCTGAGGAAATGTGAATTGCATGGGTGGATGTGTCAATGTTAATATCCTGGTTTTGATATGGCACTACAATTTTACAAAATGACAACATTGTGGGCAGGTGAGGTGGCTCACACCCATAATCTCAGCACTTTGGGAGGCTGAGGCAGGTGGATCACTTGAGGTCAGGAGTTCGAGAACAACCTAGCCAAAGTGGTGAAACCCCGTCTCTACTAAAAATACAAAAATTATCTGGGTGTAGTGGTGCATGCTTGTAATCCCAGCTACTTGGGAAGCTTAGATGGGAGGATCACTTGAACACAGGAGGCAGTGGTTGCAGTGTCCAGATTGCACTACTGCACTCCAGCCTGGGTGACAGAGCGAGACTCCATCTCAAAAAAAAAAAAAAAAAAAAAAAAAAAAAAGGTAACATTGGGGTAAACCAAGTGCAGAGTCAGAGTCTCTCTACATTATTCCTTACAATTAATTTAATATACAATTATACCAGTAAAAATGCCAATTAAACATAAAATAAACTGCAACAGAGAAAAATGGAGCAACCCCACACAAAAATGCTGAAAATTAGGAAGACATTCCCTTGTCTTCCACAGATCAAGCCTCTATTATGAACATAAGGATGCTGTGAATTTCAAAAGAACACAGCATGAAAGGTCAGAACAATGGAGTTTTGTAACATTATTGCAAACAAATATTTGTTTATATTTTACAAAACAGACTTAGAAAGTAAGATGTAGTATTTATAAATGTTGTCTTTCTTATTTAAGTGCCCTATTTTTTATTTAAACATTTTGCTTTATATCTGCCAGCCCAATGTCCCTACAAAAAAGAGTTCCTTCCCACGTAGTCCTTGTTCATTTCCTGTAGTCCTTGTCCTGTGTATGCCTTGTACATTTGAGTGCCTCAGACTTCTATGAAAGAGGGAAGAGAGGCTTTTCAAATTCCAGTACAAGAAAAAAATGGCTAATTTTTCAATAAGTTTCTTAAGAAACAAGTAAATGGAGGAGAGAATTAACGTTTCTCGGAAACAAGCAGTATATTTTTATAAGAAGATACGACTTATCACATGTAAGCACTGCTCTGACTTTGTGCTTCCAACATAGTAACCCTAAGAAATAGTTTAGTCCTTCCTGAGAGCCTCTGTAATAGTTGATGGCTCACTATGTCTTCCAGGACAAAATGTGATTAGATTAAATTAGATCCTGTAATCTTCGCCCCAACAATAAATCAAGCCACCATATAAATAGACAGAATTCCCACTTCCCTCATTTCTTCCCCATTTTCTCACATTTCACTTCTTCTCTTTCTCCCTCAAGCCTCATGAATCCAGTTCTCAACAAAACATAGTTCCTATTCTCCCCAGTAGTAACACATTCCCATAGTTAAGCTTTCTTTTCTCCTTAAACATACTGAAATCTTTATCCGTTAGGGATAGTTTCTGTTAGGAGATATATCGCTTCTTCAAATGTAAATAGTTGATAGGTCTTAGCTTTACTATATCCCCAAAGGAGGGCTTATTAACAACAACAGCATCAAAAAAAAAAAAAAATTCAAGGGAGAGAAGCTTGGAGTCTGGAGCCTCATATTGTTTCAAACAGGAACACTAGGCAAAGCAAAGCAAATAGAATACTTGAAGTCAATAAGTAGTGTTTTAGTCCGATGTTTCTCCTGATCATTGTTAGAACTCTGTGTGAACCTTGAGAGGCAGCCAAATAACAGTCCTCTATGCTGGACTTGAATAGCATGAATAAAGAAGAATTCTGTGTCCCAGGACACAGGTTACATTTAGACCAGGCTTGACATTAACAATTTAGATATATAATAAGTAAAAGTCTGTGTGCCTCTGACTTCTACTCATCAGATAATATTTTTGTCCCTTGAGGACCATTTCTAAAAAGCTCAATCTTTCTTCTGCATGACACAATGTACTTGAAAAGCTGTTACCTCTCAACTGACTCTTACAGTCATTAGATTAAACATCAATTGCTCCTAAAAGTGTGTGTCATATGATATGATATGATTCCAATGCCTTTCACTATTATGAAGACACTCCTCTGAGCAATTAGTCTACCATCTTTTAAAATTATGATATTCAAAAATAAATGCAATATTACAGATGTTTTTGCCTTCACACTGAAGATGGTCTTAAAATGCAGTCTAAGAGTGGTCACTTTTTATTTTCATATATCAGACTCTCAAATTTATATGAACCTCTTCAGGAAATGTGTTGACATACATATCTACCTAATCAATAAATGTTATTAGTTTTTCCTTCAGATAATTCTAGAATCCACAGCAATTTGTTTCTATGCTTTAATGGTGAGGCATTGAAGATCTCATCTTGGTTCAAGCCACAGTCATCTGTCACATAGACCATTACAACCAGCTCCTAACTGGTCTCTTTGTTTCAAATTTTGCCTATCACAGTCTATTCTCTATATGGTGATAAAGTGTCAAAGTGGACTTTCACAAAACAAAGGCAGATCACATCCCTCATCTGCTCAGTGACTTTTTTCCCCACTGAATATGGAATTAGATTGTCTACTGTCACTAAAATATAAGCTCCATGAGGGTGTAAATTTTTGTCTGTTTATTCACTGCTGTATCTCCAGTCCTTAGAATGGTGCCAGCCACTTAATAATTTACTCATAAATAAAAATTAATATTACTCAATAATTAATAATACTACTCAATAAAAAATAGTTACTAAAGCAATAAAATCTTTTTCATAATTGCTGTAACACAATCTATAGCTCTTTCAACTGCTATATTAGATTTTATTGTAGAACATTGTTAAATTTCATCTTAATATAGAATTATGCCATTAAAAAATCTAAGACAATCAACTTACAGGGTATTTGTACTAATTAGATAATAAGCTAATTAGATAGTATCCAAAGCCCAATATATTTGCATAGATTATAGTAAAAATAAATTGTGAAGCATAGTGGAAGAACACCTGTTCATAATACCAATGAAAAATATAATTAACCTAACAATATACTGTAAAATACGGATACCAATATCAAGAGAACTAAAACATTTATTTATGCACAAAACAACTTCCATCAATGAAAAAACATAACATGCTCTGGGCAAAATATTATATGGTGTCAATTTCTCCACAATTAACTTACAAATGAAATGAAACTGAAACCATTATACCAATAAGATGCTCAAGGTAATGTGGAGAAGTTGATTGACTTATTTTGGGAGATAATCTTCCAGAGGAGTAGTTTAAGGTAAGTTTTTGGAAAGAAAAATTAGTTTAATGAATTAAGCCAAGTAAACCAATCTAGGCCTACTATGTAACGAACATTTATTGCTTAACCAATAGAAACAATTAAATCTTAAAAATAATAATTTAGGGTTAATTATCTCTGTATTCTATCATTATCTTCTAGTTCATAATTTTTCAACCAATAAATGAATATTATCTTCATTTGTACATATTTTATGACCATAATCTCAATTACTTTTCCTTTAATCAGTTAATATTTATTATCTGCATAATAAGTTGTAGTCCACAACATTGGAAAAATGTTAATATTGATGATCATCTTTTATAAGACTCCTTATAAATTTTCCTTTAAATTAACACTTACTTAGCTTATTTCTGAATATTTCTGAGGGCAAAATTTAAAACATGGTTTTCCCTCTCGATATTCCTAGCACATTTCTGATACTGCTTAAAAATACCCTCTGTGTTGTGAGCATGCTCATACACAGTGATCTAATTGTTATGTCATCTGTTTGCTATTTATCCATATTATCTACAAACATTTTATAAAAAGTAGTCACAAATCCCTGACTAGCATTGAGACATTGTTTCCTTACCATGTTCTAATCTAATAATATATAAATTAAATAACTAATAATTGTATAACTTATTGAGGCAGTTAGTCTAAAATGTCTCATTCTTTGCTAATTCATATGGGATACTAGTTATCACTGACCCATTTTCTATGTTATCCTAAGCATCCTTTGAACGATATCCTCTAAACTCTTCTCACATATTGACTTCAAGCTCAATAGCCTGTGATTTTCAGTAGTGAAATCCGTTTTCTGGTTATTCAGTTTGGTTTATTGCTCATCTTCTGGAACTTCTCCCAGTCCCCATATCCCTCTGAAGCCATAGACAGTGCTTCACTAATCTTATTTAAATGTATTCACAGGGCTCTGAGATCTCTGAGATATAACTGCAAACTTTACTTGATTAAGCTTTGTTTTAATTATTTCATCTCCGCTTTTATATTCTTCTTTCATGACTTTCTGAATATATACTTTATGTTATGGTTACATCACTTTACAGATGCCATCAAAATTAGCATTTCTTTAGGAGTCCATTTATAGTTTCACAGTAAATTGTTATAACAATAATTATATTTAAAAATGTCTTCAGAGTAATTAATCAGTTTACCAGAAAAAGTACTACTTAGACATCTGGGAGCACCAAATTAATGGAATCTATCTCATTAAAGAATTTTGACATGCCTTTATATTTGACCCACACAAGCCTCTTGTGTGACTTGTATAATGACCGTAAGAATGAAATACAAAATATGGTTTTGTCTCTTATGCATTCCTATCACAGTTCTTCTAGAGCTTTATGATATCCTCTGTGTAGTGAGCATGTATGTACTACACAACATGGTAAGGGTATATATTGCAAATTTGATTTTTCAATAGTAGAACCTAGCCCAAAATTTAATTAAGGCATTGCAGCTTCTAATAACAAAAGAGAGAAGTAAATTTAACTGAAAGGAAGATTAGTGAAAGTTTAACAAACAAACTAGCACATGTGTAATAAAATCTGATATTGTGCCTTATCAAATTAGCAAAAGTATTTTTTCTTATTCTTTTCTGTTCTAATTTTAATGAGAATTTTAAATGCAGGCATATGCGCCATATAACATACACTGCTTATAGGAGAGTTAATGGTGTATTTGTGTATGTGTGTAAAAGATGTAATCAGAAATATATATTTATGTATGATTATCACCATTCTTTTTTAACGCTGAAATTGGGATTAAGTGAATGCTTAAGGATGTTGAATTTTGTAATATAATTTTTGTTTTCTAAATTGTGTTTTATGAATTTTTAGTAATGGTAAAAATATGATATCAAATGAAAACCGAAGATAAGAAAATGCTAAATCAGGTATAGACAGACACACACACACACACACACACACACACACACACACACACACACAAACATATATATATGGGGGGGACAGAGAGAGAATGACATAACTGAGATACAGAAGGAGGAAAAATGAAAACTGTGACAATGACTATTTCTATGTTATCAAATGATGAGGAATTTTTATTCTTCAAAACTTTCTGAATTTTCTAAATTTCTAGTTTGTTCTTTTTCAAAAGTGATGTGTGTCTTTTATTATTTAAATACATTAGGAAAAGAACACAACTTTGGAAAAGGAAGAAGAGAATGACAATAATAATTCCATGTCCAGAGTTTTTATAACTAATGAAATTTTATTTTATATCATGTTTATAGGCATAATAATTTTTATCTTTAAATAAAAACTCTAGCTCTATATATCTGTACATATTCACCAAAAATAGTTTCAGGAAGAAAACATCATTCACCCAGATTTTAGATCTCATTTGAATCCTAACCCCACAAAGCAGCTGTGATTTCACTCCATCACTCCAATAATGAACTGAGAACGTGAAAACACAAGATTGATGTGTTTGTTTAAAGAGAGCTAATATGTCATGCTTGGCTAATGCTGCTCAACTTCATCAGTGGTAAAGAGAAGAGAATGCTAGTAATGAAGCATCTACTGCACATACTTCAGTGATCGAAAGTGACATGAGAAGCACAGCATTTGCTATTCTCTTCAGATTCAATCTTCTGAACCATGTTGCTCTGGACAAGTCATCTTTTAATCATTTATACAGCAACCGAGCAACTTGATGCTTCAATAGTAGAACCCAGCTCAAAATTTAATTAAGGCATTCCAAGTTCAAATAACTGAATGAAGATGTAGACCTAATGAAAAAGAAGGAAGGAAGAGAGGGAGGAACGAAAGAATGAGGGGATCAAGGCATAGAGGAAGGGAATGGGAATGAGCCTAAGAATACTATTGGGTGATAGCTAACAAAACTAGAATATCCAGGCAACAATATTTATTTTCAGATCTTATCCTTCCACCTGTATTACTTGTCCTTTTTAAATTCCCCAAACCATAGCCACAATAAGGAAAGTATATTTTTTTCAAATAGATGTGTTTTACCTGCACACAATACGTATGTTTGGTAGCAACATAAGTTTTGTAGGAACCCACTTATCTCCTCTCTGATGTCAAATTCAAACCATTAGGCATCAATTTTCAAAGTATTTCCAATTCTCCCTAAAAGACTGGGCTTTTCCAAACTGCAGTGAATGTGAAATTCTACCCATAGACTATAACATGGAAGATCGGCTGGGTGCAGTGGCTCACGCCTGTAATCCCAGCACTTTGGGATGCCGGAGCGGGCAGATCACCTAAGGTCAGGAGTTCAAGACCAGCCTGGTCAACATGGTGAAACCCCGTCTCTACTAAAAATACAAAAATTAGCTGGGGATGGTGACAGGTGCCTGTAATCGCAGCTACTCGGGAGGCTAAGGCATGAGAATCGCTTGAACCCAGGAGACGGAAGTTGCAGTGAGCCGAGATAGCACCACTGTACTCCAGCCTGGACAATAAGAGTAAAATTCTGTTTCAAACAAAAAAAAAAAAAAAAAAAAAGAAAGAGAGTGAGAGTTTTAAAAAGCATGGAAGAATGGAAGATAGTATTTATTCTTATTTTTGCTTTAATGCTACAGCATTTTTCCTCATTAAAGAGCATGCTGAAAATATGCCATCCTTACCAACACTCAATTATCGAGCCATTAGTTCATGTGTGCTAGTTTTTAGCCTTTTAATGAGAGGTCGGTGGCATATCTAATACATGTGATATATTAGTGCTAGAGTGGGTTTGCTTTCCTGAGATGCCCTTGTTTGCCTCAATATCTTTCTTAGTTCTTTCTACCTTGATACATTTTTATGAACAGCTGAGAAACAAATCCAAAACACCCTGAATGTTCCACGATCGAAGGGAAGTTGGCAGGTACTGAGGAGTCCCAGGATTAGGTATTTGTTTGGCATTAATGTATTAAATATCCATTAAACAAACTGTGAGCTAGTCTTTCCAATGTCCTTTCTAAAGAACAAAATTTAGGCACAGATGTTCACCTGGCACCATGGGTCATATTCCCCTACATGGCCTAGGGTGGCTGTTAGCTTTGTTCACTGGTTCCTCATCATACTCTATTTTGCTTTTACTAATTCTCAGGCTGTTTAGTTATTTCTTACTGTTGTCATTGCACCCTGCTCACCAACCCAAACGATTTACTTTTATTCTTACCTATAAACGCCCTCATTATTTGCAGAAATGTTCAAATGATTCATACAAGCTAAGTCACATCAGAGCTCTGTCTTCCTCCCAGCTTCAGGAATGCATTTGACTAAAATTGAAATAGGAGAGTAACAGTTTCAAATAAGCCATTTTTATGGGCTTTGTCACTTGTTTTTAAGCAGAGGGGTAAAAAAAACCTTACCTAAATTCTCTGAGTCATGAACCCATCTTTTCTTCCCTTAATCCCTCAGCACAGTGGGATTAGTGTATATCTGAAAGGACTGTAAGCAGAGCTGTTATCTCAGCACGTTTCCACTGGCACCTCCCTGCAGGTATCCAGTGCTTGTTGCAAACTAAGAAAAACTTGAGATTAGCCACTGGCAAATCGTTATGAACAACTGCATATTCTCCTATTGCAGCCGTAAAGAACCAAGGCATTCATTTATTGAGAGAAAACTGTAAACCTTCCAGAAGAATAAAATTGGAGAACACAATAAAAACATAATGAAAAGAAAACAAGATTAACTATAAGACTTGAGACTGGATACTGAGAATAATTCTGAAAAAAAATTCTTTATACAATTACAATAAGTTGACATATAGTATACTCTCCATTGTTAACCTTCATAATGGAAAATATACAATAATCCTTCTTTTCAGACCTCTTTCATTTGGAATTCAAGATACTTTCAAGACAGGGTTTTAACGTTGAAAAAAGGCTTAAAATCCAAAATTAATTGTCTGGAAAAAATAAGACATAAATTTGAATTGCTTACTTATGAATGCAAGACACTGAAGAACTTAGAAATACATACATTTAGTCACACAGTCTTATACATTATTCTACATTTATAATATTCTATTGCATCTCACTTAATCTATTCAAAGATACTTTCCCTTTTATGACTATAATATTGGTTTATTGAACTGTTACTAGGTGATATTATCCTTAGTACCCAATGTTCTTCATTTCATGTAATCTTCACACCAATCCTATGCAATAAATGCCACCTTTTTGTAGATGACTGATAGAAGTTAAACAATGTTTTCATGGTCACACTGTTAGTAAATAATCCAACTGGAATTTAAACCCATCCAGTCTACCTGCAGACGACCACCATTTCATATGACTTCCCCATTATCTTATATATTACATATTTTCACTATTTTACTTAAAAATAGAAAAAAAATCTGTTTGAAATGTTACTGTGTTGGTAATCACAATGATCTGGTTCCACAGGGCTCTTGTAACAAATGACCTCAACAAGCTGTTTATTTCTTAGTTTGATAAAATACCATTGGCATTCCATTGAGGCAGGGATAGACACCCATAAAGAAGGCACCGTTTAAATCTGTTTTATATATGCTTCAAGAATTGCAAGATATCAAACTATTTCTCAAAGAAATGGTAAAGGATTCCGGTGTTACTAATAAACTACCAGGACACTGTTAAACAAGAACAACAAAGGCAAAGACTGCACCAAGCTCAGGGAGGAAGTGAACAGGACAGGTATTTTGTAATAGTGTACAACCACTGGAAGGTGAGCTGGATGCAGTGAATGACAGGATATAACTGAGGTGGCTAGGTGACCAATGTTATTGCTACTTTTTTCTCAAGGCTAAAGGAGCATGAAGGTTGATAATGTCTAGGAGGAAAAAGCCATATGTATACAATTTGCATTTGTTGCCCGTTTTGTATTACTTTCCAGAAACTTCTAAATATAATAGAAATCATATCAGCTTCATAATATGTCCTTGGACCTTAGAAATTACAATATATGCACAGATTAGATAGACAGATGATAGATTTGAGTAACAGGGATTATATTTATGTGTATATATATGGATACATATATTACTAAACACACATACATTTGTGAATTCGCTGTGCAACCATCAATGTGATGATGAGTACATCAAAATGACTTCATCCTCTAGGTTACTGAGGACATGATTCTAACTTCTAGCAGTTACTATATTTGTGTCTGAATTTCAAAAGATTGTGCAAATTTGGATGTGAAGGAAATTGTTTGATAATAGCCATTCCCATAAATAATCCCAAAGCCAAATATGTGTCTTATGGCATGCCATATTTGCCTCTCTTCCTCATCTTATTCAGGAAGAGAATATTTAATTGTTTTTAAATAAGACAGAGATCACTTTAAAAATCATAGAATGTTTTCAGGAACACGAAATACATGATTCTAAAATGATTGAGTTAGTAAAATTAGGAAGTTCTGTTGGAGCTAATTCATTAGATCTGAGAAGAAACATCAGTATTGTAATAGCAGCATTTATTAACCCCTTGTCCATTTTATTTGAAAGGGAAAACATGGGTGCAAATAGTTTGTCTGCAATACTTAGAGATTCTACTAGCTTCCTAGGGCTGCCCTAACAAGTCACCACAAACTAGGTAGCTTAAAACAACAAAAATGTATTCTTTTTTAAAGTTCTGGAGGTCAGAAGTCTGAATTCTAAACGCTGTAGGGTAATCTCTCCTTACCTTTTCCAGAGCCTGGTAGCCATTGTCATTCCTTGGCTTCCTTGACTGTGGCCACATTCTTCTAATCTTTTCTCTGTCTTCGTATCACTTACTCTGCTTCTGCCTCACAAATCCCTCCCATTTATCTCTTTCAAGGACACTTGCCATTGGATTTGGGGCCTACTCAAAAAATCCTGGATGATCTCTTCACTTCAAGACCCTTAATTTAATTCCAGTTATGACAATTCTTTTTCTAAATAAGGCAACATTTACAGATTCCAGAGATTTGATCTGGGGCATATAGTTTTGGAGGCCACTATTCAACCCACTACACTGATTTACAATACATGAGCAAGGGCCATGATAATACATGGCCCATGTGGGTTGGGTAGGCCCTGAGGAAGAAGACTTCACATGCTCAATGGCAATAATTTTAAAAGATTTGAAGGTCTGCTTCTCCCTGATTATTTGGGGTACCCTATCCAAAAAATATTACATAGGTGAGAGCTATCCCATTTTTCTTATTGAAACAGGTTCAAAGCCCTTTAAAGAACCAGTCTCCCCTTTCCATTAAAAATCAAACCAGCAGATAATATAATAAAGTTTATAGGGAATAAGAAAAGGAATAATTTAGCTCCTCTTTTTCCCTGCTCACCTCTAAGACTACATTACTCTCAGTTTGATTAAACTTACTTCTTTCATAATGCTCCCATCTCCTCAGTTCATCAAGGTTCTTGAATTACTCTGATTTTGTTAGTGGCGACACTATAATTCCTAATATGATACATCTCCTTAATAAACATAGAAACATATTCAGTCACAAAAGATTTTGAAAATGCAGCTTACTCCATATTTTGATGGATTTGTCACAATAGCCATGACTCTTGAGAGGGTATTAAAATGTCTTGCAACTTAACATGTACAGTTAAATTATTTAAAATATCTTATTCTCATAGTCAAAACTTGAGGAGTTTGTGGTAAACAGTTGTCTTTAGATATAAGAAGAGTTGCCTACGATATGTTAGAGTTTAATCTGTGTCAGATTTTTACTGAGAAGGAAATTTGTATAAAGTCTTTCAAACAAGCTAATGAATCTATGTATTTGAAGGAGTGAGGAGCAGACATATTTATTGTGAAATTAACCAGATTTTCAACATCATACTAGTGGGATTAATTAGTATAATTATTTTAAGGAGAATCAGAACCTACCAGTTATCAGACTGCTCCAATAAAAAAAAAACTCTAACATTTGCATTTTAATATTTAAACAACAAAATGTGAATCAAGAGATACAAACTTCAACGTCTCTTTTCCAAATTTAGATTCTTAGGAAGTATGCGCAGTCTGAAAACCACACTGTTCACCATTTCCTGTTCAATTTACATTCAACCTCATACATTTCCTGAGAACCAGAAGAATAGCAGAAATCTATCCTGGTGTAGTTTATCATTTTGAAGGAGATCTTTCAAATGTAAGGAAAAAACACAAGACGATACACTGACATCATGTATTCATTCCCATTAAGTCAGAAAAATTGAAATCTAGTATATTATAAACAATAAATAGATTATTCATTAAATGAAATGGCCAGACACTTTAAAAAGCAATGAACTTGCTCTCTTATATTAAAGCATTTAGAAATGCAGTTTAATTTTCAGTTTGAACTAGGTTCTTTTATTCTCATTTACTATTTGCCAAAATGCCTCTCAATACTACAATACTCTTCAATGGTGTCTGAAATGATGAATTAAGAACTGTGGTATGATGATTACAAATGCACATATCCAACTCCTTGCATGAGGTCAATTGATAGACTTTTCACATACATATGAAATTATAATTTTCTATAAATAATTGTAGTAGGCACATTAAATAATGGACAGAGTGCTTACTTAGAACAAATTAAGTGCTTACTTAGAACAAATTAACATGCCAAAATCAACACTAATAAAGAGTGCTTACTTAGAACAAATTAAGTGCTTACTTAGAACAAATTAACATGCCAAAATCAACACTAATAAAGTATATCGTAAGAAACTAAAGCCAATGAACATATTTCTAAACTATTCCCTAAATTGAGTCAGTGGAGACTTCACACAAAGAGGTTCTGTATTAGTCAGGGTTCTCTAGAAGGACAGAACAACGGAATATATATGTGTGTGTATGTACATGTATATAAACGGGAATTTATTAAGTATTAACTCACACGATCACAAGGTCCCACAATAGGCCATCTGCAGGCTGAGAAGCAAGGAGAGCCAGTCCGAGTTCCAAAACTGAAGAACTTGGAGTCCGATGTTCGAGGGCAGAAGGCATCCAGCACGGGAGAAATACGTAGGCCGGGAGGCTAGGCCAGTCTATCTTTTCACATTTTTTGCCTGCTTATATTCTAGCTGTACTGGTAGCTGATTTCGTTGTGCCCACCCAGATAAAGGGTAGCTCTGTGTTTCCCAGCCCACTGACACAAATATTAATCCCCTTTGGCAACACCCTCACAGACACACCCAGGATCAATACTTTGTATCCTTCAATCCAATCAAGTTGACATTCAGTATCATCACAGATTCTAAATGGTATATAATAACACTATGTCACTTACTGTTGTACTTTCTTCCACTCAGTCAAAAGATCAATTGCTAACCAAAATATTTTATTTGAAGAATAATTTTAAAAATCATTGTCTATGAGCTTTGATATCATTTTATAGAAGATATTGTTACCTTGGATATTTTTCTATTTCTCTCTCTTTCTGTGTGTGTGTGTTTAGCTTTGTGCAAAAGTAACTGTAGTTTTTGCCAATTATAGTATATGAAATATATATTTTAATGGAATTTTTAAAAAATTAGAAGTTATAGACCAAAGTATTTTAAAAAATTTGGCAGTTACAGACCTAGTTATTATCACCTGAAATATGTAGAGTCTCTACTCACTGAGAAACTTTCATTGCATTTCTTGTGGTGAGTAGATAAGTGAATTCAGAGAAGAGACTTGGGATTTAATCCCTGTTAGGCCACTAACTATACATGTGACATTGAGTGGGTCTTATTTCAAGCATCATCTATAAAATGAGTATATTGCTATGCAATCTGGTATCCCTTCTAGATATGGAGAACTGTATCAAAATATTTACCAAATATACCCATTTCAATCCCTGAGAGTGCTGTCTTGTTTCCTTGCGGGACCTGAACAACTCCAAGCAGATCCTAATATGCTTAATTGTATATAAAATGTGGTCAAAATTGATTAATTCATTTAAAGTGGTTATGCAAAAATAGGCTAATGAGAAATTTTACATAATCACAGAACTGTACATTTTATTGCTACATTTGGAATGGGAGATCAATCCCAGAATATTTTTATTTTACTGGCAAATGTGTTGAAATGTTAAACTCTCATAGACATTGCGTGTCTTTTAAAGAAAATCCTAAGAATTGGAATATTACCCAGATAGAGATATCTATCTTGATCTACATGTTGATGTGGGTCATTTGTTTTTACTGTGTAGGAATTTGAATTTTAGATCCTTATAGTACATATAAAGAATAGTCATCACCACTCATCACGAATTAACGAATTTTCTGAAGGTGAAAAATCACATGAAAGCTATGGATAATCAGTGCAATTATATTGCAAGGAGCTGCATTTTTTTCAATATTTTATTGTAAACATTTTTGCTGCATACAGTCAACAGTTTCAACTATCAAAGTGGCTAGAGTTTGAGAGGAAAGTGTGGCTTAAAGAATTAGCATTTTAACTTTAGCACTAAATTGTGAGAGTAAGCAGAGTCTCATTTATCTTATGCCTGATGTTACACTCACTGTCTACACTTTCCAGATTGGAAAATTAATGAATAAAAATACCTCCTCTAGTTTCATTGACACCTGGTATGTTCAAGCAATGTGAAGATATTCTTTTATTGATATAAAGACGTAAAAAAGCAAAAAAAGAAGCACTGAAGAAAGAAGCATTGTCTCCATCCTGATTTTGGTGCCTGGAGATATGCGTCACCCAGTTTTGCATCTAAAGGCCATAAAATTAGCCATAGACTGTTTCCGTACATATGTTTAGTGTGCATAACTGGGATCTGTATGCCTTTTAGCCACTTGGGGTGGTTGCTTTATTTCATGAAAGAGAAAGATGGACAAGAAGACAGATGTTGCTATAGGTCCTGGATACAACAAAGAATGTGTTATTTGTCCAGGCAGCCGTTATTTGGTGAACATGCAGATATACCCCAAAGAGCCTGGGTTTCTGGTCTAATTTTCTTTCAAAATGAAGAATGAGAATTAAATCTCTATTCTATGAAACAGAGTTTCCAGGAAATCTAGAGTGAAAGGGTAATTTCACCAGGATACAGACTTATAATTTGAGGTTAATAATGAAATATTTGATAGATTTTTATATCTTCAATTCTACATACAGCTCTCATAGAGATCAAAAGATCCCATCCACTTAAGAGGAGATATACCCTCTAATAAATGAGTCAATTGTTTCAGGTTAGAATTAATTTCTGACCCTTGTAGATTCTTTAAGGATTCTTCAGAAATAAACTGAAGGTTGAATATAAATTATTTCATGCAAATTTCTATTTCTTTCCATATGGAAATTACAATATTATTAAAGTACCCATGAGTAAAACAAAATATGTATCTCAAGAAATTTGCATTTTCAAGGGGAATTTCCTCTCATAAAAATAGAACTAAACTCACCTTATAAGAAAACAAATATTTATTGAATGCTTCCTATATGTCAGTATAGACCACCATACTAAACATGCTTTACCAGATTTAACTCTTGCACATAAAACCAAGAAGGTAGGGTCTATGTGTATTCCTGTTTGGTAGCTGAGGAAACAGGCATTGATAGTCTAGTAACTGGTTCAAGTTCTCTCAAATTTTAAGTGGTGGAGCAAGGCTTAGAACCCCAGCATTCTGGCGACAGGGACTGGGATATTAATCATTATGTTATCTTCTTGATACAAAAAATAATGTTTCACATCAGAACCTTTCAATACATTTAAACATGATTTGAGCAATAGCTTCATAGATTGTTGTTTTCATTTTTGTTGTCCCCCATAAACATGTAAATACAAAGAATCTGAGACTTTTTAAATCAAGATGTTGGAGAGAGCAGGTAGTATAAGATAAAGAAATAAGGAAATGAATCAAATAATATTTGAACTGTTTTTATTTAGTCTTTCCAGTTAACAAAAACCAGTGGATTCTTTCTTATCTGGCTCAACAAAACTATGCACTATTATAAATCTCAACACATTAAAAAAAAAAAATTGTAATGGCTGAAAAAAGCAATGGCATGGGCTTTGTCTTGATTCTATAAACGTTTTGCAATTTTCACATTGCAATAAATAAACATTTAAAATTGTATAAGTAGTTTATTGTCAAATAATACATATAAAAATCTGAAATAATTTCCCTTATAAAGTTAATACATGAATTGAAAAAACATTTTTGTAATGCAGGATTGTATCACTTGTTTTTGTACTTTGGCTTTCTACTGACTCAAAAATAACTTAGGTTTTAATACATGTCAGTTATGAGCTAAATTAGATTAATCATTATATTTTTCCAAATAGCAATCTGCCCTCATTGCAATTTGTTTTTTCCTGTTTTCCTTTTTCTCTTCAATTGTAGCTGTGACTCAGATAAAGCATTAGCTCTTTCAGAATCTGTACTTATACCAATGGACCAGTCTTTTAAAAAATAAATGACTTTTTAGAGTAAACATTTTTCCCATTTTTAATTTAAAAATAGTCATTTTAATTTTTAAGAAATATCAGCTATTAAATAAAATTAAATCGGAGTGATGAATACCTTTTAATCATTTTATAGTCCTATCCAGACTTACTAAGTCTGTAAAAGTCACTAGCTATGAAAAGCAAATTGCTTTAACAACCATCTCAGAAACATATTTATTTGAACAAGGGTGCATTTAAGACTTTAAATAGTTAATAGTAAATGATTCTATAGCAATTTCACAAACATTATTATGCAATTAACTATTAAAGGAGACCTTAACATAAACAAGAGGGCAGTAAGACATTTAGCATTTAGTTATGTGGTAACAGGACACCTAGAAAACCTCTGTTATCAGTCTTTGTAGAGTCAAATCTTGAAATCTCAGTAGAGAACCTCTACAGAGAGAATGCGTTGGCTAGCTAAAGCTATGGCTAAAGAACTTCAAACCTGCAGAGACTGAGACTTCTTGGTTTGACCCAATGGAAGACACTTATTAACTGAAGTGAACTCAAGCAAGGAAAGAAAATAAAAACAAATTGAATTTTTTAATATATTTATTTAATAAAGGTTCAGAACAACAGAAGTTTGCATCCAACATCCACGTGTATGAAGACTCTGTAATATAACTGGGCTAATACAGATTACCATCATGGTCTCTACTAATTAAAGAACTCCAAAATGGAAAGTTACAAAAGATTTCTTGGTGCGCTAAAGCTGGTTTTCCTTCTCTTCTTGAGATAGAAAAATAGGAAGTTTTAATTTATATAGTGGGAAGCAGACTGAACTATGAACTAGGAAATCAGTTTGAGACCCTTCTGATCAAACTGATCATAGTGGACAAATCTTCCCATGATAGTGGACAAATCTTTTCATTTCTTTTGACTTTTCATCTGTAAAAAGTCAGGTTTGATGATTTTATTATATAATTCTTATTATTCCTTCTGGCTCTAAATTTCAATGACCCAATGCACTGATTGATATTTTTCTTTTAAGAAAGCGCATTACCAAAATGCACTCTAATTACAAAAAAAAAATACATTATTTGAAATGGACTAAATATAAACATGTGGAGAGTGTAACATAATATGAATATGCATATATGGATAATAGAGATGCTATGCGCACATATATATGTTTAATCCATTGTATTATTGGATAATAAAATTAAATAAAATTAAAATATATGTTTAATCCATTGTGTTATTGGATTAAACATATATATGTGTAATATATTGTAATGTGTAATACAATAATATTATTGTATTATTGTAAAACAATTTAATTTACTTATTCAAAGTTAATTGTCAATTTTTCATTAACAAATAAATTAACATTACATTAAAAATTCTCATTTTTTATCGACTAATAGGTTCTGAATAATGCTAAATAAAACTGGCAAGTATTCATACTACATATTCTAAAATATTATCCTTCTTAATTATACATCTAACTAAATTTTAAATGAATTTCAAGTAACTATAAATAATTATCTTTATCTGCCTCAAAGAGATACAATATATGAATTGCATAATTTGTGTTATTAATTCAATCTCTTTGGCTCTAAAGATGAATCAAGCTAAAGATGTAGAATTGTACAAATATCCATCAAATGGCCATCTCATCTTTTTTGTGAACATATCGTGACATTTAGTTTTCATTTCTCTACATCATCTACTAATTCTAATCCCAGCAGAAGGGAGAAAATAATGTTTAGGGGCTAGCTTTTCACCATATTCTAATAGTAACAAAAGGACTAGGACATCAGTCTTGGATAATGAGTTTGGGGGATTGATAGCTCATAAAAGCTTATGAATTTATCTTGAGAAGTAGTTTGAGAGGTCAGCTTGTCTCTTTCAACTTATAATGAGACTGGCAACTAAACTGTCTAAATTGATGGTATCTTATCCTATTGCAAATGACCTTGAGCCAAGATAATTCCATTTATTTTCTTTATAACCCAGTATAATAAAAATCTAGTCATGGTGGCTGGAGCTATGTAAATTTACCCTCCTTCAGCAATGACAGAGGTTATTGCTATATGGAAGAAAAAGTGAAGCAAATTTTCAACAGTACTTAATTTACTATTAGAAAATAATTTTGAAACACTTCAAAGGTGCCAAAGAAATACCACTTTACTAAAACTCGGGCTGAATACAATAAAGACTATATGTGAGCAAAGTCATCAGCATTCTCTACATGCTTTTTCTGTTATTCTCTTCAGTCTAAGAGCACATGGCCACATCCCTCCAAAGTCAGCTCTGTAAGATGTTCTATCCAAAACCTATAATGAAAGTCCTGCCCAAAATTCTGCATCCTCCAACTACTCAGCACACAACTATGAAAGACATGATGCTTAGCCATTTACAATAGCCTGGTTTTGATTCCAATTTAAAGGGAAGTGTCAATATTTATCCACACCATAAAAACTTCATCATTTTCTTGTTTATTGTCATCATTCAGGTTTGAAACATTTAAGGATTTAGTGGCTTTTCCTGTTTTTTCAATTTCCACATCCAATTATTTGACAACTTCAAGTTTTTCTGATCCAGGCTTATTCCTCTATCAAGTTTTGCATAATTTCATAAGTATGTACATTCTCTGGCATCAATGACCAAGAATTCAACAAATTCTCAGAGGAGTTCTGAACAAACTACCTACCTAAATAAATAAACAAATGTATGGAACATTGCATACATTCTCACTACTAGTTATCTAATTCTGTTCTTCAGCCATCAGTCTTATTTCTCCAATTTATAATATACCCTACTGACACAGAAGCTCATTGTCATCACTCACTTGCCCATTAAAACAAAACCAGGATAAAACCGTAATATCAATATCATCATAAGCCACGGTCCAGCATGGCAACAAATGGGGCACCAGGTAAATAGCAATATATTTTCCTGGTTAAAAATGCATGTGATTATCATTTATGTAGCTGATGGTATATACATATCATTGTGTAGGAGATTTGTGTTTTTCTTTTTGAGTGATCAGGGTATAAACACCTTTTCACCTAGAAATGAAAAATGTGAGAGTGTCACTTTCCTGAGCTTTCTTGGATTTAGGACAAAATAAGTCATACATAGCCTCAACCAACCAGAGTTCTTGAAGCCTCAATTCTCCAGCAGCTCAAATGAAAACTAAGGATGAAAAGATGAAGCAGAAGCTGAGCAGCATCAATTCTGTCAAGAATGGTATAAGTGACAATAATAATGGCTCATTCAATTTTCAGAGGCATCAATTGCTGATTCAAAAAGAGGCACTGTGTGCCCAAAGTTGGTGATGTTGGAAATACAAGCTGCAGTGTCTGTGACCAGAGGCAGTTGCCATGGTGTTTTCACAGGATCAGGTCCACAGAGAGATCTGAAGCCCTGCTTCTGGCTGAGTAGCTTCCTTGTCCCATTTTCTTGAACTCTCAAAAATTCTGTGAGCTTCATAATATCCTTTTAAGAAATTCATTTACTACTTACACTACCAAAAGCTGGTTTCTGTTGCTTGCAAAGAGTACCCTGAATGATGTAGTGGCTGTTTAAGACTACATGTAAATAAAGAAGTCTGCCTTATGTCTTGTAAAAAGTAAAGAAATAATTTAAAATGCCCGACTTAATCCTCCACAATACAACAACAAAATGAAATACTTACCAAAGGCCCTTTCTTTGCCAACTGGAACTTGAAGTTTTAACTATCAGAAAAAGTAAAAATGAGTGAGTGGACTTGAATAATGTTCACATTTATGTTTGTCACTTAAAAATTTGATTTTTAAATTAATACACTTTATGTTTAGAGAAGATTTAGGTTCACAGAAAAATTGAGCAAAAAGTACAGAGTTTTTATATGCCCCCTGTCCCACACATGCACAGGCTTCCCCACTATCCACATCTCACACCACAGCAGTACCTTTGTTAAAATCTGGGAAACTATATCAACAGGACATTATCACCCAAAGTCCATTGATTACATTAGAGTGCCTTCTTGGTGTTGTATACTCTATGGTTTTGACAAATGTTAAATAATATGTATTCATTATTATAATATCATAGTTTCACTGCCCTGAAATTCCTCTATACTGTGCCTATTCAACACTCCCTCCCCATCACCCCTGGCAATCAATGATCTTAATATTTTATCCATAGTTTTGCCTATTCCAGAATGTCATATAGTTGGAATAATACAGTATTCACCTTTTCAGATACTCTTCCTTTACTTAGTAATATTCATGTACATTTTCTGTATGTCTTTTCATGGTTTGAAAGCTCCTTTCTTTTCAGCACTTAAGAATACTCTATTGGATGTGCCACAGTTTATTTGTCCATTCACCAACTTAAGGATATCTTGGCAGCCTCTGAGTTTGGGCAATTATGAATAAAGCTATTATAAACATTCATGTATAGTTTTGTGCGGAAATAAATATTCAACTCATTTGGACACATATCAAGGAAGGCAATTGCTGGATTGTATAGTAAGAGTAAGTTCATTTTGTTAAAAATTTGCCAGACTGTCTACTAAAGTGGCTGTAGTATTTGCATTTTAATCAGTAACGAATGAGAGTCCCTGTTTTTCCATAGCTAAGCCAGCATTTGGTGTTGTTAGCAGTTCAGATTTGGGCTATTTTGACAGGTATATAGTGGTATCTCCTTGTTGTTTTAACAGAATTTGTAATTCCCTAGTGACATATGACATAGAACATATTGTCATATGCTGACCTGTCATCTGTATATCTTCTTTGGGGTGGTGTCTGCTCAGGTCTCTTGCCCATTTTTTAATCTGGTTGATCATTTTTTATTGTTAAGTTTTAAGGTATCTTTACATTTTTCGGATTCCAGTTCTTTACTATATTTGTCTTTTGCAAATATTTTCCCCATCTGTGGTTTGTCTTCTCACCCTCTTGAATTTGCATTTTACATAGCAGAAGTTTTTATTTTTAATAAAATCCAGTTTATCAATTTTTTTATTATTATACTTTAAGTTCTAGGGTACATGTGCGCAAGATGCAGGTTTGTTACATATGTGTACATGTGCCATGTTGGTGTGCCGCACCCATTAACTAGTCATTTACATTAGGTATATCTCCTAATACTATCCCTCCCCCCTCCCCCCACCCCACAACAGGCCCTGGTGTGTGATGTTCCCCTTCCTGTGTCCATGTGTTCTCATTGTTCAATTCTCACCTATGAGTGAGAACATGTGGTGTTTGGTTTTCTGTCCTTGCAATAGTGTGCTGAGAATGATGGTTTCCAGCTTCCATATCCCTACAAAGGACATGAACTCATCCTTTTTTATGGCTGCATAGCATTCCATGGTGTATATGTGCCACATTTTCTTAATCCAGTCTATCATTGATGGGCATTTGGGTTGGTTCCAAGTCTTTGCTATTGTGAATAGTGCCACAATAAACATACGTGTGCATGTGTCTTTATAGCGCCGTGATTTATAATCCTTTGGGTATACACCCAGTAATGGTCAAATGCAATTTCTAGTTCTAGATCCTTGAGGAATCGCCACACTGTCTTCCACAATGGTTGAACTAGTGTACAGTCCCACCAACAGTGTAAAAGTGTTCTTATTTCTCCACATCCTCTCCAGCACCTGTTGTTTCCTGACTTTTTAATGATTGCCATTCTAACTGGTGTGAGATGATATCTCATTGTGGTTTTGATTTGCATTTCTCTGATGGCTAGTGATGATGAGCATTTTTTCATGTGTCTTTTGGCTGCATAAATGTCTTCTTTTGAAAAGTGTCTGTTCATATCCTTCGCCCACTTTTTGATGGGGTTGTTTGATTTCTTCTTGTAAATTTGTTTAAGTTCTTTGCAGATTCTGGATATTAGCTGTTTGTCAGATGGGTAGATTGCAAAAAATTTTCTCTCATTCTGTAGGTTGCCTATTCACCCTGACGGTAGTTTCTTTTGCTGTGCAGAAGCTCTTTATTTTAATTAGATCCCATTTGTCAATTTTGGCTTTTGTTGCCATTGCTTTTAGTGTTTTAGACATGAAGTCCTTGCCCATGCCTATGTCCTGAATGGTATTGCCTAGGTTTTCTTGAATTAATTTTTGTATAAAGTGTAAGGAAGTGATCCAGTTTAAGCTTTCTACATACGGCTAGCCAGTTTTCCCATCATCATTTATTAAATAGGGAATCCTTTCCCCATTTCTTGTTTTTGTCAGGTTTGTCAAAGATGAGATGGTTGTAGATGTGTGGTATTATTTCTGAGGCCTCTGTTCTGTTCCATCAGTCTATACCTCTGTTTTGGTACCAGTACCATGCTGTTTTGGTTACTGTAGTCTTGTAGTATAGTTTGAAGTCAGGTAGAGTGATGCCTCCAGCTTTGTTTTTTTGGCTTAGGATTGTCTTGGCAATGCAGGCTCTTTTTTGGTTCCATATGAACTTTAAAGTAGTTTTTTCCAATTCTGTGAAGAAAGTCATCGGTAGCTTGATGGGGATGGCATTGAATCTATAAATTACCTTGGGCAGTATGGCCATTTTCATGATATTGATTCTTCCTACCCATGAGCATGGAATGTTCTTCCATTTATTTGTATCCTCTTTTATTTCCTTGAGCAGTGGTTTGTAGTTCTCCTTGAAGAGGTCCTTCACATCCCTTGTAAGTTGGATTCCTAGGTATTTTATTCTCTTTGAAGCAATTGTGAATGGGAGTTCCCTCATGATTTGGCTCTCTGTTTGTCTGTTATTGGTATATAGGAATGCTTGTGATTTTTGCACACTGATTTTGTATCTTGAGACTTTGCTGAAGTTGCTTATCAGCTTGAGGAGATTTTGGGCTGAGACGATGGGGTTTTCTAAATATACAATCATGTCATCTGCAAACAGGGACAATTTGACTTCCTCTTTTCCTAATTGAATACCTTTGATTTCTTTCTCCTGCCTGATTGCCCTGGTCAGAACTTCCAACACTATTTTTTTTTTATGATCATGCCTGTGGTATCAGGTCTAAAAACTCATCATCATATCCAGAGTCACCTAGATTTTCTCAGAGATTATTATCTAGGAGTTTTATAGTTTTGCATTTTACATTTGAGTCTATAATCCATTTTGAGTTAAATTTTGTGAAAGGTGTAAGGTCTGTACCTAGATTTATATGTGTGTGTGTGTGTGTGTGTGTGTGTACAAATGTTCATTTATTCCAGCACCCATTGCTGAAAAAAAAAACTATCTTTGCTTTATTGTATTGCCTTTGTTTTATGTCAAAGATGAGTTTACTGTATTTATATGGGTCTACTTCTGGGTTTCCATATTCTGTTCCATTGATCTATTTGTCTGTTTTTTGTCAATACCACACTATTATTTTTTACTGTAGCTTTATAATAAGTAAGTCTTATAGTCAGGTAGTGTCACTTCTCCCACTTCATTCTTCTCCTTCGACAATGAGTTGGCTCTTCCAGGTCTTTTGACAAAATCAGTTTGTCAATAGCCATGAAATAACATGATGAGATTTTGACTCAGACTGACTTGGTTCTATAGATGAAGTTGGGAGGAATTGACATCTTGACAAAATTGAGTCTTCCTATCCATAAAAATGAGCTATCTCTCAATTTATTTATTATTTGATATCTTATATCAGAGTTTTATAGTTTTCCTTACATAGACCTTATACATATTTTGTTAGATTTATACATAAGTATTTTACTTTGGGAGATGCTAATGTGAATTGTAATGTGTTTTTAATATCAAATTCTGCTTTTTCAGTGCTGGTTTCTTGGGCAATTAGTTTTTCAGATAGCTAAAATACTCTGTTTGTGTGTCATATGTTTTTAGAATCATAACTTTTGTAATAGATTTTGTATCTGTTTTTATCTTGTCAATTCAAATATCTAATTATTTATAACCTCAGGCAAAGAACATAGCATTTTAATCTGCTCACGAAGAAAAAGAAAATACATAACATGTCTCCTCTGAATCCATCATTATGTATGACGAATAAAGCATGATCCTTGCCCTCAAGAAAGCTTTCTGCCTAGTTTAGAATATAGAAATGAAAAGAGTCAACATGAAGTAGCAAAGTGGCCAACATTGTCTAAAGAAAGACGGTGAAAAATGCATGTATCATTAATGAAAATTTTCCATTCGATTTTTATAAGCTCTTATTGAAGTCAAAACCAAAACTGTCTTACTATCATTCCCTAGATTTTAGAAACTTGCAAAGTTTATAAATGAATAGTAAAAAGAATTTCAAATGTAATATTCAAACTTCTGTAAAGGTATTTTCTTGAATGGAACAAGGGATATACCGCTATTAGCTGTATTTCTTTTACAATCACGATCTCAAATCATGCCTGTGACATATAGATGCTGCTGTTAAAAAGTTAGCATTCTTCTTTATGATTTTTTAACCAAATAGCTTTGAGAGAAATTTATCTTTACTTCTCAATTAAGGGAAGGAATTTTTAAATAATGTTAACAGCTCAAATAATAGGTAAAGGTGCCTTTTATCTGAAGGTCCAAGCTGAATAAAATGCCTTGAAAATAAAAAAGGAGTAGAACAAAGAAACAAAATATTTTAACAGTGAGCCTTTTTCTCCAGTATGGGATCTCATACTTCTGCTAGTTCTGCCACTTTCATTCATTTAGCAGTTTTCACCGTCTCCAACTGATTGCCAGATGCCTATGACAATATTTCTGTGTGTACACATTAAGCAAGATTGTTGTTGTTATGCCTTATTCTTTATTTATGTTAATGAGGCAGAATCTATACACTGGAGAGCAGGAAATTTTCCATCCTGATGGATAAATAACATCTGTGGAAATTTTAAACATTCAAAATGTGTCTGTCTTGAGCAGCATGAGCCACCAAATTTTAATGACAGACATACAAACACATTCATCCAGAACTACCTGACTGGATTAAAAATTCCTATCCTATTAAAATAATATGTGATGCTCTCTGTGCAGGCGTAATTGGTATTGATGTGGGAGATGAAGTATCAGTGTAATATTCCACGATTAGTTGTGCAGATCTGTTCAGTCCCCCTTACAAGCTCAAAGCTATGAATAGATTCAGTGAGTTAAATCTCAAAAGCCATTCAGATGGGATTCAGGCATTATTCTTTAATCATTATTAAAACTGAAGTCTACAGTGGGAGGGGGAAGTGGAGGATGAAAGCAAGGCTGAACTAATCATACTCTTATTCAGTCTCTCAGGGAGTCTTAATTTAAGCATTTTTTCTCCTGGGGTGACTCTGTCCCTCTACTCCACTTTCCCCGAAAAGACAGAGCTATCCCATGACTATGGTCCTCACAATGAAGTTCTTTTTTTCTTTATTTATTTGCTATTAATTTAAATTATTATGGCTGTGTTACATCTTCGTTTCAGTCCAGTACTGTGGTGCAAGTTGTAACATTTCTGTTTTCATTTCAGAAAGCTTCTGTTATTTCTATCTGTGGATAAGGTATAGGAGAGGAGGGGAAATAAAGTGAAAGAGTTGTTAGCTTTTCAATGCAGTTATTGCTTGAAGTTAAAATATGCATATGCCTGTCTGCCCCAATCCAGAATAACAACACTAGATTTCCTATGTTAAAAGATACAATAAAAAGTAATATTTTAAAAAATAAGTTTTATTAATACCAGTAAAATTATTTTTTTAAATAAGAATTGCCCAGTTAGAAATAATTTCAAGTATCTCATGGAATTCAATAAACTTTATTTAGTAAAATAAACGAAATTTATCCATTGTATAGAACATAAGAATGGCTTCTAAACTATCTTTATGCATCTGGCTAGATGGGAAAACGCTCTTTCATTCAATAGTGAAGTTATCTCTTGTAAAATCAAACAGATTTAACCACCTCTAACTGCTGATGTGAATAGTTTGGGCCAAAGAGCAGACTTATGGATTCAATTGTCATTTTTGGCTTCTAAAATAGAGCCAATCTGCCAAATAATAATAATGGTCCATGTCTGTACTTTGCTTTACGCGTATTATCTCACCCCTCATGTCACAGCCTAAGCGGCACTTCCTCCATGCCACTTTTTCACCTGCCCCTGTGTTAAGCTTTGTATGCCCAGAGCAGCATTTAATTTTCCCATGGCTATGCTACTGCAATTACAGTTACATTTTAGATTCCAGTGAACTGTCTCACTTACCCATTAGGCCACCTTTATGCCTACGCCATTCAAAATTTATTGAGGTAATAAGTGGAGTGCCTGGCACATGGTACCCCATTATAAATATTTCTAATATTGTTGTTGACAGAATGGAAAGAGATTCAGAGAGAATAAGTGAATATCAAGACAAGACAGAGAGTCAGAAAGTCCCAAATGCCAGAGCCAGAAGCAGAACCCAATCTAGAACAGCTTTGCTGGGACTAGAATTTGTCACTGCTAGCATACTGCTTTCCCCACAACATGGTCTCCCTCTCTGGGCTGTGGACAGAGACAAAGATTACATTTGGCAGTTGGCTACAATGCAGACATCATGAAATGTTCTCCTTATTTTAGATGCATTTCATTCTCAGAAAGGAATATAAAAGATTAATTTAAAAGACCAAAAGTGGCAAAGCTGAAATAGTTTAAGGAACAATATAAACAAAAATAATAATCCTGCCAATCTAACAATTTATGTCACCTTGTTGCTTTTTTTTCTGAGCAGACTAGCTACTTAAAAGCATACTTTGAATTCAATTTCCACATAATGTAAGCTCCTCTAGGAGATGAATATTCATCAACAATTAGTATTTCTAAGGATGCCTAGCTTGCTCTGTATCTCCTTGTAGAGCACTTCATAAAAACAGGTATTATCATTTATCACTATTTATTTTGCCCCAGATGTGAATTTTAATGTATCTAAAAGGGCTTTTGCTTAGATACTGAGAACACTGCCCTTTTTTTTTTTTCTTTTCCCATACTGGCCCAAAGACTCTCAGAATAGGGTAGATTACCCTTAATTACTAGAGGGTGTAAAAACAAATTCCCACAAATATGGTTAATTTTCTTTCAATTTCTGAGACTACTGGAATTAATCCAAACACTAAAAGTTTATGTCCAGGCCATTTGCTGAAATAATGCTATGTACATTTTCTAAATGCCTAATTGATTGAAAAGTATATTACAAAACTGTTTTTCACTTATTCTGCAGCTGTGCATTCATGGTGTTTTGTTTAAAGAAAAAAAAAAGTCTTCTCAGGAATTAATTGACACAAGCCAGAACTTAGTGGCCAATTTAAGCACTATCTTTCATTTTCTATAAGATCCACTTTGTGAATAAGTAGCTCCATTATCCTCAAACCCTAGCAATTTAGGATGTGAATACCACGTGAAATGTGACATTTTCTTATCCTGCAATACCTACTTGAAAATGAATAAGTGCTAAATTTTGTTTTGCCTAGGAATTAAATGCTAATAACCTGTCTGTCTTGATGCAGACTCCAGACAAGATTCTAATATGACAAATCCAGGAGTTAATTCATCCTGTTATCTACATTCCTGAAACTAAACTACAACACGGATCTTTTGTTATATAATTTACATCGAGTCCCTAAAAGATATATGAATTGAACAAGATGATTTTATATGTATATTACTTAAGATTTGCAATTCTGCTCAGGAGAGTCTATTAACTCGTGTATGGCCCAGCAGTTTTTTTAAACAAAAGGAAAGAAAAAGAAAAATGAGCCCAAGGCTATCAAATTATCATTTGATCATTCCAAGTGAGATTATTTCCTTCTGATCCCGACTCAGGTTTCTTCTTTATATTAAATTGAACAAAATGAAATACAATGATACAACTACAACTTTAGCACAAGTAAATATATACATATTTTTTCCAGAGTTTATTTTTAGTTGAACTCAACCCTACAAGTCTTGGGAATCAGAAAACAAACAAGTCATTCATAGATGCTTCTCTCAAAAACTTAAAATATAATTGAGAAACCCACACCCAGTTGTGATTTTAAAAAGCTGAATATGAGAAGAGTAAATGTATAGAGAGCTTTGGTAGCACAAATGAGAACATTACTTCAAATGGAGAATATTATACATGAATCATTGATTCACAGAATGAGTGGGTCCCTGAGCAGGAAATAGAAGGAAGGCTAAAGAATTATGACGCATAAATGTAGAAGAGGGAAAAGCTGAGGAAAAGCACAGTATGAACACAAACACGTCAGGTGGATTTGGGAACAAATTATATTACCTCATTAGCTTAAACATAAAGTAGATCAAATAGAGTAGGAGACACGTATGGAAGTGCTACCACTGGCAGAAAAACCTATCCTTCCTCCTCCTTCTTTACCTGACACAACCTTCTCTTCCATTCTCTAGCTCCTTCAGTGAACAGTCCTATTTGCCCCTCAACATCCAGGCACCTGAAGCTGCAACAAGAGTAGCTATTAGTTATCTATCACCGCATAACACTTTACCCCCAAAATATAGCAGCTTGAAACAATATACTTTTTTTAATCTCATCGTTTCTATAGGTCAAGAATCTTAGGGCATCATTGCTGGGTCGTTCTGGCTAGGGTTCTCTGATAAGGCTGGAGTTGAGCTGTTGTCCAGGGCTATAGTTGCCTCAAGGCTTGATTGGGGCTGATAATTCACTTCCCTATTTACTCTTATAGTTGTTGGCAGATTTCAGTTCCTTACAAGCCATTGTTGGAAACCACCATTTCACCATGTGTGCTCTCCATATTCTGCCTGAGTGTCCACGTGACATGACATCTGGCTCTCCTCAGAGTGAATGATCCAAGAGTGATCACAAGTGACAAAGAGAACACACAAGATGGAAGCACAGTCTTTATAACCTAAACTTAGAAGTTACCTCCCATCAGCCAGGTGCGGTGGCTCACGCCTGTAATCCCAGCACTTTGGGATGCTGAGGTGGGTGGATCACTTGAGGTCAGAAGTTAGAGACTAGCCTGGCAAACATGGTGAAACACAAAAAATTAGCTGGGCGTGGTTGCGGGCACCTGTAATCCCAGCTACTTGGCAGGCTGAGGCAGGAGAATTGCTTGAACCCAGTAGTTGGAGGTTGCAGTGAGCCAGGATAGCACCATTGCACTCCAGCCTGGGTGACAGAGGGAGACTCCATCTCAAAAAAAAAAAAAAAAAAAAAGAAGTTACCTCCCATCACTACAGCCATAGGCTATTGGTCAGTCAGACCAACCCTGATACCATGAAGGAGAGGACTACACGAGGGTGTGAATATCAAGAGACAGAAATCATCTTAGGTCTTCTGGGAAGCTGGCTACCACTGCAAACTAAGCTCTGTGTTCATACTGAGTGTCCAGAGTCTAAGCTGGCCAGGGAGTCATTGTTATCACAGACCCATTTCAGCACTTTGGAGCTTCCAAGCAGAGCAGTGCCAGGGTATAGACCACCTGGATTTAGAGCACTTGGATTTGAATTCAAGCTTGCTATGTTAGTAACCATGTCACTTTGAGTAATTTACTTGACACCTCTGATCCTAAACTTCCTGATCTAAATAATCTACATAATCGGAATAACAACTGTGTAACAGATGATAAATTTAAATAGTCAGTTTAAATGCACATTAATTATATGTAAATTAATATATAATGTTCACACATTGATAACATGTACAATATTATATACTCAAAGTATATGTATCACATGGAGATTCCAGGCTTGTTGATTCTGTTGCTTGCTATTCAGAACATTAATTTTTTTTTAAGTTTTTGGCTTCCTTAGGAAAAAAGCATATGATCTTTGTTATCTGCAGGCTTCTGAGGGCCCTAAATAATTTTATTGTCTCTCAAGGATTTATATTGATTTAAACTAAAGTATATGATCCACATACTTTGAGTATATAGTAGATAAAAACAGAGCTAAATAGTTTGTTTTTTTTTTTTTTTTTTTTTTTTTTGAGACAGAGTCTCACTCTGTCACCCAGGCTGGAGTGCAGTGGTACAATATCGGTTCATGGCAACCTGACCTCCTGGGTTCAAGCGATTCTCCTGCCTCAGCCTCCCAAGTAGCCGGAATTACAGGGGCCAGCCACCACTCCTGGCTATGTTTTGTATTTTTTAGTAGAGACGGGGTTTCACCATGTTGGCCAGGCTAGTCTTGAACTCCCGACCTGAACACAAAGATCAAAACCAGTATCCTTTACAAGGATGTAGGAGACAACATTAAGGCTTTGCTATTGGATTGGTATTGCCTGATCTCTTATTTTGAGAAATAATTATATTTCTCAAAAATATAATAAATAGAAACAAATCATGTAATGCATGTTGAAACCTGTTTTAGTTTCCTATTGCTGCTGTAACAAATTATCAGAAACTTGGTGGCTTAAAACAACAACTCTCTTACAGTTCTGGAAGTTAAAAGTCTGAAATAAGTGTTATGAGCTAAAATCAAAGTGTGGGCGGTCCTGGCAGTACTTCATTCCTTATGGAGGTTCTACAGAAAAAAAAAAAAAAAATTTTCCCACTGTATAAGCCAGCTGCATTCCATGGCTCGTGGCCCCTTGCTCTATCTTCCAATTGTAACACTCCATCTTCTACTTCCATCATCATCTTCTTTCTCTAACTTTGACTTTTACCTTTCAAGAGCCCTTGAAAGAACTTCTCTTTCAAGAACTCTTGTGGTTACATTGGGCCTACCTGGAAATTTCAGGATAAGCTTCCCATCTAAAGATCTTTTACTTTATCACAGGAGTAAAATCCCTTTTGCCATGTAAGATAACATATCCATAGGTTCTGAGATTAAGATGCTGATATCTTTGTAGCTCATTATTCTGTCTACCCAAAACCCACAGCGAGTTTTGTTATGAAATAAAAACCTCTACATAGATAAAAAGCATTTTTACAATTTTGTTGTTTCAAATATCAGATTTACCTGTGGTAAAAAGAATGATTTGATCATAAAAATCACAGGGATTTTAAAAGATATTGCCATTGGAAACTCAAATTGTATTTATATAGGATATATTAATTCAGATAATTATTTTGAGCATCATAAAGCAAGTCTAATTATCTCTCTCTTAAAAATCAAATCAGCATTCTGTTTCTATAATCTCACCTATATTGCTGCTACCCTTTAAAAACAAAACAATAAGAACAAATCTCCTTTTAAACTTTAAGTATTATTTTATTGGCTACAGCTAACTTTATATTTTAATCAGGAATAATAGTGATGGTATTCAACATTTTGTGCTTATAGTATATTGCTATACTTAAAATGGCATTAAAATATTCTAACTTAATATTTCTACCATAGTTATTTTACACATTACCTTAAAGTTCATTTGCTGTAATGCATGCATAATACCTCATAATCATTTGTGCAAATGCCATTTAATTGATTCAATTAAAATAATTATAAGCCAACTGATAAAAAATATTTGCATCTTAAGATGGAATTTTCAATTTGTGATTATGAAATAATAATATTTCTAGGTGAGGAGATAGAAACTTTTCACATCGTATTTAGTGATATGCATGCATTATAATTATATTTGTACTCGGTAATCAGATAATTTTTAGAGCTGTATCTGATTTTTTAAATTTCAAATAATTTCTTATGTAATATGTTGTCATTCAAAAATCCTGTTATAATTCATTTTGAAATCAAATGCCATTATTATTAATGGTGATTCAGAGATAATCAACTAAAAAAATGGAGGCTTTGTCTACACATAATAAAAGTACTCTGATTAAGGAAAGACTACCCTAGGTTACCAAGTCTATACTCTGTTTAAAATCCTGCACAGGTTTTCCACAAAGCCGTGATTCTTCACAATGGCCACATAATAAAATCTTCTAGTATCTTTTCAAATTACCATTTCCTGGGCATTAGTGAGATTATCTGGGTGGCGGGGGAGGCTCTTGGTATCACTGTTTTGTTAAAAACTCACCAAATAATTTTATGTGCAATCCAGGTTGAGAATGATTGCCATGAGCAAATAATGATAAATGACAACCTGCAACTGCACTGCTTAGTCATCTGTAGTTACCTACACTTAGGAACTGAGTGTCCATCCAATTCATTGATGATCGTTCATAATACACAAATTCTCTATAATTTTATATATGTACAGTAAATAATTTATATATATTTAAATTTACATATACACATGGTGAATTCATATATATATAGATACACTGTAAATGTATAACCAATACTGAAAATGATTTTCTTTTTTTCTCCCAGCCAATTGTTTTTAATTATCACCATTCTTCAAATTACATTACATTTTTAGACCTAGGTAAATAGAGTCAAATCCAAATCAATTAATGACAAAGAAATATTTCCTAAATTCATGTTCTCCATGATAATCACTATTGTCTGAATTTCTATCAAATGGTAAATGTCCTAAAAATAGAAATTTAAGAATTTTTATGTATTTATTTATACATGTGGGAAAGGAGTTGCCATTGAATGGACAACCACTGCTATGTACCCAGAACTATGATAATTACTTTGACTAATTTAATTTTTTAAATGACCCCTTTGAGGTAATATATTACTGTTTGTGTTCTTTATAAAATAAATTTATTTTGACAAAATTAATAAATGATGATTTTCATTGAAATAATATGAATAATTTCTGGTGACTCTGTTTCATTCAGTCACACACACACACACACACACACACACACATTTCTCTATAGAAAATATACAGCATTATTTTGTGTTTTTTGTTTGACTTGTTTTGTATAAGAGTCATTATGTTAATGTTGACTTTCAAGGATTTTCATTATTCTTTTTTGTTTGTGCATTGCAATCCACAGACTGGATAAAGTATAATTATTTAGCTATCCCCATATTGATATATTTAAGATGTTTTCATTTTTTTGTTATGAACCTCATTCTTGTGGAAATAATACTGCAATGAACATCCTTCCTGTGGAAATTGGTGGGTATTCCTGTAAAATAGATGCTAAGAAGTGAAACTGCTGTATCATGGAATGTGTGTACTTTTGGATTTAAAGAGATAATGATGAATTGCCTTACATATGACTGTGGAATTTTACATGATAACCATCAGTGAATACTCTTTTTACCATTTCTTTGCCAGATCTTGCTATCATCAAGCTTCCATTTCTGCTATTCTAACGTGTAAAAAATTAATATCTCACTTGTTATAGTTTGTATGTTCTTAATTATTAGTGAGATTGAACATCCTTGTATATACTTATTGGCCATTTCTCTTTCCTTTTCTATGAGTTACCCAGTTATATCATCTATTTATTTTCTATTCGAGTACTAATCATTTCTTTGTAATTAATTTTTTAAATTGTGATATTATTTTTTGTGTATATTTTCTTCCAGTAAGTCATCTGTATTTTGGTATCATTTATGTACTATTCCTGATAAATGTTTTAAAATTTTATATCGACCTATGTATCATTTATTTTCTTTTGTTATTATGTCTTTTATTATTTATGTTAACATAGGCTTTTGTATTTTATATCTTGTTTAAACAGAGCCTTCCTTTACTCCCAAATTCATAAACACTATAATTCTTTCTAATACTTTATGGGTTTTTTAATGTTTAGGTTTATAATTCATTTGAAAATTATTTCATGAATGGTGTGAAATAGGAGTTTCTTTTAATTATGTGGAGTAAATTATACAAATGCAGTATGATTATGTAAGTATGCATCTATTGAATAAATCACTTTCTCCACAGATCTGAGACACCATATTTATTATAAACTTTTATAACATGATTTTGTATATGAACATCATCTGCTCTATTGGTACAGTATTTGTTCTTGTACTCATACTGTATGATTTTAAGGAATGATATCTTTATAAAATCTTAACCAATGATAGGATAATTCCTACTCCCTGGTTCTTTTTTAGGACAATCTTGGCTATTGAGTCTTTTCTATATGGATTTAAGATAGATTATCTGGTCAAGTTCTACCAAAAACTTGTTAGAATTTTGATTGGAGCTTAATTTGATTTACAAACTAAGTATTGTCTTCTTGAGTATATTGTATCCTCCCTTATATGGATAAGGTATATCTCCCTATTTATATAGATTCTTTTTATCCCATTAATAAATTTGTAATTTTTAAATATATCTCACACCCCTTTTTAAAGGGTTATTTCTAGGAAGTCTGTAATTTGTGGTGTTATAATGAAGCAATATTTATTTCATCTTATTATTATTTGGGGAATATATTTCTTCAGTGAGGAACTAGTGAGTTTCATCTGCTCATTACCCTATATCAAACAGAATTGATCATAGATTGAGTTGTCATTCATTCCGGTCTTTAAAACCAGCAAGCTCTGTGAGGACTGATAGTACTAAAGTTGGAACTCTTGCCAGTTAAATCTCTTGGGCTTCTAAATATCATGTTCAGAAATAATATTGCCTGAAAACATTGTTTGTCCTTTCTTCCTTTCTCATATTTCTAACTCATCTATCTTTGTTGACTTGATGTATTTACTAGAAGCCTCAGAAAATGTTAAATACTAAGGGTTTTAGTGGAGATTTTAATTTTCCTCTAATATCAATAGGCATGCTTTTACTCTCTAACTATTAAATAAAACTTTACTGAAAATTCCTTCCCTAGGCTAAGGAAATTATATCTTGAAATAATTTTTAAAATTTGGAGTTTTGTAATAATAAAATGTATTTCACCTATTTTTAACAGGACAAACTACTACCAGATGTATGTATTAATAAAACACTAATAGGTTTTTCAGAAATCTTTCTAAATAATTATGATAGTAATAGCAGTTACAAATGTCTGTGTGCCTCATTTATGGATAATACAATAGATGTTTTATGGATAATAAATACAATAGATGTTTTTTATACACTTGTTTGATGACAGTACAATATTTCAGTAGTCCTTCTTAGATTATAAAATTTAAATACTATGCCCAAATTCACTCAGCTAAAAAATAGAGCTGAGACTTGGACTCAGATCTGAGTGATTACATCTGCCACCACACTGACATTGTAATCTGAATAGAAGTTAGTTTCATAATAAGCACCAGAATTAAAATATGCATGGTAATATTTAATATTTAAATGTCAGTACCATTGTTTATAAAATGCTTCTAACAACATCCATATGAGTAGGACACTTCTACATCAACTCAATCTGGCCCTTGAGTTGCTTCTTGTACCTTAAATTTCAAAGAGGCATTGAAAGAAAATGTGAAAACATTACAATATTTCAGAGAAAGGAACCATGGTTCAGTTTCTTTGTACAGTTTTAAAATGTGAAAATATTAAAATACTGCCTATTTTAATTTTTTATATTTTATCTATCTTATTAAATGTGAAAATATTAAAATAAGTCAGAGACAGCAACTGTGTCTCAGTTTCTTTGCACTGTTATTCATAACCTTTTGCCCTGCTGACACTCAGCCCACATTAGCAACTAAATAACTAACCTTGATTTGGTTTTTATTATATAGTTCAACCCCTCAGTATCACCAGGGAAACAAAATGGAACAAGTCATATTCATATGACAATGACTCAATACACGAGGAATTATACTCTTTGGGTTTTTAGTTACAAGATACATTTATGAAAATATCTTGTTCTTAATTCTGAAGAGCCTACTCCTGTTTCACTTTGTTGCATCTCCCGAAGTTTCCAGAACACCTATATTACTTTACCCTTGAAGCTGGGACAGAATTGTGAATTGGACACATTTTCTTCTTAAGGATTTGTGTTTCCTCCAGGATAAAATGTGTTGAGTGTGTTTTTAAAATGCTACTTGACAGCTAGAAGTGAAAAATAGTGTAAATTCTGACCTTGAAGTTTTTCTATACACTTTCTTGCAACTGGATAAAGTACTTAGTTTATTCCATATGGAGTTTTCCATCTTGTTTCATATAACACAGCCTCAGTCAAAATTGTCTGTACATTAACTATATCACATTACAATGTTTGTTAACCTGACATTCAGTATTATAAAATGGAACACATTGAAATTTCTTAAAAGCCAATCTCAAAGTTTTATTGAATTTAAAATGCTATGTGTAGTACTTCTAAAATAAAAATGAATTATCCCATTTAATTTTAGAAATCATTTCTGTACTTAATTCCTAGACATTAACCGCTTCAGGAATATTTTAAGCATACTGGAAAAGGGCTCAGATTTAAGTACATAAAAATATGGGAGGAATATATTTGTGGCCAATTTTAACCCTGACTTATGTGAATATACTTGCTAGATATTAACTATTGCAGGTACAGCATAAGATTTATTGAAAAAGATGCATGAAGGCCAAAAAAGAAAGATCATGTTAAATAGATAGCAAATTAACCAGAGATCTGGTTTGTAGATTATAAGACAAGCTAAGTTTTTGTGAAATTACTTATAAAAATGAACTTAAGACAATGTTATATAGTGGTACAAATTGGCTAGCAAATAATAATAACAGCCTCTTCTAAAATTTTTACTGAGTTAAGCCTCTTTCTAAGCTCTTTCCATTTAATAACTCATTTAAACTTTCCAGTAATCCTATGAAGAATTTACAGACAGAATTCCAGTTTTTCCAATAAGCAAATAGAGGCTTAGTGAAATTAATGAACTAGTAAGTAGTACACCAAGATTTTAAATCCAGGCAATCTAGTCCAAGAATCTGTGACCTGATATGCCAATGATTCAAAGTACAGTAATAATAAAATCAAATGATTATTAGAAAAAATGTTTTTGTTAATATTCTATTTGTCTTTTTGTAATGATACAAGAAAAAATGAATTTAATATATACATATTTGCAAGAGCTATATTGGTCATTGACAACTGTAAAAAAAAGAATTCAATAAAATTATAAAAATGACTCTGATGACCAAAGAAGCAATTTTGAAATTTCAAGACCTAATTCCAACAATGCATATAGGCATGTCTCTGGCAAAAAAAAAAAAAAAAAAAAAAAGAAGAAAAAAAGAAAAGACTTTCTGTCAAATAGAATCTCTATATTTCATCTCATATTCTTTCCCTCTCCACATGTTTCTCCAAGTCAAAGCCTGTGAGCCACATGAGTTCTTGGTTGCAGTAATAGAATCAAGGCTGGCTAACTGAACCATCAAAGGAATTTATTGGCAGAATCTTGGGCAATCACAGATCAATTGGGAAGACTGGAGAACCAAGCTCAGAAAATGAGCAGAAGTCATGGGAAACTGGATGCCAAAAACATAACTAATACATTCTGGAGGATTAGTGTGTTCAGACACTGCTATAGTGCATGCCTAACCTTAACATCACCACTGCTTCCAGGAATATTCTTCCCTGTCCTAGTGGTGTTAGTCACTTTCTCCAGACTCAAAGTCCTGTGCGTGATTAGTGAACCTGGCTAATCTATCTGCATCTTAGCCATCAAACAGAAGAAAATGGAAGACAAGATTCTTCTTCCCTTCAAGACTTATACTATAGGAACCCCTTTCCCCAATGAGAAAAACAATTATGCTAGGTAGTCAAGAAATAATATGTTATTATATGGTCAGAATCTTTACTTTCCAGTATTCAAATACATCTGTCTTGGACCCACGCCATTTGTAATATTCTATAGCAGAGAAATTGTTAGGAAGTTGTAGATCATAATTAAATCAGCTACTTCACCAATGAATTGATTTATTAAATACTTTTTAATATTTACTATGAGCCAGACACTGTTGTGAGTCTTGAAGAAATATTAACTGATTCAATATTCACAAAATCTCTGATGTAGGTACAATAATTAACCCTGATTTCACTCATGAAGGAACTGAGATACTGTTATGTAATTTACAAAGGTCACCCTCTAGAAATCACAGAGATGATATTTGACCAGTGCAGTTAGGTTTCACAGTCTATGCTTTTAACTATTATTCTATGCTGCCTCTCCCTGCAAGCCATGGTCTTCCATATGAAAATTCCTTGATACTAACAGCATTTTTATTATTTTAATCCCCAAGTAGGACAGATAACCAACTGAAGATTCATCATTCCATAAAAGCACATTATCTGAAACCCCAATAATTTTTTTTAACCAGGTATAGTCTATAGCAAGCACTATCACTGCTCCATCAAGAAACCGTCTCTGTCTCTAGTCATTTCTGTGCATCCTTCTTTTTCTCCTCTGGAATCTCTGTGCTTTTGCCTATAGCCTGCACCTGCACTTCTCCCTGAGGATTGCCATTGGACTGCTGAAACTGTTTTGTTTAAATAAGCAGACATACAGAAGTGCCCTTGAGATTTATACACCCCTGAAGTGGGCCTTTTTCAATAACTGATTCACACAGAAGTAGGAAGCCCAGCACCATTGCCTTGAAGAGGACAATCTCTAAGGTGTAACTTAAAAACCCTAGAAGAAAACCTAGGCAATACCATTCGGGACATAGGCATGGGCAAGGACTTCATGTCTAAAACACCAAAAGCAGTGGCAACAAAAGCCAAAATTGACAAATGGGATCTAATTAAACTAAAGAGCTTCTGCGCAGCAAAAGAAACTACCATCAGAGTGAACAGGCAACCTACAAAATGGGAGAAAATTTTTGCAATCTACTCATCTGACAAAGGGCTAATATCCAGAATCTACAATGAACTCAAACAAATTTACAAGAAAAAAACAAACAACCCCATCAAAAAGTGGGCGAAGGATATGAACAGACACTTCTCAAAAGAAGACATTTATGCAGCCAAAAGACACATGAAAAAATGCTCATCATCAGTGGCCGTCAGAGAAATGCAAATCAAAACCACAATCAGATACCATCTCACACCAGTTAGAATGGTGATCATTAAAAAGCCAGGAAACAACAGGTGCTGGAGAGGATGTGGAGAAATAAGAACACTTTTACACTGTTGGTGGGACTGTAAACTAGTTCAACCATTGTGGAAGTCAGTGTGGCGATTCCTCAGGGATCTAGAACTAGAAATACCATTTGACCCAGCCATCCCTTTACTGGGTATATACCCAAAGGGCTATAAAACATGCTGCTATAAAGACACATGCACACGTATGTTTATTGTGGCACTATTCACAATAGCAAAGACTTGGAACCAACCCACATGTCTAACAATGATAGACTGGATTAAGAAAATGTGGCACATATACACCATGGAATACTATGCAGCCATAAAAAAGGATGAGTTCATGTCCTTTGTAGGGACATGGATGAAGCCGGAAACCATCATTATCAGCAAACTATCACAAGGACAAAAAACCAAACACCACATGTTCTCACTCATAGGTGGGAATTGAACAATGAGAACACATGGACACACACCGGGGCCTGTTGTGGGGTGGGGGGAGCCGGGAGGGATAGCATTAGGAGATACACCTAATGTTAAATGATGAGTTAATGGGTGTAGCACACCAACATGGCACATGTATATATATATATGTAACAAACCTGCACGTTATGCACATGTACCCTAAAACTTAAAGTATAATAAAAAAATAGAAATAAAAAAATAAAAAATCCAGAGTTCCCCTCAGGAAGCAGGCTAAACTTCCCCTCCTTAAGACTTGGACTGAAATCATGTTCATGCTTGCTGTCTCCTTTCCCTGCTCTACTTGACCCATCTTTTAAATCTTGAGAGCTATTCGTTAATAAATCTCTCACACAGAAACCCTCACCTTCTGGAGAAGCTGACCAATGACGGACCTGGAAAACACAGAGACAGTCACTGATTAACTTAAGTGCAAAAAGGATGCATTGGAGGCACGTTGGACAATTCATGAAAGTACTAGGAAGTTTAAAACTGCTGCAGAAAACTGATAGGGAGCAACGTGTCTGGAATCCAACAACATAAGAAATTTCAAGCTATAAAATATGTAACTCTACAGTTTACACACACTGGCATCACCACTACTAAAATCTTCTCACCACTAGTAACACTACCCCCACGAGTCATTGGCCCTGCCAATAGACTGTTAACCCTGACACTTCTAGTATAAAACTGTGCCTACCCTCTCAGAAAGAATAGGAAATGCCTGCCTGCTCCTCTTTAACAACTGGATCCATACAATGGGAAGAAAACCAAGTATTTGCTACATTCAAACCTTCCTAGGGTTTAATTTTTAAATACTCCAATTTTCTTTTGTAATTTTAATCATTAATTTCACTTTCTAGAATGTTCTTTTTCCCTATTATCTTGCATTCTCTATATATCTAAATCCTACCCATCTTGTATAATATAACTCAAAGGCTAGTTAGAGAACATCACATTGTCCCTGATTTACCCTGTTAAAAATTATCCCTCCATACTTTGGACACTATTTAGTACTTTATCAATATCTTAATATTTACATCCTCTATGAGACTAAGTTCTTTCCGGGCATTTAACATGGCTTAGCAGAATATCTTGACAACAATTGGTATAATAAAATTTGTCTAATAAATTAGAGCAAGAGCTGGGGAAATATTAGGAGAGGGATTTGGTAGACTCAACAGGATTTAGCAGCTGATTAAATCTGGAAGGTGGAAGGAGAAGTTGTTACATTTGTTTTTCAGAATTCAAGCTTCAGTGTTTAAGTACAAGATGATGCCATTAGGATATTGAAAGAAAATAGAAGTAGTAGTCTTGATAACTGGAATTGGAATACATATCAACAATTTAGTTTGGGGCATACTGAGTTTGAAATTCTTAACATACTTTTAGGTTGACAAGTGTAATATAGACTAAAAAATTGAGCCTGAGACTCAAATCAAACATCTAAAATTAAGATTTAAGTGCTTTAAGAATAGAAATAACAATAGAAAGCTCCATAAGTAGATGAGACCACTCAGAAAGATAATTCGCAGAACAAGGAAAGAATATATAGTTGACCCCTAAAAAACCTGGGGGTTGGGGGATGCTGTCCCCACATAGAGTCAAAAATCTGAATATAACTTTTGGCTCCCCTTAAATTTAACTCTTAATGGCATACTATTGACCAGGAGATTTACAAATGGCATAAACAGTTGATTAACACATATTTTGTATCATATTCTTATGATAAAGTAAACCTGAGAAAATAAAATGTTATTAAGAAAATTATAAAAAAAGAAAAAATATATTTACTATTCACTAAGTAGAAGTGGATCATTGTAAAGGTCTTATTCCTCATCTTCTTGTTGAGTAGGCTGAGAAGGAGGAGGAGGAGCTGGTCTTGCTATCTCAAGGGTGGCAGTCGTAAAAAACAATCCGCATAGAACTGAACCAATATAGTTCAAACTCCTGTTGTTTGAGCGTCAGTGATAAAATAGACTAATATCTACATATATTTTATACACCCAGGGAATATCTATTTTTTCTTGGATTTTTTTTTCAGTATTTCTATGTTATATGGTTTATCTGCAAGTTTTTTCAACTTGTCATAAATCTCTACATATTTTTCCAATATATTTATTTCTAAAAATCCACGTAAAAGTGGACCCACACAATTCAAACCTATGTTTTTCAAGGGTCAACTGTATTTTGATAAGAAGCCTCATAAAATGCCAACACTGGGGAAGCAAGACAAAAGGATGACAGGTAGAGGGAAAGCAGAGTAGAATTGAGATTGGGAAACCAGTGCATTTCAGAGATCAAAGAAGGACAACATCCTAGAAGAAACCATCTTTTGTGCTATCTGTGTGGCCCCAATTCATCAACATTTCTTGCATTAATATTCTTTGCTTTGTAACTTCACAGTTCCTGACACAAAAGACAGAATGTGCTTTCCAACTCCTTGACATGGGGTCAGCCATGGAACTTAATTTGGCCGATGAAATATGGACAGAAGTGAGAGTGACCAATTCCAAGGCTAGGCCTTAAGAAGCTTCACATATTTCCACTTGCCCTCTGGGGCTTTTTGCCATTATCATGAGAAGAACATGCCCTGGCCGGCCTACTAGCCCAAGTAAAATAATAGACTCATGAAGCATACTTGGATTTCTTTTGCACATAGAGATGCCCCCAAGCCCAGCCAGGAGCAGCAGAGCAACCTCAGCTGACTCACAAATGTGAATAAAATAAATGTATGTTGTTGTATGCCACTGTCGTATGCCATATGTCATTAAGGAACTTAATGACAAAGGACATTGGTGACTTCAGCAAAATCATTGGCTATGTGCCAGTGGGCCAAAAATCTGCTATCAGTGGCTTGAAGGATAAATTAAAAAGAGTAGAGTCGACGGGAAGCTGGTCATTGAAGGGCTGCAACTAATTGAGATAATAACTTTATGAAGACTAAATATAAGCCCAAAACAGTGCATGTTTCCATATACTTATTTTGAATGCATAACTCAGGGAATGGACCTTCACATATATTAATACATGTTGACATTTAAAGTATTAGTCGTTAATGGAGAAAATTCAGACCACAGAGGGAGCTGATTTTGGTTAAGATCTGTCTTTGACATGTCTGCTTAAATTACGTTGTATAGAAAACATAGTCTTTATTGTGCACTTAGAAATTATCATATAATACAAACTTCCCTTCTGCAGAAGAAAAACTACCAGGATTTCACCTTAGTAATAGCAACTATATAAACTGTAAATAACACATAAGTAGAGGAAACAAGGTGATTCACACAAGTGATAAAAAGAACAGTTAAATATTGGCAATTTGGTTAATTGGCCCATATGCAAATTAATAATGCTTTAAATAAGGAAAACACATCATAGGGCATGCTTGTTCATTTATTTTGACATTTTATAATTTAGTCTAATTATTTGTGAAACTGTAACCCATTCAGCTGGCCTTTGGTATAGTTTGTGAAAAATAATGACTTATGAAAAATAATGACATTTAGTCAAAGAAGCACTTGCTTCCACTTTCTATGGTACATTCAGGCAAGATACTTAGTGCAGTAATTAATTAAAAACTAAAATGTCAAATCTTACCCACATCTCTGTACATTAGCCAAAGATACATATGGACTCAAAACCAGAGAATTCAAAATGGGTTCTTAGTTAAATCCATGCATTTCCAGAGACAAATCTGTGAAATTAATTCTGTGAGCAATGCATATTATGCCTACATATTATGCCTAATTATTAGCCTTGTATATCAAATACACTTTCATTTAGATTAACATGTCTGATTTTACCATTTTGTCAGTTTATTCAAACTTTGTATAATCTTACATTTCAATGTACTGCACATATCTTCATTATTGACACTTTGCCCCTCGAAAATCAAAGAGTAATGATAAAGGGGACTTTAAACTCTATTTTAGCTAATTCATATATTAATACCATACTTTGGAGATGATTATTTTAAGAAGTAATCACAGATTATTTTTTCTTAAATTGTGCTTGTTTCATTTTTGAGTAATTTACTTCATATGAAATAATTCCTAGTTTTGTCAAGGCTGCAAATGTATTTTGCTCACAGCAAATTATGGAGACCACATACAAGTGCAACCTAGCAACATTTCCTCCAATTTGGTTTTCTAAGTAAACAAAGCCTGCAGCACAGTCTTTCCTTAATGAGGGACGAATCTGAGTCTTTTCTGATAAATTAAAGGGCTGCATTTATTAAACAAAGATGATGTTATTGATTCAAAGGGCATGCTCTCTAAGCAGTTTTTTTTTAATTGTTGTGCTGATCCATCTACGTTTTACATTTTACTTCCCATTTTAGCAATACACATTTTATAAAATGCCCAGCGAAGCTTAGAGGCTTATTAGAGGCATAGCATGATACAGTACTCACTGGCCAATGAATAGTGGACCTCATGACCTTGGCATTATTAATGGCAAGTTGGGCTAACTGCCTGATAGGCACATTAATTCCAGTGTCAACATGAAGGAGAATTTCCGTCTGAAGTAATATAAATTATATATGTACAACTAAAAGGAGAGACTAGCAATATAAATACTTGGAAGTAAATTTTTTAAGTTAAAAAGAAAATATATTTTTTCATCTTCTTTCTATCCGTGCAAATAAATTTTTTTAAGAAAATTAATGACATTAATCTGCACTTGCAAAAACAGCAGCCCATGAGACATTCATTTTGAGGGTTGCAGTCCTCTTTAATTGCATGAGCAACATTAACTCATAGGATAGAAAGGTGCCATCGAATCTTGTTCATTTTCCTTGCATAAGATGTACTTCTAACTTAATAGAAATTCTGCTAGGAATACCTAGCAGATTGAACATGAAACACTTCCTTAGTAAGATAATAAAATGTTATTTTACAAAGATTATCTCCTGTCATTTCTGTAGATGTTCCCAGTCCACTTGAAAATACTTTGAATTTTGTCATTATTGAATGTAGTGCACACAATATGAGAATTAGGCCAGCTTTGTTAATTGTGTTGTTCATATTTTCTACATCTTTACTGATTTGTTTTAGCTGGAGGTATTATCAACTCTTGAAGTTTTGTGAAGGGTAACTTTATATGTAGTTTGAAACTATGTATTGATTGCACAGAGATTTAGAAAGGTCATATTTTCCCGTTGATTTACTCCTTCGTCACTATGAAATGTCATTCTTCATCTTCAGCAATGCTTTTAACTTAAAATCATCTTGGATATTAATAAAGCAACATATATTTTTGCTTTATATCCACATGATGTATCTTTTATTCCATCTTTTGGATTTCAGTCTCTCTATTTTCTTGTATTATGGTGTTCCTCTTAAGAGCAACATATACTTGAGGGTTTTTTTCTCAACCAATCTAATCTTATCCTTTTCTAGAAATATTTTGTGCACTTTCATTGAATGAAATTTAAGATATATTTACTGTCATATCTGCCATTTAATTACTTGTTTTCTCTTTGACCAACCTGCTTTAAGCTCTCATTATCTTCTTTCTTGTTTTCTTTTACAGTTTTAACCATTCTATTTTTACCCCTAATAATTTGTTAATTATAGCTTCTTTTCCTATTCTTTAATGGGTACTATAGATTATAATATTCATTCTTGAATCATTAAAATCTAATATAAATTATTACTTTTAGTCCTTCCTTTACAATAAAACTTTCTTTCCACATATGTCCTTCACTTTTGCACTATTGTTTTCATGCATTTTAACCATATATATATATATATATATATATATATATATATATATATACGCAACTGCGTAAATTATTATTCTTATTATCTAAGTTAGTCAATATTCATCTACATGAATTTCTCCTTTGAAAGTCAGTCTTTCCTATAATTACATATTCTAGGATCATTTTCTTTCTACATAAAATTTCTCTCTACTTTTTTAGTGAAGTTTTGCTGCCAAAATATTGTTTCTGTCTAAAAATTCTTTAATTCAGCTGTATTTTATTTGTTTGTTTGTTTTTATTTAGTTTTGTTTTATTTTGTTTTTGAGACAGAGTCTCACTCTGTTGCCGTGACTGAATTGCAGCGGTGGGAACACAGTTCACTGCAGCCTCAACCTCCTGGTCTCAAGCCATCCTGCTCTTAAACCCTCTATTAAACTCTTTATTTTAGATATTTCAATTTTCAGATCTAGAATTCATATGTAAATCTTTTTTATAGATGCTATTTCTTTTCTTTTCTTTTTTTTTTTCTTTTTTTTGAGTCAGGGTCTGTCACCCAGACTGGAGTGCAATGGCGCAATCTCAGATCAGTGCAACCTCTGCCTCCTGGGTTCAAGCAATTCTCGTAACTTAGCCTCCAGAGTAGCTAGGATTACAGGGCATGTGCCACCATGCCTGGCTCATGTTTTTGCATTTTTAGTAGAGACGGGGTTTTACCATGTTGGACAGGCTGGTCTCGAACTCCTGACCTCAAGTGATCCACCCACCTCGGCTTCCCAAAGTGCTGGGATTATAGGCGTGAGCTACCACGCCCGACCTATAGATGCTATATCTCTGGGTGAAATTCTCCATCTTGTCATCTACTTTTCTATGTCTTTGTTTATTTCCTTTGATCTATTAATTATAATTATTTTAACGTATTTTTATTAACTCCAACATTTGGACTGTGTCTTTTTTTAATTGTTTTTCTTTTGGATGTTGGCGTCTCTGATTATTTTTTAATTAAATACTGGATATTATGTATTTTAAAATTTGTAGTGTTATATTTCTCTAGGAATGGCTTACTTCTCACTTTGCTGGACAGACAGAGTAGTGGCTGATGATTAAAATCCAATCAGGGTCTGAGCTGAGTTGAGGTAAGATAGTAATTTGCATAAGGTTCTAGTACTTCTGGTTTGCACTTACTCCTAAAGCGAAGACCTCCAGGACTTTTAATCAAAAACCTGGTATATTCATTGGGGATTCTCTGGTAAGTTTCAAACTCTAATTTTAAGGACAGGACAATGAGACAGCAGAAATCTCTGATCTCCTTTTAAAAATGTTTCTGCTTACATTTTCAGTTCCTCACCTTGAACAACTTCAGAATGGGGTAAATAATTTGAGGGGGAAACTGGCTGTGTGCCAGGTTAAGTTCTCCACTCATCCTTTCTCACTGAAATCTTGGCACCTTATGTATTACCAACTTTGTCTACTCCGTTGCTAGAGGGTACTAAAAGTTCTACTCATATTCCTGTTCCCCAGAAGTTGCATTCTGTCCAGGCGAAGCCTGAATTCTCCAACTGATACTCTAAACCTAGGATTAACAAATAACTCCAGACAAATGGAGAAAGTTGACACATCTCACCTCCATTCTCCGCTTTCCAAAATCTTGACCTTTTAGTTCTTACTTTAGCAGCTTTCTCGTGCCTTCACATAAGTGATTTTAAAATTTTTAATTGAATTTTCTAGTTGCTCTCACAATAAGTTTTGTTTATAAGTAGGTACTTCATCCTATTCAAAAAAAGAAAACTTTTTTGTCTTCATTTTCCATTTCTGAAATTATCTTTCCAGTCAAATGGAAAACTTACACAGGTTTGCTTATTGTCTGTTTGTTTGTTTCTGCAACTAGATTTTTTTGTTATTAATATTTAAATGTATAAGGATAAAGATATTTAATTATTTGAAACTACTAGAAGTGGAGCTATACTGAATATCAATATTACATATTTGACTTATAAGTCTGCTTTTGCAAGCATACTTATGAAATGCTTTCAATAAATAAAAGCAACTAGATGAGTTCCTAAACTGTCATTTATTCTGATGAAGTACTAAGCCATGCTGATTTTTGTACAATCAACTATTTTGGGAATAGAACTTAAAAATGATCCAGCAACACTCTGCTAAATTTACCTTCAACCTAAATGTAAAGGTTTACATTTAGCTGAAAAGTGCCATGTTTTCTAACTTGGGATTATTATAATTCGTTCAGTTATTTAGGACTTTGTTTCATGTTCTATGCATTCAAAGAAACCTGTTTAGGCTAGGTACAGTTTCAGCTCAAAAGAAACACGCCATTACCTTAGAAAAGTAACATATAACTTCTGTGCTCTGTGCACCAAAATCAATAACTTTGTAATGAGGTATTAAGTCTCCCTACATATGAAGATGACAGAATTCTAAATATTACATTCTTTGGTTTTATTTTCTTTGAAAATTAACAAAATGGACTTTTTTGCAAAATAAGCAGTCACCTAATAATTTATTTCAGATTTAGCTTTACAAAGAGCTCATGTGTTACACATTAGCTTCTTAACATTTAAAATAAGTTATTCTCATTTGCTTTCTCATCTACTAGTTTCAGATTGGAATATATCTGCATTTGTAAAACTGCATATAAATCAGTATGTTTCACAGGGAAGAGCAGGAAAGACAATGAAAACAAATAACTTCTTTTTTTTTTTTATTAGACTTTAAGTTCTGGGATACATGTGCAGAATGTGCAGGTATGTTACATAGGTATACATGTGCCATGGTGGTTTGCTGCACCAAACAACCTGTCATCTACATTAAGTATATCTCATAATGCTATCCCTCCCCTAGTCCCCCACCCCCAACAAGCCCCTATGTGTGATGTTCCCCTCCCTGTGTCCATGTATTCTCATTGTTCAACTCCCACTTATGAGTGAGACCATGCAGTGTCTAGTTTTCAGTTCCTGTGTTAGTCTGATGAGAATGATGGTTTCTAGCTTCATCCATGTCTCTGCAAAGGACATGAGCTCATCCTTTTCTATGGCTGCATAGTATTCCATGGTTAATATGTGCCACCTTTTCTTAATCTAGTCTATCATTGATGGACATTTGGGTTGCTTCCACGTCTTTGCTATTGTGAACAGTGCTGCAGAAAACATATATGTGCATGTGTCTTTACAGTAGAATGATTTATAATCCTTTGGGTATATAGCCAGTAATGGGATTGCTGGGTCAAATGGTATTTCTGGTTCTAGATCCTTGAGGGATCACCACATCGTCTTCCACAAAGGCTGAACTAATTTATACTCCCACCAACAGTGTAAAAGCGTTCCTATTTTTCCACATCCTCTCCAGCATCTGTATTTTCCTTACATTTTATTTATCATCATTATAACTGGCATGAGATGGTATCTCATTGTGGTTTTGATTTGCATTTCTCTAATGACCAGTGATGAAGAGCTTTTTTTCATGTTTGTTGGGCACATAAATGTCTTCTTTTGAGAAGTGTCTGTTCATATCCTTCGACGATTTTTTGATGGGATTGTTTGTTTTATTCTTGTAAATTTGTTTAAGTTCTTTGTAGATTCTGGATATTAGCCCTTTGTCAGATGGATAGATTGCAAAAATTTTCTCTCATTCTGTAGGTTGCCTGTTCACTCTGATGATAGTTTCTTTTGCTGTGCAGAACCTCTTTAGTTTAATTAGATCCTATTTGTCAATTTTGGCTTTTGTCGTCATTGCTTTTTGTGCTTTAGTCATAAAGTCTTTGCCCATACCTATGTCCTCAATGGTATTGCCTAGGATTGCTTCTAGGGTTTTTATGGTTTTAAGTCTTACATTTAAGTCTTTAACCCATCTTGATTTGATTTTTGTATAAGGCGTAAGGAAGGGGTCCAGTTTCAGTTTTCTGCCTATGGCTAGCCAGCTTTCCCAAAACCATTTATTAAATAGGGAATCCTTTCCCCATTGCTTGTTTTTGTCAGGGTTGTCAAAGTTCAGATGGTTGTAGATGTGTGGAATTATTTCTGAGGGCTCTGTTCTGTTCCATTGATCTTTATATCTGTTTTGGTACCAGTACCATGCTGTTTGGGTTACTGTAGACTTGTAGTATAATTTGAAGTCAGACAGTGTGATGCCTCCAGCTTTGTTCTTTTTGCTTAGGATTGTCTAGGCTATACAGGCTCTTTTTTGGTTCCATATGAACTTTAAAGTAGTTTTTTCTAATTCTGTGAAGAAAGTCAATGGTAGCTTGGTGGGTATAGCATTGAATCTATAAATTACTTTGCACAGTATGGCCATTTTCACGATATTCATTCTTCCTATCCATGAACATGGAATGCTTTTTCCATTTGTGTCCTCTCTTATTTCCTTGAGCAGTGGTTTGTAGTTCTCCTTGAAGAGGTCCTTCACATCCTTTGTAAGTTGTATTTCTAGGTATTTTATGCTCTTTGTAGCAATTGTGAATGGGAGTTCACTCATGATTTGGCTCTCTTTTGTCTATTATTGGTGTATAGGAATGCTTGTGATTTTTGCACATTGATTTTGTATCCTGAGACTTTGCTAAAGTTGCTTATTAGCTTAAGGAGTTTTGTGGCTGAGACAATGGAGTTTTCTAAATATACAATCATATCATCTGCAAACAGAGACAATTTGACTTCCTCTCTTCCTATTTGAATACCCTTTATTTCTTTCTCTTGCCTGATTGCCCTGGCCAGAACTTCCAGTACTATGTTGAATAGGAATGGTGAGAGAGGGCATCCTTGTCTTGTGCCAGTTTTCAAAGGGAATGCTTCCAGCTTTTGCCCATTCAGTATGATATTGGCTGTGGGTTTGTCATAAATAGGTCTTATCATTTTGACCTACAGTCTGTCAATACCTAGTTTATTCAGAAGGTGGTAATGACAAACGCCTCCAAGCTAAAGGAGCATGTTCTACCCCAATGCAAGGAAGCTAAGAACCTTGTAAAAAACAGTTAGAGGGAATTTCTAACTAGAACAAATAGTTTAGAGAAGAGCATAAATGACCCGATGGAGCTGAAAAACACAGCATGAGAACTTCATGAAGCATACATAAGTATCAACAGACGAGTCGATCAAGCAGGAGAAAGAATATCAGAGATTGAAGATCAACTTAATGAAATAAAGCATGAAGACAAGATTAGAGAAAAAAAAGAATGAAAAGGAACAAACAAAGCCCCCCAAAAATATGGGACTATGTGAAAAGACCAAACCTATGTTTGATTGGTGTACGTGAAAGTGATGGGGAGACTGGAACCAAGTCGGAAAAGCCTCTTCAGGATATTATCCAGGAGAACTTCCCCAACCTAGCAAGACAGGCCAACATTCAAATCCAGGAAATGCAGAGAACACCACAAAGATACTCCTCGAGAAGAGCAACCCCAAGACACATAATCGTCAAATTCACTGAGGATGAAATGAGGGAAAAAATGTTAAGGGCAGCCACAGGGAAAGGTCGGGTTACCCACAAAGGGAAGTCCATCAGACTAACAGTGAATCTCTCTGCGGAAACCCTACAAGCCAGAAGAGAGTGGGGGCCAATATTCAACATTCTTAAAGAAAAGAATTTTCAACCCAGAATTTCATATCCAGCCAAACTAAGCTTCATAAGCAAAGGAGAAATAAAATTCTTTACAGACAAGCAAATGCTGACAGATTTTGTCACCACCAGGCCTGCCTTACAAGAGCTCCTGAAGGAATCACTAAATATAGAAAGGAAAATCCTGTACCAGCCACTGCAAAAACTTACCAAATTGTAAAGACCATGGACACTATGAAGAAACTGCATCAATAACAGGTGAAATAACCAGATAGCATCATAATGACAGGATCAAATTCACATGTAACAATATTAACCTTAAATGTAAACTGGCTAACTGCCCCAATTAAAAGACACAGACTGGCAAATTGGATAAAGAGTCAAAACCCATTGGTATGCTCTATTCAGGAGATCCATCTCACATTCAAAGACACACATATGCTCAAAATAAAAGGATGGAGGAATATTTACCAAGAAAATGGAAAGAAAAAAAAGGCAGGGGTTGCAATCCTAGTCTCTGCTAAAACGGACTTTAATCCAACAAAGATCAAAAAAGACAAAGAAGGGCATTATATAATGGTAAAGGGATCAATGCAACACAAAGAGCTAACTATCCTAAATATATATGCACCCAATACAGGAGCACCCAGATTCATAAAGCAAGTTCTTAGAAACCTACAAAGAGACTTAGACTCCCACACAATAATAGTGGGAGACTTTAACACCCCACTGTCAATATTAGACAGATCAACAAGACAGAAAATTAACAAGGATATCCAGGACTTGAACTCACCTCTGGATCAAGCAGACCTAATTGACATCTACAGAATTCTCCACTCCAAATAAACAGAATATACATTCTTCTCAGCACCACATTGCACTTATTATAAAATTCACCACATAATTGGAAGTAAAACATTCCTCAGCAAATGCAAAGGAATGGAAATAATAACAAACAGTCTCTCAGACCACAGTGCAATCAAATTAGAAATCTGGATTAAGAAACTCACCAAAAACTGCACAACCACATGGAAACTGAACAACTTGCTCCTGAATGACTACTGGGTAAATAACAAAATTAAGGCAGAAATAAATAAGTTCTTTGAAACCAATGAGAACAAGGACACAATGCACCAGAATCTCTGGGACACAGCTAAAGCAGTGTGTAGAGGGAAATTTATAGCACAAAATGCCCACAGGCGAAAGCAGGAAAGATCTAAAATCAACACTCTAACATCACAATTAAAAGAACTAGAGAAGCAAGAGCAAACAAATTCAAAAGCTAGCAGAAGACAATAAATAACTAAGATGAGAGCAGAACTGAAGGATATAGAGACACAAAAACCTTTCAAAAAAATCAATGAATCCAGGAGCTGGTTTCTTGAAAAGATCAACAAAATTGATAGACAGCTAGCCAGACTAATAAAGAAGAAAAGAGAGAAGAATCAAATAGACACAGTAAAAAATAATGAAAGGGGTATCACCACTGATCCCACAGACATACAAACTACAATCAGAGAATAATATAAACACCTCTATCCAGATAAACTAGAAAATCTAGACGAAATGGATAAATTCCTGGACACATACACCCTACCAAGACTAAACCAGGAAGAAGTCGAATCCCTGAATAGACCAATAAGTTCTGAAATTGAGGCAGTAATTAATAGCCTCCTAACCAAAAAAAGCCCAGGACCAGACGGATTCACAGCCGAATTCTACCAGAGGTACAAAGAGGAGCTGGTACCATTCCTTCTGAAAATATTCCAGACAATAGAAAAAGAGGGACTCCTCCCTAACCCATTTTATGAGGCTAGCATCATCCTGATACTAAATCCTGGCAGAGACACAACAGTAAAAGAAAATTTCAGGCCAATATCCTTGATGAACATCGATGGGAAAGTCCTCAGTAAAATACTGGCAAACCAAATCCAGCAGCACATCAAAAAGCTTTTCCACCACAGTCAAGTTGGCTTCATCCCTGGGATTCAAGGCTGGTTCACCATATGCAAATCAATAAACGTAATCCATCACATAAACATAACCAATGACAAAATCACATGATTATCTCAATAGATGCAGAAAAGGCCTTCAATAAAATTCAACACCCCTTCATGCTGAAAACTCTCCAAAAAACGACTTCTTATATATACGTAAGCCTACTTTTCCAGTACAGCTTACAGATTGACATATTCTACCATATATACCAAACAGACAGAAGCTTTCATGTGACCCTTATGAGTCACAATAACATGTTTAATTAACAAGTATGTCAAAAACCATCATTTCTTCTCAGAGAAGCCTTGTGTGAGTTTTCATATGAAAATAATTATCTTAATAGTGATTATTTTATTATCAGATTCAATATTAAAGAAAATAATTAACCAACCTTTAGTTCCATCATTTTTACTAGGTTCAGGAATAGATATGTTGCAAAATGTCAAAAGTAGAAAATGATGAACTCCAGAAAAAATTGATATGACATATCAAGACCAAATAACCATAGAGATATTTTCCAAGGGAATGGGTAAAACTGTTCTATGACCCTTGAATCACTTTATGCACTTTAAGAATATACAGAGTGAAAGATAGAGACAGGAGGAGTAAGAGATAGAGATAGGGCTTTGTGGGGTATACGAATAAAGAGATGTATTTGGACTGAACTCTTTCCCCACTAGGAGTCCATACTTTCACACTCTGCAGAGAAGGAGAGGTATAGCAGGTGGCAATGAGGATATGTCTCCCAGACCTCCAACCATAGGAAGTGTAATTGGCCAAGACTCCCAATAGCTGTGCTGTGTTTGTATATATGAAGGCTACAATTCTCATGAGCTGCTCCCAATCAGTGACTTAATGAGGCAAGGATGTTATTAAAACCCCATTTTTTTAGGAGACACAGGACTTCTCTCAAAGCAATGGCTTTAGGACTCCATCATGGCTTTGCCAAATCTCCATCTGACTACATGGCAGTCTATGACCATTATATCCAATCTTCTCTCCCACTCTCCTTCTCCCAAGGTCAGTCTGGCATCATGTCTGAAGATTTTCCCAGACTTCCTGGCCCTCCCCATTTCTTCTACACAGGTTTTGACCTAATAAGATACCATTCTTGGAGTATCTCAGAGGAACTGGACAAACACAGGAGGCCAACTTCTAACTATAGACCTAGTAAGATGTTCAAAAGGACCACTGGGAAAACTAGGCAATATGTTCCCTGTGATTGAAGGACCTAAAATATTGGATTTGGTTCATATCTGTAAAAGCTAGAGTGTACCGTGGCCTGTGGTCTCATTTTAATAAGATACTGTGATAAAAAAAAAAAAAAAAGTGTGGGTTAGCTGACAGAACCTGGAGAGTATTGCTGCAGTGAGGTCTCCTTGCAATTCCAAATTTAGCCACTAAATGACAGCATGTTTCTCTTGGAACAGATGTATACCACTCTGTAGAGAGCTGGCATGTGATCATCTCGGGTCCTATAAAATTGACTCACCAAGAGAGACTAAAGATCTCATCAAAAAGAAGATAGAGCTGTACTGTTGATCCTCAGAGGCCAAAACATGGGAAAAGGAACTGCTGCAGGGAATAGTCTAGCTTCATCAAAAGCACTGGAGCAGTGGGAGGCCCAGCAGGAACCTCTGAAGAGTCTGTGAAAGGAAGGTATACCAAAAATGAAAGCAGCACTTAAAACATCTGTGGCCAGCTCAGCAAGAGTAGTTATATTTCGTTACCTGTTGTTCTAGCCTCTCTTCTCTCCAGAAACCTGGAGAAATAACATCAGTATGGAGTGGGAGAAGAAGTGAGCTAACAAAAATGTATAGAACTGTCAAATCGTAGTTGCTTTATCTTACTGGAGGCTTCCAGGTGGAAATAAGAGAGGAGAGGGCAAATTGAAATTTACATTGTTATTATAGGTTGCATATGCTATTTGGTGAGTTGAATAACTATGTTCAAACAACTCAAGTAATTCAAAGACTATTAGCTAAGCATAAGCAGAAAATCCATGGAAAAACTGTAGAGCTTTTATAAAAAGGTATGGGACATTTTCTTCCAATTAAAAATTTCATGTCATGACTCAGGTTTATTCAACCTACTGGTCACATATATTAATCTTCATGGAAGGTTAGTAGAAATATAATAAATCTATGGTTCTTAATTTATAGATTATTGACATAAAAAACATATTTTAAGCCACTTACAAGTAATTATCTCCGGTAATTTACTAATATTATTTACATAGATTAGGAAACTATAAATTCACCATTGATACTATTGCCATGAAAATACTTTAAATTACCCATATGTAGTACATGTAAGTATACTTTTAAGTATATTCAATTTGCTATTATAAACTGCTGCCAAATAGGCATGATCAAAAACATTAAAACTTTATTTTATAATAGTTCTACATTTTACTATCAAAAGAAAGCAAAATAATATAAATAATCCACAGTAAGATCATTATAAAAAGGGGGATATCTCTGTTGTTTACCATAAAATGAAATAACAACATTGAAAGATTTTCTCTTGACTATTTAGCAAAAGATATGAATTATAGGCACTTTGAGCACATCTTTTTCTGAACAATTGTATATCTATAAACCAAAATGCAGACAATGAATGAATACAAACTGGATCTTACTGAACAGCAAGAATCCAAGAGATGAAAAACAAACCAAAAAAAAGGCCAAAAAAAAAAAACACTAATGATACTACATTTGCTATTAGGAGCTTTTCGCATTTGGATAACAATGGCATGATTTCCATCAACAAATTAAAGCTTTTTGCTAATTTTTTATGACCTCAATCCACTAATATTGTTTTGACTCTTCATTTTCAATTTTTACCAAATCAAGATGCTGAGGCTAACAATGAGGCTTCAACTTTTTGCCTGGAAAGCTAACATAATCTTCTAATTAATAATTTATTACAAAACAAAATGTTTTATGGTTTTCAAGCAAAACTAAACATTTAAACTATGGAAAAACTGTGCCTCCTCCTTAAATACTTTGAATTTTTTAAGAATAATGACTCTTCATGTGTAGATTTTCACTACATCAGCTTAATAATTTTACTTTGTTTACATTATAATATAGTGGTAAGTCACTGAGTATTGTTATATTTGAGCATGTATAAATATATATATATATATACATACATATATATTTTTTTTTTCTTTTTTTTTTGAGACAGAGTCTCACGCTGTCACCCAGGCTGGAGTGCAGTGGCACGATCTCAGCTCACTGCAAGCTCCGCCTCCCGGGTTCACGCCATTCTCCTGCCTCAGCCTCCCGAGTAGCTGGGACTACAGGCGCCTGCCACCATGCCCGGCTAATTTTTTGTATTTTTAGTAGAGACGGGGTTTCACTGTGTTAGCCAGGATGGTCTCGATCTCCTGACCTTGTGATCCGCCCGCCTTGGCCTCCCAAAGTGCTGGGATTACAGGCGTGAGCCACTGCGCCCGGCCGCATGTATATTTCTAAGGATAGCTATATTTAAGGATGGTGCACATATTAAAGAAAAATTCATTTAAAAACCACTACAGATAAATCTAGATTTTTAAAGTTCTCCCCATCTATATAAGTAAAATATTATGTTGAAATATGGTTAACGGGCCATTTAAATCTGGCTAATACCCATTGTGGATGAATTTTAATGTTCTGACTTCTGGTGACATATACTGAATAATAGGCCAATACATGGTTGCCCTCATCTGATTTCCAAACTTTAATTAAGGCCTCCTTTAGGAGGCTGACCCAGGAGGATCACTTGAGGGCAGAAGTTTGTGACCAGCCTGGGCAAAATAGCAAGACCCTGTCTCTACAAAAATAAATAATAAAAAGAGAAATATCACCAACACTGATCTATTTGTATATGGGAAAAGCCTGGGGTAAAAGAGGGTCATAGAAAATAGAAACCATTGGCCGGGCACAGTGGCTCACATCTGTAATCCCAGCACTTAGGAGGCTGAGGCAGGTGGATCACTTGAGGTCAGGAGTTCAAGACCAGCCTGGCTCAAAATGGAGAAACCCCATCTCTGCTAAAAATACATAAATTAGCCAGATGTGTTGGGGCGCATCTGTAGGCTCAGCTACTCGGGATGCTGAGGCAGGAAAATCACTTGAACCTGGGAGGCGGAGGTTGCAGTGAGCCAGGATTGCACCACTGCACTCCAGCCTGGGACGACAGAGGAAGACTCTGTCTCAAAAAAAATAAAAAAGAGAAAGAAAAAGAAAATAGAAACCATTTACTTCATTTTTCCCTCATCCCATTGATCTAAAATGTTAGATCTTTCAGTTTAGCTAGTGATCTGAGTGTTCATCTACCTCATCAAAGCAGTTGTCAATTTCTAAAAGAAAAAAATTGTAATCCCAGATTTTATGCCCTGGTAAAGTAAGAGAAACATATGATGCATGCACACAAGTCATTATAAGAAAATTATTAAAACAAAAATTTTTCTAAATAGCTAAGACAGATAATATAGTAAAGCAAAATGTAAGCATTACGACTACCAAAATAAAGATTAACTGAAGGTAACAATAATTTAACTAAAAAGGACTGGGTCAGAACCCTAAAACATACTAGCAAAAATGATAGACATCTAAATAATGAAAAACTTAAGTCCACTAATTTCTACATTTATGAAAATTCAATAAATATGGTTTATATTATACAACTGATAACTTCTATTTTCAATTTTGGAACTTACATTTACCTTAAATATTTAGATTTAACTTTATATTTACATGGATAGCTTCAATGTTCTCCATTTTTAAGCCTTTAATTCTAATTTTTTATAATTAATGGAATATTTTAAGATTTGTTTTTGATTAGTTGGATTTCATTTGCAAATATATTTCCCAAGATTTACTGTTTATTTCCCTTTTTATTGCTTTCCCCATGATGCATGTATTTCCCTTCATCCATGCATTACATTTGCTTGAATATGTATGTAACTTTTACCCTTCTCTTTTTAACTCCATTGACATGGCAATTTTATATTCTGACATTTAAATTTTACCAAGTCTAAAGACGACTTGATTTTTTATTTTCTACAGGTTCTTTGCTTCTACCAATAGCAATCACTCTGCGTAGCCTTGCAAAGATACTGTTTTTTAATTAATATAAATGGTAGCACACTATAAATATATTTCTGAACTTTGCTTTATTTAAAAAATAAGAGTTCTAGTCAGCAAATGTGACACCTCCTGTTTGTCTACAATTTTACCACCACAGTGTTTTCAACCTATTTATCTTTGCCAATTAACAATTGGAAAATGGAATTTTATTATAGTTTTAATTTGTATTTTATTTCTCTGATTATACGTGGGGTATCTTGTAGTGTATTTAAATGACTTCTCTGCTGTTTTCTCTGAAATATTTGCCATATAATTTGCCCATTTTCTGACAGGTTATCAGTTTATTTTTTTCTTTCTTTCCTTCTTTCCTTCTTTCCTTCCTTCCTTCCTTCCTTTCTTTTCTTTCTTTCTCTCGACAGAGTTTCACCATGTTGGCCAGGCTGGTCTCAAACTCCTGACTTGGTCAGATGATCCACCTGCCTCGGCTTCCCAAAGTGCTGGGATTACAGGTGTGAGCCACCACGCCCGGCCTTATTCTTATTTTTTACTAACATTTTATATGTTAACAAAAGGAAGCTGTTTTTATGTTAAAAGTTCCAAATATTTTTCCTAGGATTTAAATGTTTGCCTTTTCAGGTGTCTCGATATCATTTATTGAATAACTTCTTTTTCCCTCAATGATTACCTTGCCACTTCTGTCATGTGTCAAATCTTAATTAATTCATATAGACCCTAATAGTCTCCTCAAGGAAACTGTTTCTATGTTCATATACCAGTGTTTACTGTTAAAATGACTAATTTTATGGAATGTTTTAACACTAGTTTGATTTGTAATTTTTATTTTTTTCAAGAATGTTCCCCAAATTTTCTTCATTTTTTTACCTTTCACAATAAGTTATTGGGATTGTATTAAATGTCTAGACTGACTCAGAGAAAATTTTGTACTTTCCTGGCTTGGTCTTCTTTTCCAAAAACAAAGTATGCTTTTTCATATATTTAAATTTCCTTTTGTGTCCTCAGAAGTATTTTAAGGTTTTACTGACATATATGCCTACTTTGTTCTATGTTTAATATACTTTTAAGTATGTGATCTTTTTTGTTACTATTATGAATGGAAGCTGATTTTCAATTTTTATTTTATATTCTTGCTGTATGTTTCACCTTCCATCCCCCAGATTTGTACCTTAAGTTATTTCCAAAAATATATAGGCAGACAGATAGATACAGAGATGGAGATATTAGTTCATCTTTTAATTTCTTTCTATTTCCATGTTCTCTTCTTGATAAAAACCAGTAATTTGTATGTTGTCTTTTAATTGTTTAGACCCCAAATCACACAGTAATTTTTATACCTATAAATTGTCCACTATGTTAACAGTATTTTTCTCAAGTCTTTCCTCTATTGATTTGTGTGACTATTTATGATATTATTATAAGTATCACAGTTATTTTTTCAAAATTTTATTTCATAGATCTGTAAATTATCTCAATATTTTCTCATTCTGCTTAATTACCTTGAGAGTGAACTGTATCTAAAATCAATTTTATTCCAATGTGTGCTAGTTATCTGTCTTCTGAAGACATAATTAACTTATCATTTATTTTAATACAAACTACTTAAATCTAATTAGTTTGTATGTTTGGTTTTGTTATCACTATTGCTTGTTTACTTTTAAATACATTCTCTCTAAGCCTTCTATTTTCTCTACAAACATCATAGTAGATTCTCCTTGGCTCCTCTTTCTGTTTATCATAACATTCTCTGAATGTTCTGCTTAAAACATGAGCTTGGATATTAAATATTGACTTTTACATTAGTTAGTCATTAACCTTTTGAAGTACTAGGGAGGAAATTAGAAACGCGGGCTGTCTTCGTCAAGAAGTATCATTCCTGTGAGGTTTCTCTCTGAATAAGTTCCACTGTCACTTTTGTGGTTGTGTCAGTAGATTGGTGGTGTAAATTGTCCCATTGGTTGATGACATTTTTTTAAGGGTCATTTGGCTAATTTGATGAGAGGATGAGTTAGTGAGAAATTCTGTGATTGTCAGGCTTTGTGTTTGGTGTGAACACCCAGCTGCCTTTTGTCACCATTCATCTGCAATGGCCCCTAGGAAATTTTTCCGGGTGCCCTTCATGAGACCATCCATCTGAGCTTGGTAGGGATTTCCCACATTTCTCATGACACGTATCTCCAGTTCCACTGATTTTTGCTAAATTGGAGGATGAGAAATTTTTAAGGTGATTTTGTCAGAATTATTTCTACATATTTTCTTCACATAATATACTCTCTCAAAAGGTGGAGTTGTGAATATTTATTCCAGTATCTTTTTCTGATTTTGCCCCAATTTTATTGTATTTGACCAACATTTTAAAGTATATGGTATTAGTTTGAAATTTTTCCAAATTTTGTCAACGATGTAACATTACATGGAACAGAGAGTAAATTTATTGATGAAGAACCAAATCTAAACTGTAAATACGAATAATCATACATCTTTCTTGCTTTGAAAGTACTTAATAGTACTAAAAATAGAAGAAATTGATAGAAACGTTGCAATAAGAAATCTTGACACACCATTCTTAATTACTGACTGATCAAGAAAGTAATCATAAATAAGAATTTGGACTAACTTTTGCAGTTAATAAATACACATCAAACTTTACACACTATTATCTGTAATTCGGAAGCGTATGAAATGTTGATAAAAATTATAGCATGATTTCTTATCACACCCTCCCCCTAAATAAGTGAATGAACTTTGGAGATAAAAAGCCAAAAACTAAAGCAGTTTTACTGTTGTTGTTGCTAGTACGGCAGGTGCTTGTTGAATAGGAGGGTTATAAAAACAGGGCCATATGTAATATACTAATTGGCCCAAATGTAACTAGCTCATCAGAGCAGAACCCCATCTAGATACCATTTTCAACTTTTGTATTCAATTTGAATTTCAACAGATTAACAATCATAACAGTTCCAAGAGTACTTGGATCATTTATTACTTTTTTGTATATTTTATTTTAAAATATGTTATTTTGAAAAATTTATTTCAATACTAAAATATTGACAAATGATAAACTTTGCTTTAGAAGATTGATGCTACATGATTTCTATTTTCCATCAGTTCCCATTTAATAATTAGAGATTGGCCATTCTTTTTGAAGAGTTACACCTTAGCAGTCCATTATAATATTTATTAAATGCACTTGTTGCACCAGCAAGTGGGTTGTACTTTGCATATCTTTTCTCTATTTATCCTTACAATCACCCTATTAAGTAGGTTCTATCAACATCCCAATTTTAATACAAAGGAATCTAACACTGAGTAACTTAACTAATTGGCTACCATGTGTAGAATTATAATTTGGACCAATTTTTCTCTAAAGGTCATAGTTAAACTTCTAACTTTTATGATCTACTTTTAAGCTGTAATTAAAAAACCTGCCTCTGTATCAATAACACTTACAGATATATATTTTTAAAAACCTCATATGGCTAAGTCACAGTTTATCCCTATGGAATCAGAGTCTCCAGAAGTATAGGGCAAAGAGTCTATCCTTACAAATATAATAACAGCAACAACAACACACGTGTGCTCACACACACTCTTACACACATGTATTGCTGAACTGACTCCAATGTCAAGACTTCTGTTTTAAAAGCTGTGCAACCATTTACTTATTATAGGAAACTGAATTTTTCATTAATACCAATAATATTTAATGTGTTTATATTGTTGTGCTACTCTCAAAAGTTTACAAATTGCAATACTGAAGGCCCAGGATAATTGCAGATACTTTAGGAAGTCTAATACCTCGTTCCTGCCAATTTGTATGTATTATGTATGCAGCTAACAATTTGTAAAGATTCAGCATTTTAGTTTAGGTTTTCACCAACCTCAGACTGTATTAACACTTCAAAGTTCACATCCCAGATAATCCCTGTGCTCCTTTTGCACTTTTTTCAGCAGTGAGCACTTTGGCACCTTTCCAGATGTATCTGCCCATTGACTCCTATACAGTTTGCTGCAATACAATTGGATAGGAGAGATCCCAGCATGTATTTAATAGATTAAGGACTAAAGTTTCACTTTCTTATAGATTTCCAAGTTCTGCCTGGTGTTTCTTCTGCCCTTCAATCTCTTTTCAGTGTCGGGAGGGCCCTTCACTCTTTGGTTTAGTCACAGCCTTGCCCTGAGGCTCTAGTGAAATGTTTAACATTAGATAGCAAATGTTTAACATTAGATAACTCTAGTAAAATGTTTAACACTAGATAGCAAAAACCCTAGTTTTTTATGTGGCTTGCAGATTTCAAGCTCCACCTTCTATCATTCAGAATCAAGATGCACCCCCAGCTTATCTCACTCTGTGCCTGAGTCCCAGTGAGCAGGTCTTAGCCTTTTTCAAACAATTAGAATCACCTTTTATCACTTCTCCTGTAACCCTTTCCCCGTTTCTGACCATCCTATACATGTTTAATACTCCACATCTCTGAAATATAAAGAATAATATTAACATATTTTCTTACAGCTTATACATAGGTTAATATGTATAATATTACATATTATAATATGTATGCAGTTTATACTTGCATACTTAGGAATCACAAGCTCAGGCTGCAAAGTCAGAATATTGGAATTCAATGGACAATGAAGGAAAAATGGCTGCCACTCTGCCAATCTTGTTAACAAGATACAATACTCTGATCTTCCAGGTGACTTCCTTTTCAATGGATTTGCTGGTGATGGGTGTAATGTAGGGATACCTCTGGGACCCTAGCTTGACTGCCGTTTGCCTCCAACTTCAGCTGCTTGTTCAGGAACTGCCTTGAGTTAAATATGTTCTCACAAAAAAATCATCAATAAAAGCAGGGTGAGCCATTCAACAGCCTCTCTGTGACCGTATCTCAATAATTTCTAAATAACTGTGCATCAAAATCAGGAATCAAAAGTGGAAACATGATCGCATTGGTCCATAGCCCCAAGATTGTTATTTTTCATAGACCTCTTTAAAGTTGCCATATCAAAGGTGAAGATTTTCTCACTGATTCTTTAAAATTACTTGCATTACATAAATATGTTTGACATTTTCTCTCACATTTTTCTGAAGGAAAGGTAATACTAAATACAACTTTGGAAAATCACTTTTGCATAGGCTAATTTTTATTTCTTGCTTGTGGCATCAATGTTTTAAATCATAATCATATTTGTTACATTAGGCAAAATTTTGGCGTAGTTTGTTAAAGTGGCTTCATATGATTGAGCCCATCAGATTATAAATAATTGATAATCTTCCAAAGTGTTACCTTTTGACAGACAGAACAAATTACGAAGGGTGAAAAATGAAGTCTTAAGCCAATCAGCCGTATGTGTAATCATTTGCAAGTTCCTTTCTGGAATATCGACATATTTATATTTTTATCTTCCCTAAGTTAACTGATCTCTAGAATTAGTAAGTCCATAGAACATTCCTCATTTTGGATCACATCCATTTAACAGTCATTCTGTCTAATGAAAGTATCTATGCTGTACTATTTGGCAAGATAAGTTCATTCAATTCCCTACATACCTTTACATCTCCAGACAGTCGTATCATGCCCTCCTAAATAACTACACTCAAATACCAAATTATTTGTCAGCATAAAAAAATTGGGAATGGAACAAAATCAATTTTATTAAACAACTGAGTATTTTTTGGTCCTATGGCCCTGATAAATGTAAGCAATCTTTGCAAATTTATTTCACTAGTGATTCTTTTTAATGGCACTGTGATCACTGGCTCCACATTTAGAAATAAGTTATGAGTAATGCTTGTATAATAGTCGCGTGTCTTGACATCGTAATTTGTTTACATGAGCGTTTTCACTTGTGAAATCTACTATGTCCATGGTTTCTAAATATTATGTATGTGAATTTGGAAACAATTCTGGATATTCTTTACATTATATGCTTAACAGTAGCTGATCAAAGCCATTGAAAAGCCAGGTGAAAGGCTTTGTAAAATAGAAACCCAAAGAAAGTCTCTGCAAGCAGATAAGGAGACACAAGTTTGCTTTACAGGCTTCACAGCCACTGGGTCAGCTACAGAGTCAATGAACTAGTTCAATAATGGGAAAATCATAGACTTTGGCACTAGGCATACTTGTGTTTAAATTTTGGCTTTACAACTTATTGTCTGGGTATGGTTAGGAATGTTCATTAACTTTTGTGTTTCCTCAATTTTTCTCACCTGTGAAATTGATATAAAAATTCCTACCTCATATTTACTAATTAATTCATTTATTCTACAAAAATAACCTCAGTTGTTACTATGTGCTATATGACTAAAAGCCTAAGAGCAACTTGCTTGCTTAGATTTTTTAAATTCTGTTGGTGTATTAGAAGTGCTTGTTTCTGTTGCCTGAGTTTTTATGAAGGATGAGTTGTGTTTAATAAGAATGAAGCTCAACTGCAATGTGTGTGGAATTTTTCTTTAATTCCTAGGATTTAGATGTTTCTCTTAGAGGCAGTCACCATTTCTTACTCTATTCCTTTATGCTATATTAATTTAGAAGGAATCCACAGAATAGACATGTAACAGAAATTCACTCTATTGTGGCAGCTCCCTAGCAATGGGATCCGCAAACAGCTGTGTGTCCAACTGTGCATTCATGCTTATTTTTTTGGTATGTTGCAGAAGCTAAATCCAATGTTTAGGTGTCATGCCCTTCATCTTTCTGTGCCACAATGCCTCTTTGTGGTTCAAAAGTGCAAGGGAACATTTTCTGCCCATTAACATTGCTGGTTCATATTTCATTTGCTCTGCACTATCACCCAGAGATTTATTTTGCCTCAAACTGTTTTCTTGTGTCTGTCCCACCCTCTGAGTACCTGCATTAGGTTATTTCCTCCCCTTGTGTAATGATTTGCATTTTTACAACTTAAATCTTGGTTTTATTTCCTTACCACACTTCTAATGCCTCTAGCTTCTTTATTAAAATTATTTCCCTGTCCTCCCCTGTGTATGCAACATCATCCAAGTTAGTACCATCCACAAATAAAAATGTGTTGCTTATTATCTTTTTCTGAGCATTCACAAAAATGTTGAATATAAATGAACTTAAATATTTCAACTTTGAAATGTCCTCATTTGTTTCTAAGAACCCGAACATTTGCATGTGTTGTTTTTATTTGTCTGAAGATTATAAAGCCAATGTAAATATATTTAACAGGCCATATTTAAGCTAACTGGAATATGGTACATCAAATTATATTGATAGAGGCAGGAGGCAGAGAACTCTCCTAGGCAAACAGGGGAGGGTCCCCACAGAAGCTCCGACCTGCCTAGGTCATTGTGCACAGGGGGCTTGCCTAAACATGCCCATAGTGAAAACTGCCATCTCTTAATACATGTGCAATAAGGGAAATAAATCAATGTGGAGTGGCTCAGACTAAGGGCCCACATGCACACTGGAAGGACAGGGTGGAGCCAACAGGAATTCACACCTTATGCAAGGGAGGAGCTGGGCCTCTTCAGCTCATGCATGGAAGTCCTGGTACTCTATTGTGAGGGGGAAACCTGCTTGCAGAATCCCTCTCTTTGCTGAGAGCTTTCCTTTCGCTTAATAAATTCTACCCTCCTCACCCTTGAATGTGTCCATGTGCCTAATTTTTCCTTGTTGTGAGACAAAAACCCGGATTTAACTGAGCTAAGGAGCAAAAAATCTTGCATCGATATTGTATATCAGGTTAAATGGTGAAGACATAATAGATTTGTGTGTGTGTGTGTGTGTTTTCCTCTCTTTCACTCAGAAAATCTTTTTGTTGGTCTTATTGAACCTAAACTAGCCTAATTCTAGTGGATTAAATTTTATTTATTCCCCAAAAGTAAATATAGGTTTAAAGACAAATACTCCAAAAAGTTGATTTTCTCTTCTGGATTATAATATTGACTTTAAATAACTTTTATATGATGCTTCTCTGAGCACATTTTAACTAAATGTTCCAGAGCAATTTATGTGTGACTCAGGACTCAGTTACAGCAAGTGAAATAATTTGTCTTTGATAAATTACAATTAACTATCAATATGCCAGAACTAAATGCATGGGTTGAAATATCAAAAAAAGAAAAAAAAACCCAACCATCGGTTAGTTTTTCCTTTGGGCTCTGCAGGAAATGTTGTAGAGGTGGAAGAGCATGTTTTGAGATCTACTACATATAGAAGTGCCTGTCTTCTGAGTATGACCTCGGTCAGCCTCTATAAGTGGAAAATTCACAAAAGGAAATACATACCATGAATGTTGGAAGTGACTTTAAAATCTTCTAGTTCAACCCCTTGATTTCACAGATGAACGAAAAGAAGCTCCAGAGAGACTGATGGAGAGGACCAAGGTCACACATCTGAGGAGCATGTCTGTTTCACATTATTGTTATGGATACTACCTGAATCTTCCAGGATCACTTTGTTTCCTGATTATACGTGTTCCCAAGGCACATGTTCCTAGAACTTTTTAGAAAGGCATTACTTTATGCTAAATGTCCTTAAAACTTATCAAATTAACACCAATTTAAAATCACAAGCCTGAAAAATCATTTCCACATTTGCATAAAATTTTAGATCCATTTTATTTAAATTTAGTAGATCAAAACCTAATTTTATCGATTAAATTTCAAAATAAGATTTTTTTAAATAAGTATCTGAATGGGTTTTCAAAGCTTTGTTACTTGGCATAAGATGAACTAGAATTCTTCAGAAGTTGGTATTGTCCCTTTCATATTTTTTTCACATCAATATCCTAATGAATGTCTCTACAGAAATAAAGAGTATGACTGTGAGGGCAAATAATTCTAATTACCAACATGCTGCACAAACACTGTTATCAAGAAAAGTATAGAGATGGGACATCAGAGTCTGTTCCCTAAGCAGGGAATATGTTTCAATAGAAATCAATATGTGGTATGAAAGTGAGAGTAGCCAACACTCTCAGAAGGGTGAGCACCATCCTGGTTACTCTCTCTGGAAGACATAGAGGAATAGAAAACATATTTCTTCCAAAAGAATATTCGTATTTAGCTCTATAAAAATGTCACTTGACTCTCTTTATAAGGAGAAAAATAAGATGGAAATAAAGGCCCTGGAGAATTTAGTTTTTCCTCTCCTTAGTGATGTGGAAAAAACCGAGTTCTCGTTACATGGCCGGGTTTTTAGGCACGCGGACACATTGTAGGGTGAGTAGGGCAGGGTTAATTGGATGGAAAGTTAAAAAGGAAAGAGGAACTCTCAGCAAAGTGAGAGAGAGTCCTGCTAGCAGGCCTCCACCTTACAGATTGAATCCCAGACCACCACACAGGACCTGAAGAGAGCCAGGCTCCTCCCCACTGCGAACAGAGTGCACTTCCCCTGGCTCCACCCCCTTCCCCCAGTGCACAGTGGGCATTATTCAGAGACAGTCAATCGGGAAAAGGTGGGCTTCATCCAGACCAGCAGTCTGGTTTTTCAGCCTTCAGGGTGTTTTAGGCTCCATGATGGGGTTTCGCTGGGGACCCTTGGCTGTCTTCTGTCTCTATCACTAGTATTTCCACTCCTTGATGTAGTATCAATATTGTTGGATGATTATTTGCAAGTTGATACAGACACTCAAAGCCTTTGAGGTCATATGAAGTGCATATATTGAGAATGTACAAAACAAATATTAAAATATTTGGTATTAACCAACAGTGTAGCTCCTTGAAATTAAGATATCTGTAAACTATAGCTGAATAAATTTCACAAATTTAAGCACTTAATTAGCAAAATAGCCCCAATTCTTTTAATCTAGCATAAATAATATTTTTACTAGTTAATCAAGGACTGTTGCTTAAACAAGAGCAACACTGTTGAACTTAAACATCCCCTTTGCTTTCAGTGCAAGGTACTTTTTTCTATTTAAATGTCAATCAATTTATCACTTAAATGTCTATGCTTAAATATTAGCAGAATTCCAGATATAAATAGAAATATTGCTAAGTCACATATTACAATTATAATATATTAATTCCAATATAGGTTTTGTGAATGAACTTGCAGATAATTATGCTTTTGAAGTAAAAGTGTCTTTTTTCTGATTTGGACAAGACAAACAAATATTCAATTCAATAAAAACATTTGAGCAACCAAATTATATAAAGCATTATGGCAGATTTAATTGTGGTCTCTGCCATCAGTGGCTTGCATTCTGGACTGAAAGACAAATTATTATTCATCTTCAGTTTCACTGGCTAGAGAATGATATGAAACAATGCATTTAAAGTAACTAGACAATAGTAAATTACGTTAGCATTTTCTAAACAAAATCATGAAAAACAGAAGACGTATAAATTATAATATATTGCACCAAATCTGTAATTTTTGTATTCTCCATAAAGTATGCTAATATCTGTATGTGGCACCAAAAGTGCTATTACATGAGAGCTGTATGAATTATGAATAATTATAAAGCTATAATGAGTTCTTGAAGAGATAATTGATTGTTACTAGTCACACAGTTCATACTTTAGCTTGAAAATGATCTTTGCTTTTCATTCAATCAGCCCTATTTGAAAACAGTCATTTTACTTCAGTCTTGGCTGGTATTAAATACTCCTTTGTCAATGCCCTGGGTATTGTGATCTTAGCATACTTAGAGAATATGTGTGCGCTTTAAGTGCCTAAACTATTGCAATAAGCAAGGTCACTTCTAGCAATAGAGACCTAACTGGAGCTGTAACCAAAGTCATACAAATAATATCTGCAAATGTCAATAATGAAACAATTGGGGAAAAGAACATATCATCCACGTGTGTGTGTGTGTGTGTGTGTGTGTGTGTGCAAGCATTTATAAGGTAAAAAAAAAATAGCTGCCAAGCCCTGTTTCAAAAGTACTCCTTCAGAATAAAATCAAGTACAGAAATTTCTAATTTTATCACTTGCCCCCCAGGAGCTACACAGCCAACCCCAAAAAGAAATCATCTCTCACATATTCTTATAATACCTTTATTCCCTGAATGGAGCTCATTTTGGCCATCTGTATTCTAAAACAAAACAATGACAACTAGGAAAAGAAAATTGCAGGGCAGAGATGCATAGCTGGCATTCATCTGGAACACAGAGGGAGGAAAGCCTTGTTAAGTTTCTCTCATTCTCATCCCTTACAGGAATGGGGATTTGTAGTCTGGGTCTCCTGAAAGCCCCACGCTTGACTTCAGATTAACAATTGCTCCCCCTCCCGACCTCCCCAAGCAGGAGTATACCTTTTTATATTGCTGTTTCAGCAAGTGAAAAAGATGTCTCTTCCTGCTGCTCAATTTAGCTTATAAACAATCTTCATTTCTGAGGATACTGCAACTCTCCCAGATGCTCTATTAGATGACTAAGTGTGTGTCTCTCATTTCATATAGGTATGTATACTTACTTATATTTACATATAGGAACATTTGTTTCTCAAAGTTGAAGTATATTCATTCAACTACACTCATTGAATTAGATTGACTTAATTTTGTCCAAATGACTTAGGTAGAACTGTACCGAAATTCGTACTAATAGTATTCCAGACCGTCATCCACAAATTAAGTTGTGACTCATTAGCTGGATTTATCATAGGAACGTGAGTTGTCTGATTTTCTTTCCATAAATTATTTGTTTGTGGGTTCCACATTCATAGCTTCAATGCAACGCAACATTTTTGGAGCACCTACTCTGACCATGGCATTGTGCAAGAGATTGAGATGACCTAAACTTCAAACAGTAAAGGATTACTTGCCATCTACCCAAAACAACAATTCTGAATATTCAGTCTACTTTCTCAGAGTAATTTTCATAATATAGCTATACTTTTTGTTCAATTTGAGCAAAGGTGGAAATGGAAGTTTAAGTGTAGTTGAGGTTTTGATTTTTGTGAAAGATTGGAAGCATGTAGTGAAAACCAGCAATGGGAAAACTTTCAAGACCCTCTTGGGATAAATCTATAAAAGATGAGTACTTCCAACAATCACTTCTAAAGCAAATGTAATTCTCAGGTTGAAAATATAAGTACATTTATTTTTTAAATTCACTTTAAACAGACAAAAGCCATCTGTTTAGCCAGGTAGATGCAGTACAAATATCTATACCTACTCTGCAGGAAGACCCTTGAGATTCTACTTCTTTGCTAAGGATTGCAATTGTATTCCATTTATCATTATCTCCCCAATCTATCTATACATTTATTTTTATTAATAATTTACCTTTACATGGCTGGGCGCGGTGGCTCACGCCTATAATCCCAGCACTTTGGGAGGCCGAGGCGGGTAGATCACAAGGTCAGGAGATCGAGACCATCCTGGCTAACACGGTGAAACCCCGTCTCTACTAAAAATACAAAAAATTAGCCGGGCATGGTGGCGGGCGCCTGTAGTCCCAGCTACTCGGGAGGCTGAGGCAGGAGAATGGCGTGAACCTGGGAAGTGGAGCTTGCAGTGAGCTAAGATCACGCCACTGCACTCCAGCCTGGGCAAGAGAACGAAACTCTGTCTCAATAACAATAATAATAATATTTTACCTTTACATTATAGATATCTATGTACATTTAATATTGAAAATAGATTTCTTCAGAATGCTTTTATTTATAAGAAATACACGTTTAACCAATTTTTTTCTCTGCCATGACATTTACTTAGTTATGGCTTTATAGACAGAAATAATTTACCCATTTCCTGGCTGAATAAATCATAATAGATTTTAAGAAATTGAAAAAGATTAAAAGTGCTTCTCTAGTATGCATGAGACTTCCTTATTTTTAGAAGTATTAGTTAACTATTATATGCCAGGCCATATTAAGGCTCATGATAGCAGATATCAATAGAGATATAAGTTGTCCCTTAATACTCTTTAAACAGTGTCACATGGCTTTAAAAGTATAGATTTTGGAGTCAGACAAACCTGAATTCAAATTAGAAACTGGTCATGGTAGTGGGATAGTAACTAAGCTGTTTCACTTCCTTCTATAACAAACAGCTAACTTTTGCTAGCCGCATCTAGAAAGGCTTGCAGAAACAATCTGTGTTTTAAAAGAAAATAGCTTTACTCCTAGAGAATTATAAAACCATCTGAAGACCAGAGGATATTGCAAAAGAGGCTTCCACCTTTCCCCTTCAATCTCACTTCAGCCATGAAGAGTTCTTACAGATGGGTGCTGTGTGGTCCCTTCTCTCTCTGAATACTCTTACTCAATCTACGAGTTCTGCCATAGGACTCTGTTCCCAGCCGAGTCAATGCACTGTCCTGCAGGGATGTTCAGCCTTGGAGTGCCCTGCCAGAGAATACTTCAAATATGTTCAATTTCTTCAGTGTAGAGTGCCTACAAGGGTAACTATTGTGTTGGTGCTGTGGGCCACATCTCAGAGCCTAACTAGGAAACTCATGCCTTTGTCTCTTGCTTCTATCAACAAAGAAGTTTTGTTTTGTTTTGTTTTGTTTTTTTCCAGGGGTTGGAGTTTATGCTGGAGGAGAAAAGAAAAGAAGTAGGTTCAAGAAAACAAAATTCTTTATTTATTGCTGTACTTCAATAATCTAACATAGATGCAACAGCAATACTTTTCTCAGAGGAATATTGGGAGTACTGTTAAAGAGGTTCTATAAAGCAGGTGGCATAGTGTAAATATTGGATAAATAATAGTTATCTTTAATCATTATCATTGCAACAGCAATACTTTTCTCAGAGGAATATTGGGAGTACTGTTAAAGAGGTTCTATAAAGCAAGTGGCATAGTGTAAATACTGGATAAATAATAGTTATCTTTAATCATTATCATTGTACCTACATAAGACACTAGAGCTTCTGGAGTTATCTAGCATTTGTGCTTTTTTTTAGTCTTCTCATTCACATTTAATGCCAATATTATAATCTGAAAAGTTTTCCATGATCAGATTAACATGTAACATACTGATGACTGTAGATACTCATATATACATACACAGACTCAAAAGCATACACATATATATTCAACATAGTTGTGTTCCTAAATACTAGCTTCATAAAGAAATCTTTTAACTGTAGTAACTTGTGAGCATTTCTTTTTCAACCCAAGAACAAGACAGAGAAAATCTATTTCAATTCTCTACCCTGTTCCTCCTCCACCCCATCTTCCTTCTTTCCCACACTCTCAGTCTTCCTGTCAAGGGTGGTGGAGTATACACCCTAATCAAAGTAAGACACTGCCGAGGCAGCAAGATACACTGGGAAGATTAGAGTGGAATAAAAATGGCTTCAAAATAGCCTGCTGATAAGAATAAACTTGAGAACAGACATTTTGGACAGGTACAAATGAAAGAGAATTCACATAGGGATGTCTCCAAGTGTGTTACCACTGGGAAAAACCCACAGTAGATGAGATAAAGACTCTGTTCCTTGTAATCTTTACATTTGTATGCGCTACTAGTCCCTGCCTACAGCACATTAAACTGATTAGCTGTTTATTGACATAATATTTGCAGGCCTGGACACATGTTGGGACACGTTAAATCGCTTATTAATAGGAATAATTACTTTTTAGCTGTCACAAGTGCTTACAAAGGGAAATAGTCACAATGTTTTTTTTCTATTACTTGAGCACTATGACAAATTTCGCCTTTGTAAAATGATATTTGTGCTGCCTTGAAGCTATTGGAACATTTAAATCTACTGCTATGTTCTTGTTTCATAAATTAGAAGGGAAAGGAGAAAAATAACAAGTTTCAAGAAAACCACATGCTATTTTAAGTTAAGACAGGAGCTTACCCAAGAAAAGGCAGGTGTTTAAATTTGGTTTTCATTTCTTAGAAAAATAAATGCATATAAGGTTTAAATATAGTCATTTCCAAAAGTATCTTTATCCTTTCTTGGAATAAGCTACCAGTATTGCCAGATTCTAATAGTTTATCACTTACAGTAAAGCATAAAGTAGGCCAATAGGGAGTTCTCCTGTTAGTGAAAAATGTCCTTGGTGAACTATTTAACAATTTGAAGGAACACTGTTTACTAATCCACCCTGTCTGTAATGCTCTATCTACGAGATCACAGTCCAAGAAATAGATAAGATAATTGAGGAATCTATTTGCAGTCCAGAAATTCATAAAGTCAGGATGAAATTTTCATCCCTCTCCTATTAGTGGCCAGTCTCCTCATAATGAGGTTTGGTAAAAGCATATTACCAAAGGGAAAAGAAAATAGTCAGAGTAATGTCCTGACGCAGATAGGTACTCAAATAGCACTGGATTCTTATTACCAGCTGCTTCTCCACCATATATGGGACTGCCAAATCATTTGGGGTAGAGTAGATTACTTGACATGGTGTCAAGTGCTTACAGGATTCTGGATGACTAAGCATCTTTATTTAACTGCCATGCTGCTAACCCCACATGGGAAAGGGCCTGAAAAGGTTAATGTAAACATCGTCTGCTTCCTTCAAACCACACCAGAATACCACATCTGGTGGGTCACCTCACCCTGCAGTCAAAGCTCAAAGGACATTTGCTTTGTGAATGTCAGGATAATTTTATGAGAACCAGACACCAGGCATCTGATGTGGGCCTCAGAAAAAAAGGCAGATTGTTGCATGTGAACTGTTTGGATTATTAAAAAGGGTATGAGTGCAAGGCCAGGACCCAGTGTAGTAGTCATTGAAGTTTCCAGACAAATTACACCCATGCTACACCTAACATCACATGGCAGAGAAACTCTGCAGTAATGAGATTTCAGAGTACAGTGACTCCACATGAGCGAAAGTCATGGATTAGACAATTCAATCACATCTGGCCAGTTTTGTGATAAGAATAAAGAACACCAAGATGCAACACAAGACTCATCTAACATAAAAGCACTTTTCTTATTTGTTGCTTAAAGTTTCATTATATACATACCCTATTTACTGATTCATGTTACGGATACTCAGGCTGCCTCCCACTCCTTCCTTGACACCACAAATAATGCTGCCTTGAATGTCCTTGAATACTCCCACTTCTATGAGAATTTGGGGAATACACACACAAACACACACACACACACACACACACACACAGGTTCACACATCATGAGGTACATGCACATTAAAATTGCATAAATACTGACAGATTGTACTGCTGCATACCTATTAAAATATTCCACAATGAAAACATATGTCTTTTGTAATTATGTAAAACAAATATTGTTAAATATGGAAAAAAAGTTTTATTTATCTTACTCATTCCTCTTACTCTCCTCTGGTGCATTGTAATTTATTCAGCTATACAATGTAAGAGTCTATGTCATCCTTGGCTTTGACTTGGCTTTTTCATTTCTTTTTCTAACAATCACCAATCCTATAGAATCAATAGTATCTACAGTGTAGATAGTATTGATATAACTTCTAAAATTCCGTATAATCCCCCCATTACTTCATCACTACTCCTAATCTATCAGCCTTAATTCCTTCTGCTTTAAGTCTATAATTTCTCGATCTTTTGACATCTGTTGTAATCCACCTCAGTAGCATTACACAGTTGTGTCCCTCAACCTGAAATATATCTCTTATTATAGTAATACCCTTAACATCCTTAAGGACTTAAGAAATATCCCACTTCTCTCATATAGTCATACTGGTTTACAAACATGTTTGTATAGTACTTTTTATATGCTATCACAATTATCTGTTAATACTCATTTCTCAAAGTCACAAATTTTTCAAAGAAAGGAACATATCTTATTTGTATCTCCAGCATCTGGAAATGGTAACTATTCCACAAATGTTTGCTGAATGGGCTTTTATTATTATTCCCTCAGGCTCTTATCTCTTTTTTTTCAAAGTATAGTTAAGTATCTGACAAAATAATCTTACATTAAGACGTTTATACAAAATTATACTCCTTTTAAGAAGTTAAAAAATAAGCAAAAATGCACAACATATTTGTTAAGCATTTGTATGTGTGTAATAGAAAATACTGAAGAAAAACAAGGAATGATAAGCATTAATTTCCGGAACAAATTGCTTCTGGGTCAGACCAAGGACAAGGACAAGATATGGAAGAAGTACAAAAGTAAATGCACATTTTTAGAAATATTTGAAATCTTGTATTGCATGGTACATTAGAGGTGTTAATTATATTTAATAAATATTTAAGCAAATATAACCAAAGAGAGCCATGTATGGACCAAGGTGTCAGTAAGCTGTGAACCACAAGCCATAATTAATGATACTCTGTGACTTGGGTTCTAGAAAAAAGAAAAAAAGAAAAAAAAAGTGTGTGTGTGTGTGTGTGTGTGTGTGCGTGCGTGTGTGTATTTCTAAAATGAGTATTTCTTCTTCAGAGAGTCTTTGGGTTTTATAATTTTATGACAGGCGAATTCTACAGATACAATTTCTTCATTCAAAAACAAGTATGTGATACTACCAATGTTACAAGATTGTGACCAAAATACTGCCTTTCTATTGCTTGCTTTAATAAAATGCCTGGTTCCAGCACTAAGGTATCTCTCAGTAGTGAAGTTTATATTTTCATGGACAGATTGCCTTGTGTTATTTTACAGCTAAAGGTATTTTCAACATTAACTCATGACATCCAGACTTCTGCCTGTTCTAAACACACAACATACAGGCTGCCTGATAAGTTAGGAAGAACATGAACTACAACTGTTGTAATCCCTAAAGCAAATACTCATAATCTGAAATAAGCCCACGTATCTCAAAATTGACAAGTAGCTGAATTATTTGCCCCATAGGTAGCAGAAAGGGCTGGAATATACATGAGATCAATAGATCAATGAGACCACAACCTTTCATATGATACTTCATGAAACCATCTCAACCAAACCGTAATCCGTGCCATTTCCTGTTCCCTCCATTTGAACCTCTCACACTTTTTGAATGTGGTTTTCTTGGTATGCCTGTTTAGATTCAATCTTCAAATGTTTCCTCAAGTTTAAGGTGTAGATGAGCGCCTTTTCCTCTACGCCTATTTTTTCTCTATTAGAATCAAGTCCCTTTCCTCCTACAATCTGAAAGTCCACTTAAATTTCATTTTATTCTAATAAATATTGTAGATAGCTTTTGCATATGTTTTCCCTTTATTAAAAGTGCATGGTAGAGCTTCAAATAAATAAAAGTGTGTTGAGTGAATTTTTAAAAGATTAACCAGTTAAACACACATGGTACAGCCCACAGAGCCCAAATCATGGGGAGACAGGAAATGGCCAGGTTTTATGAAAAGCTTATAGTCAGAGACGGAGTGAGGGTGAGTTTGTTGGGCTCTTGATAAAGCTCCTCCAGGTTTTCTCTCCTGGGCTATCACCATCATCTGGTGAAATCTATTTATCAGAGTCCAAAGAGATGAGAAAATATTTAACCAGAGAGGCAGCAAAGTACAGGGAGAAGTCCACTTACTAACTGCCCAGTGACTTAAGATAAAACACTCTCAGGGTCTCGGTTATTTATAAAATTAAATATCACACCTGAGGAATCTCCTAAATTCTCTAGGTAAACATGCTATGATTCTATCAATGAAGAAATTTAATCTGAGACTAAAAGAACAAGTGAACTTGTATTTTTCTCAGTTCAGTATTAATGCATCTGTTACAATTAATTTTATTCAGTTATTTTCAGGAGTCAAGAAATGCAAAAGAAAACTACCAACTAGACATCATTAACCAGCCAAAAAGAATCCAAATAGGCATAACTGCAACCTATTTCATGTGTTAAGGGAAAATTATTTTGAAGAATCGTTTTTCTTTTATGATATTGAGTATAGATGAGTACTGTGCTATGACACATTTTATGACAGATGCCCAGTGAAGATGGTATGTAAAGTCACCTCTCCAGAACACTAGAAGTCAACTGAATTTCTGAAATTTCAGATCGTATTGGGGGTAATTTTTGACTGATTTTTGGATTTAGAACCTTTTCAATATTCTTCTAATCAGTTAGAAAAAATCTTTACTATTATGGCTTTATGCTCCCTTTCTTTCAAAGAAAAAAAACAAAAAATATTTATAAAAATGGCATCTCTATATTTAACATTTGATAAGTTAAAATTTTTTATTAAAAGTCTATATGATCTAAACAGCATTAGAAATCAAGTGACTACTGATAAGTGCAGAGAGAGTGCTTAAATATTTAAAGTTGAGTGCAATACCATATCATTAACTCCCTATATAAATCTCATCTTACATTGCACTAAATCAACAAAGCACAATAAGATGCAGCCACAAAAACGTATCTGTTTATAATTTACATATGTACTTATTCAATTAGTCTTCTGAGATAGAAGATAAACTGAAATACTTGCTAATAATTTAATGCTAAATAGGAATAAGCAAAGGATATGAGCTTAGTTCTTACATCTAGCAAACATGTGGAAAGAAGAATCTTGTTAGACGGCTGGGCGTGGTGGCTCAAGCCTGTAATCTCAGCATTTTGGGAGGCCGAGGCGGGTGGATCACCTGAGGTCAGGAGTTCGAGACCAGCCTGGCCAGCATGGCGAAACCCCATCTCTACTAAAAATACAAAAATTAGCTGGATGTGGTGGTGCACACCTGTAATCCCAGATACTCAGGAGGCTGAGGCAGGAGAATCACTTGAACCTGGGAGGCGGAAGTTGCAGTGAGCCGAGATCACGCCACTGCACTCCAGCCTGGGCCACAGAGTGAGACTCTGTCTCAAAAAAAAAAAAAAAAAAAAAGCAAAACAAAAAGTCTTGTTATACAAAAGGTGCTCATGATAGAAGCAAAAACCGTTACCGTCAGCCATTGAAAGATTAAAAAAAAATCAAAAAGATCTTAAAAAAAAGCTTTATTTTTCTTTTTTACAAGAGATTATCTAGCCAAATGCAAAGGTGGTAAAGCAAGAAGGAGTATGTAAACTGTGATAAATATAGTTTCTCGAAGTAGAGTGACCTTCTCTGGAGACTTACTTCCTGTCTCACAACCCAAATTTCTCTGAAATGCGCTAATCTCCTTTAGGGCACTCTGTTATAACAATACCTCCTCATTCATTCTACTTTGGCTGCAATTCTACTTTAAATATTAGTTTTAGAGGAGGTTTTACTTGCAATTAACCATGTGATTATATTTTAATCATATTGAGTTCCATACTCTGAAACGAATTTAGCATAGTGTGGAGTTAAAGAAGCAATAAATTTAACACACACTGAGTTACCAGAAAATCAGACTTCTAGCACCTTTCTTAATTGGAGGTGCAAACATCCACTGAACAATAGAAAATGTTCTGAAATGGTAAAAGGAAAGCCCAAGACTATAGACATAAAGATACATGCACCTTTACCTGCTTATTCAAGCAATTAGGCTATCTATTAAATAATGAAGTTGAAATCCAACTCAGTTCTTCCTAGAATTGGTTACAAATGCAAAAGAAGGTTGTGTAGAGTCAGTTCAATTGAAAATGTTTGGTGCCAGAGCAGAAGCAGAGCTGCCATCCTCAGAAAAGGAAACAGCACACCTTAATAGGGTGCTCAATAATTTTTTTTAAAAGTTGCATTATGATCCACAAAGTACTTGTGAAATTTTTTAGGGAATTTGCAGCCTTTGAGAAGTTTAACCTCCATATATCAATTTTATAGTTGAAAAATGAGATTCTTAAGTGGTTTGAAGAACAGTAGGGAAGAGAACTATGGCTTGCCTTCCCTATTAATATATTTGTGTGTATACACACAAACACACACACAAAACAACAACAATAAAATAGATATACATGTATATAATCCAACCAAAGAGCATTCTGAAACTAAAGGTGTGATAAATCAAACTTTGGGTTAAAATTTTATGTGGTCTAAACACCATTTGTTATCAAGGGCCTAGTGAATAGTGGAGGAAACTTCAAAGTACTATTTTATTTTATTTAATTATCATGCCAACCTTATAATATAGTATTATCCCTAGCTTAGAGATGAAGAAACTAAAATTTTAGTAACTTGTACAAAACGGTACAGGTATTAAGAGATAGAACCAGGACTGGACTCAAATCTCCTAATTCTTTGTATTTCATGTATCTCTAATACATCATGCAGGTAAAACAGCTATGCATTTCATGGCTTTTTATTATAGAAACAATATTTGTACCATATATGTATGTATATATATGCACAATATATATGATAAATACATAGTGTAAAAGCATTAAAATATAATGCAGAAATTAAAACCACTTATTATGCCACCCTTTAGCAAAAAGTCTTCATTGCTATTTTGGTGTATATTATTTCAGTAGAGTTTCTTCGGTGCTCTATAGTTTCTATGGTGCTCTATATCTCTCTATTTAAAGTTATCGTACTGAATAAAACAGATTATTTATTTTTATTTAATATCTCGTATTTTCATAAGTCAATAAGTATGGTATAGCTTTGATCATTGTTATATTTTTCCTAGACAAATGTGGTTTATATTGCTAAATTCAAATGTCATCATTTATTTCCCAATGATGCTTTTCCTCTTTGTAGCACGTGTTTCTTTAATGAATGTTAAACTTATGCTCATATACTTCTGAGCCCCCACTTTTTAGTTCCTTTTGTGAAACAGATTCATAAACTAAAATAACTGTGTCAAAAGATATAGATACTTTCATGGCCTGTCATAGACATTGTCAAATTCTCTCCCAAAAGTCCTTACAACAGTGAGGCCAGTACTAAGTATTATATATTGTGTTGTTCTTCATCAAATTTTTATGTTTTTAAAAATTATTTGATTGCCAATTTGCATTTTGTTGACTAGGAAATTTGACTTTTTCATGCTTACATTCCAAATATAATTCTTCTGGAATTGGTTATATATTATTTTTGACTACATACTTATGGTATTATAATTTTTATTATTATTACTGATTTCCAAATACTTTATGGAATTATATCATAAAAATATTTATTTGTTGGAGATTTTACTCAGCTTGTAATTTCTGTTTTGATTATTTACATGTTATTTTATATGTATTTTTAAAGTTTTAATGGGGTCAAATCTATAAATATTTTGTTTCTATTATTTTTTCTCAGCTTGCTTCTCCAGAGATTTATTAAATAACTATCTAGATTTTCTTACATATTTTACTTTGATATGGCATAAAATTAGAATCCAGCTAGATCTTATGGTTTAGTAAATATAGTAGTTGATTTTCCATAGGTAAATTACAAATATTTATTGAAAATCCTTTTCTATACCATTTAATGTTTACAAAAACATATTCATTGCCAGAAACTTGAAATATAGAGAAAAATCATAAAGCATGTTTTTATATCCCCTAATTTTCCACACTGCAACATATATGTTCTCTTTAAATATATATTTCAGGTCAAGCTTATTTTATATGTATTATTACCACATAAAAATACTTTTTAAGATGGTTTTGGGCTTTTGCACTCAAGTTTATGGCCATGATTATAACCACTATTTATACCTCACTCAATTGAGTTCATTGGTTTCAGTGTTCTCCATCATACATTTAATGCTATGACTTTTTTGAATACTTAATTTTGATTTACTTTTCAGTTGATTGTCAATTTAATGTTAAGTTAACATCAGTGAAGTATTTTACTTAGAAAGAGTGTTCACATAATGTTATTGGGAAGGGTAAGGAGTGGTACAATTTCTATTTCCTATATAATTATATAAGTATTATGTGCATGTGAAAAACGACCTTATGGGGCACACTATCCTGGAATGAGATTTTTTTAATTCAAAATTCTATTGGCTCCTGTGATTTGTATTGGAGAAAAGAAATGTCACACCACTCTGATTTTTAATACGTTTTAAGTAAATTAATTTTTCTGCCTCCATACATTATCAGTTTTATATTTAATATTTCTTCACTTCAGAAATGTTCTCTTTTCTTGTATTTTTAATGATTTCTTCTATACACAATGAAATAGTGTGGCATTTTTATTTTCCTGATTCTAGCCAGCTTATTGTACATCTCTGAAGTCATTATAAACTTTCATTTCTTGTGGTTATTTGCCTTCTTTCTAATTCCCTTTGCTTTTCTTAACATTTTCAACTATTTTCCTTATAGTCAATCTTAGAAAAGTACTCCTCTAACTTTTTACATTATTTGTCCACTTTCCCTTAGGTTTTTTTTTCTTTTTTAAAAACCCATTATGTTTCACATTTTGTTTAGATTCTGTTTGCCAATCACTGAAGTGGGAGAGATATACCAAGGTTCAGTGTTTAATACATGGTAAAAGAAGAGCCTTTGGTATCCCTCTTTAATATCTGCTTCTATGCTGATAGACATCTCCTTTTCTAAGATATGTATGAAGGTCAAGGTTATCATCAGGAGCCCTAATTCAATATGCAAAACCTAATAAGCTTTGATCTAGTGTGAGTCTATTCCTGTGCAGTTGAATTTGCTCAGACATCTAGTTTTTTTTATTCAAATAGAGAATGCAATGGAATCTATAGTTATTATCCAATTAGGTAATATTCGAGAAAATTAGTCACTCAGTTCTCTACTCTTCACCTTGTTTATAATACTTTTCCTTGTAAAAAAAAATTAAGACACACAATTAAAAAATATATAGCTGATCTATTTTCTGACTTCAATTTGGGGAATAACTTTCTAAACGTAAAAGAAAATGGGAATAATACAAAAAGAAAAGTAGATTTTGTTCCATAATAATATAAACGTCTTGATGTCAAAATTACCATGTACAAAAATAAACTGCAAATAATAAAGTAATGTTTGGAACAAATATGACAGTTATAAGGCCTTTTGAAGTAAAAAATATTTATCATTTCAGAATATACTATGTGCCAGGTTCTCTACTAAATACTTTAGTAGGTTTAAAATAAACAGATATATAGACTTTCTTTTTCTTTTCTTTTCCCCCTAGAGACAGGGTCTTCCTCTGTTGCCCAGGCTGGAGTGCAGTGTCACAATCAGCTCACTGTAAGCTTGAACTCTGGTCTTCTAGGAATCCTCCCTCCTTGGGCTCTCAAAGTGCTGGGATTATAGGGGCAAGCTACCGTGCCTGATCTAAAGTAGACATATTTAAATTCAATATGTTATTTAATTATATTCTATTAACAGGCTTCTTCTGATGTACAATTTCAACATCTTGATTTTAAAAATTATTTTTTAGTGGAAGCAGAAAGCTTAAAATTGGAGTTTCCTACTTTTGAATCTAAGTCTGTGAAGCTCTGAAACTTGTTTTCATCACGCTATCTAGATTACTAGTTAATTATTAAGAAATATAGAAAACCATAGCATTTGATTCAATAATCCCACTTCTTGAAATGAACCATCACTTGTAAAAAATAATTAGAAAATACCGTATATCAATACCAAATAATAGAATGCTGGCTTAATAATTTGTGAAATGGCTGTATAATAGAAAATTTAACATGGAAAGATAGATGTAATACAATCATAATTTTTAAAAGCTTGATCCAAAGTGTACTTCTCTATGATATAATTTAATTGACTTTTATGTCCTATTTATAATGCACCTTTTATTATGCCTGGCATTTTATATATATATATATATATATATATATAATATGTTGACATTGGACTATGGTTGATTTTGCTTGATAGTGTTTGCTATTTTTCAAATTTTATTCAATGATTATATTTTACTTTAATACTTGAGGAAATATGTAATACACATAAAAGTGAGATATGTTAAAACATGCATTTAAACACTCAGAGGATGTAAATTAGGCTGACTAAACTTCTAAAATCCAGCAGATGTTAATACCCAAATGGTATTTCCAGTAATTTAGCTGTAGAAGCCTACTTTTGAAGTTGAATATGAAGTAAAATAACAAAATAATCAATAATTTAACTCACGTTCACCAAACTCCCCAAGGAATTTCAGAAATTATGTGGGTCAGAGTATAACTTGAACTCTTAAAGAAAGCCAAACTAAAAAATAACAGGAACCCAGTAACTCCATCATTATTCTCCCTCTTAAAGGTAGCAAATGATGTGTCAAAATAAAGCAGTGTATCTCTAATTTCGTTTTACAGAAATAAGCCTTGATTAAATTCAAATCTTTGTAGCCTAAGCTGCAAGTTAACCATCTTAGATCACTATTTTTGCACAATTTTCAAAAAATGGAAGATAGTCTTCTATCCAATATAGAAGACTTCTATCCAAGAAGACCAAGACAGTCTTCTCGAGACATTTTCCCAAGTATTCAGGACACAGCTAACATAGATTCCTGATTCCACCCCCACCCAGAAACTAAACCCCTGTCTCTGGGTTGCCCCTGTCTTGGCAACAACACTTCCAAGAAAGCCTGTTTCTCTATTTACCTAAAATGTAGAGGGATCTGTTTTAAATGTACTCAATGACTTCACATTCAACTGTGAATAAAAAGAAAGCAAAGCTAAGCAAAATAGGGAAGTTTTGTCCTCCGGTGACTGGAGCTCTCCAGGGAGCTCTAGGTTTTCTTCAGGGGCAAAGAAAGTACAAAAAGAAAAAAATTGTTCAAAACTGAGCTGTGTCCATGGCAGGTAGGAGGAAAGAAACAGGTCAGAAGCAGCAGATGGTTTCTGTTTTCTTTTGGCACTTTGTTCTACTTCTAAACATTTTAAATAGAGCCAAATATCTGATTCTTATCTTGTTCTTTAAAATATATACTTTTAAAGCTATATTTAAGCGTTAATTTTTTATTGATCTGTGATAGCCTCCTACAACATTGACCGTATCACATTTGTATTTCCTGGTTGCTTTTATTTATATTTGTCTCTCTCTAAATTTGCATGTGTATGAATCTATCCACCTGTCTTCTACTTATCTTTCATAGTTGTAACTTTTTGTTTATCAGTGTGTATTACTGTGTTCTACTTTGTCTTTTTGACTCAGTAGTTGAGAGAGATTTTTTGTTTGCTTGTTTTTAATATTGTGTCATTTGTAGGCATGATGTCAGGTTCTAACTGAGGTTCGAGAAGAGTTGGTGGGTGATTATGGGGTTGCTGGAAAAACACTCGAGGAATCGTAGACAGTTTCGATATGGCTTTTACTCTCTCTCTCTGGGCATAAGCGAGCCTGGGAGCAGGCAAGCGGTGGGTGTGAGCAAGCTGTATGTACAGCGTTAGCAGGATAATTATACCTTTTACAGACAATAGTGGCTCTGAGCCAAGCACGAGCTCACGTGGGTGATCACCTAATGCCCCTCACATGGCGTGATTACATAATGTACCTCACGTGGCGTGGTTATGTAACTTGCGGAGTTGTGCACCTGTGCTCCAAACCCACTGAGTCATGCTGTGCCAGAAGGCCAGCTCGGCCTACTCCTGACTAACACACAGCCATTTCCTTTTCACTCCACCCCCTAGGCCAAGGGAATCCTCTGGGCAGGAACACGTGCCCACAGGGCAGAGCCCTGAATTCATAACCCACAACAACAATACAGAGAGCAACAGCTCACTACTAGGATCCCAGCTATGCTACTTATGATTATTAGGGCCCAGTGTAGGCCAGAGCCTAGAGATGCCCACCATCTCTGCAGGTGGTTGTCAGTAAGGCTCTAGACTGCCTTAATCTCCCATAGGAGCCCTCGCAGGGCTGTTGTGTTCTGCTGATTGTCAGGGATAAAGGTACAACATTGTGTTCCTAAAAGGGCACAGGTACTTCCTTGTGCAGCAGTTACTATGTCTAAGGCCATTTCGTTTTGCAGTACCTCCTTTCTCATCTGATCAACCTCACCCATTAATAGGTGGAGGGCCACTCAGGTATAATTCAGAGCCTAAGCGGTGTGCTCTACAAGAGAAGTAACCTGTGCTCCTACAGTTATGACACCAGCTCCAGGGATAGTCACTGCCAAGGGGTAGAAACACCATAGGGCTCCTTGCATTCACAGAAACCAAGAGTGTGGCATCTCTCAGTTATGTAGGTGTCTGGGCAATGTGGGAAGAACAGTGACAAGTACATAAGGCCACCCCCAAGTACAATGTCCAGTCCAGTCCGCTGGTAGGTAAGGCTACCCTGTGTCCCCACAGACCCATAAACCCCCAGAGGGCACCAAATCCATCGAGGCCCAACCTCGGTGGGGCTGCTTGTTCCACCATACCTTCAGTGTGATGACACGTGTTTTGTTTACACAGGCCGTGGTAGGTACCTATCCCACAGGGGTGTTACCGTAGTGCTCCTCTATGCACCACAGTGCCTGGGCCGGGGGTACTACCTGTTCCCCCACTAGCCATCCCCACCCATCATAGATGCTACAAGCCAGTCAGGGGGCAGGTGCACCATGGGTCTTGCAGAATCCTTTGTCCAAAGCTTGCCACATTGTATTCCAGGAGTTGGCCATGGGTTAACATAAGATCATTAACAAGACCATGAAGTATGATGGGGCTATGCATATGGCCCTGCAGCAACACTGTGAAAGTCCATTTGTGCCCTCCCATGAAGGCAAACTGTTCCTGGCTCTCCAGAAAATAATGCATTAGCCAAGTCCACCACACACTGGTACTGGCCCAGTTCTGTCAAGCGGTCCATCAAGTCCATGATAAACGGCACAGCTGCCAAGCCGTCCAAAATATCCACCCCCAGGATGTATTCAGGTATGGGAGAGACATGCACAGTGCATAAGTGGGGAGCCAAACGGCCAATGCCTAGGTGCGAGATACAGGTTTCACTTTCACTGACTGGCCTTCAGAGCTGTCTATGCAACCTTGCCCAGAAACTTATCCGGGTTCCCGTAAACAAGGCTGCAATCTTTGCCAATATCCACCTGCACCAGCACCCGCCGCTGTACATTGGTGGGGGACCAGTGGATTGCTAATTCCACATGTGGCCTTTGGTTGTCTGGTGTTCTCTCAAGCCAGGCACCTCGACCAGTTCCCTAATCAAACAGAAAAAACATTTCCATCTGGCTACAAGTAGTCTTTGAGCTGAAGCACCTGGGCGGGACTAGCTCGCGCAGCAATGTCTTTCTCCCCACTGGGCATTTTCTGGAATTGCTGCTCCAGAGACAACTGTCTCCACAAAGTCAGAGTACTTCATTGGGCTGCTGATCAATTTTCTCTCAGTCAGCCCCAGCCAAAATCAAATCTATCTACATCTGTGAGCATGTCACTCACTGGGGCTCCGTTTTCTCCTCTGGGGGGAGTCTCCTGTGGGTGGGGCAGCTTCTCCTTCTTTAGGGCGCGGTCCCAGTGATGGTCTGCTGCTTCCCCGAGAGCCGCCATAGCAGTGGTCACTTCATGTATGCAGCACCCTACGTACAGGGCGAGGACAGCAGCTAGGGAGCTGAAAGCACTTGGGGACGCAGAACCCAACAGGAGATCCGTCATGTGGAAGGTGAAACGTTCATCATCTGGCCCCCAGATATTCAGGTCAAACATAGCCTGCCGCATGCCCATCTCCCGAATGACTTGCACCAAATCTGTATACGACTGCCATCTACTGACAGTTTCTGGTATTTCACCAGCGTCATTCCACACAGTCCACGTGGCTGTCCAGGCGGACAGAGGTTCCCCTGGATGCTGGCGGCACTGTTTGCCTAATTCCTACAACTCAGTTGGGGTATGGGCAATATATAAAGTGTGTTGCGTTATGGTGGGGGAGTCCCTGAGCCTGCCCTTGGGGCCCAACGGCTGTTCATGATCTACTTTCTGATGGACCACTGGGCCAGCCCACAACGGGGGTTCATCCTCCTCAGTCTCAGACTGAGTGGGGGGTCTCAGGCCAAGATGGCGGACCCAGGCCTGCATTCACTGCAGCCTCTAATTCCTTTTCCAAGTTCTGTAGCCAGGTCTCCAGGCGTCCCGCCTGTGCCTGAAGGTCCCTTACCTGGGCTGCATCCCTCAGGGACTGAGTGTATACCTCTCATAGTGCATTCAAAAACACCCATCCAACTCTGCCGACAAAGGCTCGCTCCTTCTCAGTGCTCTGTGCTTCCAGCTGCACCAGCGCCTTCATGCTTGCCGGGGACCCATTTACCACCACCCAGGTTTCCACCATAGCCCATCCAAGCAGCACAGCTTGAGATCCTGTTCATGTTGCCAACTGTCAGGTTCTAACTGAGGTCTGAGGGGAGTTGGTGGGCCAGTGGTGGGTAGCTGGAAAAACACTTGAGGAATCGTAGACAGTTTCAACATGGCTTTTACTCTCTGGGCACAAATGAGCCTGGATGCAGGCAAGCCATGGGCACAAGCATGCTGTATGTACAGCATTAGCAGCATAATTATACCTTTTACCGACAGTAGTGGCTCTGGGCCAAGCACAAGCTCATGTTGGTGATTACCTAATGCTCCTCACGTGGTGTGGTTAGGTAATGTGCCTCACATGGCGTGGTTACATAACGTGGGGAGTTGTGGTGCCTGCGCTCCAAACCCGCTGAGTTATGCTGCTGGAAGGCCACCTCAGCCTACTCCTGACTAAAGCACAGACATTTCCCTTACACATGACCATTGCATTTTTAAAATATAAAGGTCCCTTCTAACAATTTTTTTTTTTAGGACAACTATGGACATTCTGAAGCTTTGTCAAATTAGCATGTAGATTTTCTTTTTTCTTTTTTTTTTTTTTTTTTTTTTTGAGACAGAATCTTGCTCTGTGGCCCAAGCTGGAGTGCAGCAGCACGATCTCTGCTCACTGCAACCTCTGCCTCCTGAGTTCAAGCAATTATCGTGCCTCAGTCAGCTGAGTGGCTGGGATTACAGGCACGTGCCGCCATGCCTGGCTAATTTTTGTATTTTTAGTAGAGATGTGGTTTCACCATGTTGGCCAGCCTGCTCTTGAACTCCTGGCCTCAAGCAATCCTCCTGCCTTGGCCTCCCAAAGTGCTGGGATTACAGACATGAGCCTCCACACCAAGGCCCTTCTAACAATAAAAAACATTATAAGTATTATAATTTCTGGCTGTATTATTCAATTTTATGTAAGGTTATCTTCTCTCTAATTATATGTATTTTATATCAGACACTGAGCTTTAATTCCTTTAAAATATATTTATTTGGTTCTCAAGAGAATCTGTACAGTTTGAAGTACTTAACAATACCAAGTGGCTTGTTTCATATTGGATGTTATAAAATTAACAAAAAGACTTATTCAAAAATATTGATCATATCTCCCTAATGAGAGCAATGTACGTTTTTATCATAAAGGCTTACATACACGAATTACGATTACTATACCATGAGTCCTAAAATACATTTCTATGTTCTCTTGGCTAACAAAGCTTTGTTTGCATCAGTTTTTTTTAATCAATCCAGTTCTCTGTTTAGCATTCTAAAATATTGTTGCCTTACACCAAGATTTTTGTTTCTTATTTCAGGTTGTTAATTTCTATGACCCTAAAGTTCTCTGTTTTGACATATTAATTTGGTCAAAACCAGGGTGTTAAGCATGGAGTTTTACCAAATGGTCCCTTTACTATGCTTGATAAAAACCTTAGCTTCTTGTATTACTTGAATATAAGTGACTATACACAACTGCAAATTTCTAACTTTCAAATCGGGCTGTTCAACATCTTGTGTCTGATTCTTTGCTTTTCCTCTGCCAAGTTCAGCATTCCATAAGCTATGATGAAAGAAGACTAATTTGAAAGTTTTCTCTTTAGGGAAAATGTATTTCCTTCTCAAAGTCAGAGCTTGAAATGGATACTACCATTGGACGTTATCATAAATGGATACTCCATTAGATTATAATGTAACATTTTCTGTATATAATTCAAGCTTTCTCATATGGCTACGACATTTTTTAGAATGCACCTTTAATTTACCCATATATATGCAATAATGTGTGAGTTAAAGATACAACAGAATGTGTGTGTGTGTGTACATATGTGTCTGTGTGGGTGTGACCTATATTTAAATGTTTATATAACCAGTTAATCAAATACTTACTGATTAATCTTTAGTATTCAACATGATAATAACAAATACTTTAATACTTTTTTTTGTATCTTGACATTAAGATTACTAGATATTATTTAATAAGGTAATACACACAACTCTACTCAAGTAGAAAACATTTTTCCAATATATGAAATGCAACACATAGTTCTCAAAACTATCCAGGATACCTGCAGAGGTTCTCTGTTTCCTTTATGTGTCCATTACAGGTCTGAAATAAACTACATATTTTCAACCTTTTTTCATGACAAGTTGAAAGATATATTTATTAGAAAAAGCCTAAATGCTGCTTCCAATTTTTTAAATCTAAATTTTGTATCCATAAGACCTCTTTTACCTAAGCAAAATTTGTTTTGATACAGAAACCTGAATCAGTCGTTCATGTGTCTGTCATAACATATGTAGTTGGGATTTCATGTTGCTTTTTTATTTTTAGGTTAACAAGTAAAAAGCCAACTAACCTTTTTCTTCCAATTCAAGCCTTCAAAAATGTTATAAACATTTTTAAAACAGATATATGTGATTATAGATAATATATCTTGACTCAAATAAACCCTCTTATCAGGAGCTAGCCAAAGCATATTTCTAGTGAGTGGCTTTCTTGTGTCATTTTGTCAGTGATTATCAGCAAAGATTTAAGTAATAACTAGCAAATATCCTACCTGCATTTGGATGTGAGGTAGAAGGCCACTGCGGACTTTTCGTCATCTCTTTTAGTGACAATCTTCCCTATTAAAGTTATTTAGCCAAGGAAAATATCTGACAAACTTGTTTACTACTTAAATATGCTAACCAGTAATAATAAGGTATGTGAAACATCTGTGCTAAATGTGAGTTTCACAAAGATAGGTTTTCAGCTTTAGAAAAGTGTAGATATGTCCTCATTTCAAATGCACACATGCAAATTATTATTCTTGTCTGAAACTGGCATACCCTAGGATTCCTATTTGATTGCTTTAGGAGACTTGTTTGGGCCTACACATATATTGATTTAGAGAAAATGTAAACCACATTAATCTGGGTACCAGGAGATTAGAATTCTTGACTCAGACCTGTTATTGACTTATTTTTTAGGCATTTATTAATCCTTATCATGGCTCAGTTTTCCTATCTGGAAGTAGGGTTAGGAAATACATATATAATATTATATAACATTTATTTATATATAATATATATAAATATATTATTTATTATATATAAATTATATATTTTAATATACAAATAAAAATTTTATAACGTATATATAAAATTCACAGATATATTGCATGGAAAGTAAGAGAATAAAGATGCTGTATTAATATAAGCTATTAGGTGTAGCAACACAGAAATATTAAAACTTTAATGCTTAGTTTCAATTTTTATAAATGTTTATTTATTTCTTAAACTTGTATTTCTAAGCCACGAATGCCTTGGGAAATGTAGCAAATCATTTACAAATTTCTGAGAAACAAATATGTAATTTTCATCTACCTATGATGGACTCTCTCAATTACTATTTTGTAAGAAAAGACAAACTAACTTATAATTCCTCCCAAAGGTATTCTTGGTTAGGCAGCAGATGAGCTATATGTAGGAATATGGTGCAATCGAAATCTAATTATATTCATGTTCTTATTTGCATAGTTTTTTCCTGTTCAATGTCACCCAGGAACTACTAAGCATAAAAGAATCAGTATAACTTCTGGCAACTGTGTTTTACAATCTCCCCTTTGCTCTCAACCAGCATAATTTTAATCAAAGGTTGGCAATCTATGGCCCACAGGCCAGATTTTACTCACCACACTGTCTGTTTTTATAAATTAAGAGTTATTGTAACACAGCTGAGCCCATTCATTTATGTATTGTGTATGGTTTCTCTTGCAATGTAACAGGGAGTCCAGTGCTTGTAAAAGATACTGTATGCACTGCAAATCTCAAAATATTTACTATGTGGCCCTGTCCAAATAAAATGTGTTGGTGCTTAGTCTAAATCATCATTTTCTTATTTTATAAAGCTATGGAGAGGCAGCATATTGTAATTGGAAGAAATACAGATTTAGTGTCAGAAACTCTTCTTCATACCCCAAACCTCAATTTCTTTATATATAAAAAGACGACAAGTTAGCCTTGTTCTTTCCATAAACATGGAAGAACTTTAGAGTCTGGAAAGTTGTCTGTTGCATCTCTTGGACATAGGTAGCTAGATATTTAGGCCCCAATAAGCTCTTCCCCCGCCCATGAGTTACATAACTATGAGGTGGATCATGATGCTGTTTCTTTACCACAGACTGTTATATAGGAACCTGAAATAGGTTGTATGGAAAAGAAAATGATAAGGCAATAAAGCTCTATTTCATGAGCTATACCATCTGTAGAGTAGGCAAAACTGTTAAAACATGAGTCATATAGTGTCACTCCTCTTTGCTGAAAACTCTGCACAGCTCCTCCTTTTACTTCAAAGTCTTGCAAGCCTGCAAGGTATTGCATAACCTGACCCACCCTTACCTGCATTCTCTCATCTCACACTACTCTCCCCGTCATTATTCCAGTGCACTCATACTCGCCTCTGTGCAGTGTCTGAATCACTCAGTGTGCTGGAACATGAGGCTTTCACATCTTGCCTGGCTGCCCCCCTACCTTTCTTCAGGACTTTGATCAAATTATCACCTTTCATCAATGCTTTTTTTTTTTTTTTAGATGGAATCTTGCTCTTTGACCCAGGCTGGAGTGCAGTGGCATGATCTCAGCTTACTGCAGCCTATGCCTCCCAGGTTCCAGTGATTCTCCTGCCTCAGCCTCCCAAGTAGCTGGGATTACAGGCGCATGCCACCACACCGAGCTAATTTTTGTATTTTTAGTAGAGACAGGGTTTCACCATGCTGACCAGGCTGGTCTCGAACTCCTGACCTCAGGTAGTCCGCCCACATTGGCCTCCCAAAGTGCTGGGATTACAGGCATAAGCCACCATGCTGGGCCCACCAATGCCTTTTTGACTACATTAAAATTAAAACCCATTTTTCCTAACACAGTCCCCAAATTATCCCTTCCTAATTCTGTCTTTTATAGTACCTCAGCATCTAGCATTGTGTTGTTTTATGTTTCCTGTTCATTGCTCTCTCCTTTTATGCTTCACAAAGGCATATATTTGGTCTGTGTTGCCCTCTGTTATATCCCAAGCCTCTAGAAGAGTGTGTGGCACATAGTAGAAAGTCCTCAAAAATATTTTATGAATGAATGAATGGAGTGAAACCTTAAGATAACAATGAATGCATTTGAATACTGAATATGTGCCCAGGCCTTTGCATATGCCCAAGATATATACATATGAATAAGGCACAATTTCTGTCCTTAACAAACATACAGCCTAGTGAGAAACAGAGTGAACACAAATTGTCAATAAATTTGTATAGGTCTTATAAATAAATAAGCAAATGAAAACAAAACTTGCCACACATGCCGCTATTTAACTTCTTCAGTAGATTGGCTCTAAACCTTTCCTGTATTATGGACACAGACGCTTGTAGACTCTTTCTCCTTCCATTTTTTTCTTCTTTTTGTATAGAATTGTCTATTTTTTTCGTTGGTCATAAATTTATTCTTTTGAACTTAATGTCTTCTAATTTCCTGTTGTTATTTCAATATTAAAAGATTCCTTTTAATATGATAAATTGTTCTTGTAGTAAACATACACTTATTTCTTCTCCAACTTCATATTTGTCATTTATTGTCCTGTTATATTTATTTGCCTACTTTAATACTTTCATTTTTATGTTTTTTTTTTTCTCAGACCTACTTAGTTTGTCATGACTCATCAATTTTCTGACATTTCCCATTAACTTTTAGATTTGGTGAATTTATATTTCCTGTCTCCATTTTATTTTGCAGTGTTTACTTTCATGAGATAACTTTATCAACAGCATTCTTTCATTCTGTAGTTCTGGTTTTCATGTTTAGCATAAATGTTTCACCTTAAATTATGATTTTTAAAAAAACACAAGATCTCATGTATGTTGCATTTCAATTCTAGTTACTTTACCTATGTGGGCCTCCGGTTACTCTGGTGTAAAATTTTGCTAACACCTACCACATACAGTATATCTAAAAATCAAGGCATATATTGTAGTAAAAAAAATCGTCATACTGTCAGTCATATTCATAGAGCTCTGCATGAGATAAACTCTTTGAGATACTCTAAGGTTTTAACTACAAGAGGGCAGCAGGAGAGCTGAGAGAATCCATTCTAAAACACTCCAGGAATATAATGCAGCCACTCTCAATGCTGGGGGCAAGACAGCATTACATCAGAAAAGACAAGATTTTCCTGGGCAAAGAAAAGTTGGGTTAAAACTGGAAAGCAGAGGCAATGCCCCAATGGCCCAGAAAACTGGCATCTAATCTGAGAGAGATATGATACAGTTCGACAAGCTGACAGGTTATTTATAAAGCATAAGAAGCCTCCAGAATCTCACTAGAACTCATATTTTTTGTTCTACAGATGGAAAAGCCCTGATGATAATCTCAGAATAGTTTAAGTCAGTGGTGAACTAAAGCTGTAGGAATGCCTATACCCAGATTAACTACATATCAGATTGATCCAGCCTCCATCTCTAGCAAACTGAAAGAAAATGTCATATATTTTCTGGAGGTAAATACTACATAATTCAGTCTCCACTGTTAAAAAAGTGACTAATAGTCAAAGAAGAAATAGTCAACAGAGAAAACATAGATGGCTTGATGACACAGTTATCTGACAATATTAGATAATAAGAAAACTAATGTATCTACAGGAAATGAACACATGCATAATAACATATTGAAAATACATAAAAGAACCAAATGAAATTGTAGAAATGAAAAGCAAAATCTATTATCAGAAATGAATTTGTTAGATTTAACAACAGATTGAGCAGAGCAGAATATGGAATCAATATATTAATATTTGAAGACTGGTCAATAGAGTATATCCAAACTGAGAAAAAAGAGAAAAAATGAATTAAAACAAAATCAAGAGAAGAAAAGAGTCTGTGATCTGTGGAAAAATATCAATATGTATTTTGTTTGCATACTTGTAATCCTGAAAGGAAAGGAGAGAGATCATGGGTTACAAGAAATTTGTAAAGATGAAATGGTTAAGAATTTTCAAAATTAATCAAAGACCTCAACACACAAATCTAAGAGTCTCATCTAACTCCCCAACTTGGATAAATACAACAACAAAAATCCCTGGGCACAAGTAGTCAGTCTGCAGAAAACTAAAGATAAAAAGCAAGTTTTAAAAGCAGACAGAGGGGTAAAAAGACATATTAAATACTAGGGTAGGGGTCCTTCTAACATCTTTACAAAGCTGAAAGAAAATATAGTATGAACCTAAGATTCTATACCTAGTAAAAATATCCACCCCAAATAAGGTGAAGTAAAGATGTTTCTGAACTGACAAAATGAAAAAAGTATCTGTTCCCAGGAGACCTGCACTACTAGAGGTTTTTCAGCCTGAAGCAAAACAACACTAGAAGGAATCGGGGTATCTTAGGAATAAAGATCAGTAGACACAGCATATGTAGAGGAAAATAGTATATATGTACATATGTATAACATTTATATAGAGACAGATATTTAAATTTCTTTAACTATAAACTATTACAAATAATGTATAACTATGTATTGTAGAATTTATGTCATTTATATAAAAAGAAGAAATACACCATTGTAAAGTCTTTACACTGTTTGTGAAGTAGCATATTACTTGAAGAGAAAAATAAAAGTGTGCATTACTAGAGAAAGACATGCATAATGTAAGGTGGAATAGATCCAAAGTCAAAACAGGAGATGAATATTGAGAAAATAAGCAGATGAATATTAAGAAATAAGCACTTTACATGAAAGAAGTCAGGAAAGGAAGCACAGGGACTAAAGCACATGTGTGAATATAAAACACATAGCATAATAAAAGTATTAAACCCAACCATAGTGACCACTATATTTAATGTGATGGACTAAACACAAGTCAGAGATTATCATACTGGTTAAAAAGCAAGAACAAATACACTTTCTTTTTTTTTCTAAGGCATATTAAAATAAACATGTTAAGCAAAACATAGATGAACTTCCAGGTTCAGTACCAACGGAGGAAGAGCTTAGAAGTCAGCACTCTCATTCTTAAACAGCTGGAAAAAATGAAAATCAGTTCTTTTTCTTGGACTCATCAGAGCACTGAGGTGGCAGTGCAAATCCACCCCAAAATGTGGAAATTCAGAGTCATCCAGAGAAAATCAGTCAAGATCATAACTTCTTCCCTGGAGTAAAACAGCTGTAAACTGGCTGGAACATATCAATGGTAACTCTAATTGATGTAGGCTGGTGTGGAAGTGAAGCATGAGATTGGCAGAAAGTATGGAAGTGCCAAAACAAAACAAAACAAACAAACAAAAAAACACAACAAAAACCCCAGCCAAACAACAGCAGAAAACCTACAAAGAGTGGGTATTTTAAAGGAAAATAAGAACCAAATAAAAGAGATGTGAACGCCAAGGCTGAAACAATTTGAACACTAAAGTAGCATAAAATAAATATTCCGTTCATATGGATGTAAATAAATAATTGCATAAGTACATACATAGGGGAGAGAAGAGACAACTTTCCCATATAGGAAATTCCAAACAATTTATATAGGTACTCTGCCCTAATGGAGGTAGAGAACACCTCCCCATTCCTTAAATGTGGGCTGCACACAACGAATTCATTCTAAAGAACCCAGTATGGAAATGGTGAGGAGGGGAGGAAAACAGAAACTTTACAGTGAAGAAACTTGAGAAATACCATCTCAAGAATGTGATCCAGGCCACATTACTCAGCAGTGATAAATTTTGTTAATAATATATACTTCTGATTTTATGTAATAAAAATGACCCATACCTTCTGCAATCTTCCTACCAGAAACCTGTAACTCCAGCGTAATCATAAGTAAAGCTTTAAACAAAACACAACTAAGGACATTCTGCAAAATAACTGACCAGTAATCCTTGAAACTGTGAAGATCATCAAAAACAAGAGAAGTCTGAGAAACTGTCACAGTCAAGAGTCACCTAAGAAGACGTGACTATTAAATGTAATGTGCTGCCCTGTCTGGGATTCTGGAACAGAAATGGGATAAGAAAAAATTAAGAAAAATTGGAAAACTATAGATTGTAGTTAATAATGTATCAACAGTAGTTGATTATGACAAACGTGCCATACTAATGTAAGAGAATAATGAATGAGAGAAAAGGGTGATGGTTATATAGGAACTCTATACTATCCTTGCAATTTTCTTGTAAATATAACTACTCTGAAATAAAAAATATATATATTTAAGACAAAAAGGATGAGAAGACAGTAGATTTTTTCAGAATGTTCTGATCAAATGGAAGGAGTGGGAACCTGGCTATAAGGAAAGAGAAGACATAATCACAGACCAAATGAATAAAAAAGATAGCTGGCCAGGTGAGGTGGCTCATGCCTGTAATCCAAGCACCTTGAGAAGCTGAGGCAGGAAGATCGCTTGAGTCCAGGAGTTCAAGACCAGCTTGGGGAAACAGGACGAAACCCTGTCTCTACCAAAAAAATACAAAAATTACCCAGGCATGGTGGCGCACCCCTGTAATCCTAGCTATATAGGAGGCTGAGGCAGGAGAATCACTTGAAGCCAGGAGGCAGAGATCAGAGTGCACTGAGATCCCACCACTGCACTCCAGTCTCAGCTACAGAGTGATACCACATCTTGAAAAAAAAGAAGAAGAAGAAGAAGATAGGTTGGGTGAGATCCATAGAAACATTTTCCTTCAGTTTCCCAGATGTAAGAACTATTTTTAGCTTTACACTAAAAATTTGAATCAAAGTTGAAGCAGGAAAAAGAATGGCTAACATTCATGCTGCCCATGAATGTTTGTCAACTCAAACCGAAACACTGAGATTTTCTACCCATGTCTTGTCTAGTCATAAAGGAATAGATGCTATGTGTACAAAGGTCCAGCTTTGGAGAAGAAATCCTACACCTTTTGGCACGTAGTGAAGAAAAACTCTTTTTCCTAAATAGAATACCTTTATTTTTGTTTGTTTTTCAGCCAGGGGCCATATTTTCTTATAACCTCAGTGAGGGTGCAGACATATGTAGCCCAAATCAAATTCTATTACGATAAACCACAACTAAAATGTATGAAAAGCAAAAACATGTTCAGTTTTTCAGTATAATAAAATAGAGTATATCATTAACAAGAAAGAAGACATAAAATGTAAACCTTAAACATAAGAAAAATGGCATAAGAGGATTCAAAAATAAATAAAAATCGTCAAAACAAAGAATACACTAGAAACAAAGTACAATATTTCCTGATAATAAAAGGATCAATTCACCAAGAAGATGTTAACATTTTAAATTTTATATACCTAATAACAGAACTTCAGAATACACATTGTAACAATTTACAAAACTAAAGGAAGGAATAGACAAATTAACAAATATAGTTGCAGACATTGGCATTCCTTTTTGAGTTTTTGGTAGAATATGAAACAGAAATAGTTAGTAAAGATGAAGTTATAAACACAATCAACCAACTTGACATAGTTTAGATTTAAAGAACATAAGTACTGTCTCTGTGTGTCTCCTATGTTTTCAAGCTCAATGCAAAGGGCACTGTCATCAACAAATAAAGTACTTTTGAAAGCAAGGAGAAGAGACCAAACCAGCAATGTATCTTTTCCTATGCTTCTTATTTGCTGTCTCTGGCTATTCCATGTTCTCCCCGACACAAGCTTCCTACTTTCTCAACCCCAGTGAGACAGGCCCATTTGTTATCAGTGACCTTAATGAATATCCATCCAGTCAGTGTCAGAGATTTTCCACTTAAGGAACTATATAAATTCCCTAACAAATTTCAGGATTAGTTTGTAAGTTTCCAAAGAACAGTTTAGGTTTTGATTGGAAATCAAGTTTTAAATTAATTTGGGGAATAATGTATATTTTGATTATACCTTTTGGCCTTCTCATTTATATTATTTTAAATATTTTGGTCTCCTTATATGTTCTTAATTAGTTTGTAACAGGTGGTTACAACATTTGTTTGATTTCTTTCTACATAGCTTACAGATTTTTGTTACTATTGTGAATAGAAAATGTTATATTTTAAATGAGATTACTTTTGTATAAAAACACTACTGATTTTTGTGAGGACTCATGTTAAACAACCTTGCTAAATTATCTTTTTAGTTATATTTTCTATGTTGATTGAGAGAGGGTTCAATGTAGGTATTTTATCTAAAAATAAGAGCAATTTGGTTGGTTACTTCCTGATTTTTATGCCTTTTATCCACGCAATTCTCCAGAGTTTAAGTAGGGGGTATGTCTAAATCGTGAAGCCAATATGCCATCTTAAATTGCGCCTTTTTTGATTACTTGCCCAAGTAAAGCATAGGACCAAGTGTGGCAGGCCCCACAGGAAAAGAGTGAAAAAGAGTTTTAGGAACAAAATACAAATTCCCTGTTTTAAATGCAGATCTTAATTATCATTAAAAATTTTATCAAGGCAACAGGAGAAAGCTGAGGATTAGCTTCCTGCAAACCATTGTTTTTCTTCCTAAGATGGTGAGAAATTATCATAGGTACATGATTTCTTGAAGAGTTATATATACATTATATATCTTACAATATATAGTATATTGTTATATATCTTAAGAACCTATATAATAATACATCATAATATATAGCAGAAGTAGCAGAAGACGATAGATGCCCAAATCTGAAAGACGATTCTTTTTTTTTTCTTTTTTCTTTTTTTTGAGATGGAGTTTCTCTCTTGTTGCCCAGGCAGGAGTGCAATGGCTTGATCTCGACTCACTGCAAGCTCCGCCTCCCAGGTTCAGGTGATTCTCCTGCCTCAGCCTCCTGAGTAGCTGGGGATTACAGTTGCCTACTGCCATGCCCAGCTAATTTTTGTATTTTTAGTAGAGACGGGGTTTCACCATGTTGGCCAGCCTGGTCTCGAATTCCTGACCTCAGGTGACCCACAGCCTCGGCTTCCCAAATTGTTGGGATTACTGGCATGAGCCACCGTGCCTAGCCTTTTTTTTTTTTTTTTTCATTATAATCAATAGAGTCCACTTCTTTTATTTGCGCTACTTCACTCTCTGCTATATGCATTTGAATATTCTAATCCTCTTGTAGAGTTTTCCTATAGCATTTCTCCCAACAAACCTCTTCCTTTCTAAATATTTACAACCCAATTTAGTGGCAGCATGTAGTCTTTTGATATTGACCCAATTTTGATAGAATATCCAATTATCCAACAACACTACACACATTTTCCCAGCTTCCTTCCTAGATTTTCAGTCTCTACTCCATCCTGGTTTAACCAATTTTTTGTATCACTACCTCCTTAGTGAGTTCTGCCCCTGTCCAGCTGACCAAGCGGAAATCCTGAATGTACTTTGGCCCTTATATCCTGGTTATCAATGGCAACCTAGCAGATCCAGTTCATTCAAACAGCAGCTGCAGTTTAACTCTATATTTCATAAGGTTGATAGACCTGCTTTTTGGATGTGGAACCTCTAGTGTTAATCCCAGTTTGTCTCATAGAATGTGAATTCATGGAGACCTCAAGCATAAGGTAACTTTTCTCATGAAGTTATATATTTTGCCTGCTGTGTATTTCATACAAAGGGATTGTTTCCACACCAACTTTTCACTTAAATTTAATCTCATCCCATTATCTCCTTCAAATATGTTCAGTACTTATGGTTTCCACCTGCTATCTATTTGTAGACTGTTACCATTTTCTTACTTTGTTGTTCCTTAGAACTTGCAAAAATCTTCGGTATCTTTAACCTTGTTTTAAATCATTCCCTCTCTTCTCTTTCCCATAATCTTATCCATTGCTCCTCTCTGAAGTTCCTATGTGCGTACACAGCTCTTAGGTAATGAGTGCCAAGGCTAAATATGGCGAACCACAATCATTCTCAACAGCCATCAAGAAAGAGAGAGTCCATTTCATCCCAGCTCTATGATGTGAAGCCCTTTACATTTTCTTCCAAATAATAATGGGATCATTTAACTTCCTGTCCCTCTACATTGTTTTAAATCATTTACTACACAAGTCTCACACTAGATAGCTTTTTTCTTTCTTTTTTCTTTCAACTTTCTGACATTTATTAAACAGAAAAAAAAATTTTACCCTTCTCATGTCTCCTCTCATATTAAGTCTTATATATTTTAATGTATTCACATTCACTTACTATAAATACGTTTACCAGTATTGTATGGTCTTTGGTGTCATACCAAACAAGTTATAAATAATAAACTTATATTTTGTTTGTTGAATAAGTTTTTATCTCAGGAAGACACCTACTGGACTTCATACAAATAATGTTTTCCATAAAACCATAAATATTAGAAAGCAAAATATTCACTGGAGCCTATATTCTAGCTTCATATATTCTTGCACACTTTTGAAATATGATGAATGGGTCAGTTTATATCTTTTGAGGCTTATTTAAACATTTTAAAGACATAAATAGAAACTAACTTAAAAGAGTTCAATTAAATCTTAAATGTTTCATATATTGGTATTAATTTGCATTATATTTTCTATTCTTAAGATTCCATTTGAAAACATACTCTCCCTCTCCATTATAAATATCCTAAAATACTATATGACAGTTTGTAAGCCTCTGTTAGACTTGTCACATCCTACTATAAATCTTAAGATATTCCTTTAAAATTCTGAAATATTTTAATACCAAGTAAAGCTAAAACAATGATTACTGCTTGTAATAACTAAATGGATTGTAATTGATTTTTCTATTTAATATCTAATCAAGCTAATTATATTATCTTTGTCTCTAAGGTAAACACTTTTTAACTTATTGTCATGTGATACTTGTTTATTTTAGAGGTGCTCTCTCTGTCTTTGGAAAATTTTTTCATTATTCAGTTTTCTTAATGTGTAATTTTCTCTTCCGGAGACCTAAAAAATACCTTCAAGGAATTTACAAGAAAATGTTATGGTCAATTTTAATAAATTAGTGAGCCGCTTTAAATCATTTAATGTAACATGCTAATAAGAAAAGACTACTTTGAAGAACTATGATGCTAGCTAGGTTTGGGTAGAGGCGGATCTGAAGTTTATAACGAAAGGAGGAAGTAAGTAGTATCTCTCTGCGTCTCCTACCTTCTCAAGCTCAATGGCAAAGGGCACTGTCGTCAACACATACAATACTTTTGAAGAGCAAGGAAAAGAGACCAAACCAGCAACACATCTTTTCCTGTGCTTGTTATTTGCGGTCTTTGGCTATTCCATGCTCTCCCTGACACAAACTTCCTACTTTCTTAACCTTAGTGTGACAGGCCCATTTGTTATCAGTGAACTTAATGAACATCCATCCAGTCAAGGTCAGAGATTTTCCACTTAAGGAACTACAGATTCTACAGGACCACCAGATGAACATTTTTCCTTTCTTCCAGATAAAGGGGAAATGTTTGTTCCTAAAGATGGTAAGATAATTAATATATAAAAACAAAACAAAACAAAACAAAACAAAATGCTGGGTGCAGCAGCTAAAGCCTGTAATCCCAGCAGTTTGGGAGGTGAGGCGGGTGGATCACTTGAGGTCAGGAGTTTGAGACCAGCCTGGACAACATGAAGAAACCCCATCTCTGCTAAAAATACAAAAATTAGCTGGGCATGGTGGTGCATGTCTATAGTCCCAGCTACTCAGGAGGCTGAGGCAGAAGAATCCCTTGAACCCAGGAGGCAGAGGTTGCAGTGAACAGAGATCGTGTCACTGCACTCCAGCCTGGGTGACAGAGCGAGACTCTGCCCCCCCAAAAAAGAAACTATCCATTTTTTCCTTTGAAAACAACTTGAAGTTAAAACCTTATAACTTGATTGTTTTATTGGCTAATATTATAAGTTAATTTGCAAGTTAATTAAAAAGATAACATTATTAATTGATAAGTTACCATTTTTGGAATCAACCAGCATGGAATTATTTTCATATTCTACCGTTTACTAGCTTCTATGTCTAAGTTTCTTCACCTAAAACTGGGAACAGTTGTACTCCTTACCCTAAGGTTGTTTTGAAGAGTAAATGAGATGGTATTTACAAAGTGCTTAATTTAGTATCTGCAACATAGTAATCTTTCAATACATGTCAACTCTTATTAATTGTTATTGTTATCTCAGAGTTGTTTTTATATAGTCACCAAAGGGCATTTTAGGATTACATTGTGATGTATTAGATATTTGTTTCATTCCTGGGTATATTATTTCATATGTAATAGTAGTAAATATAAATTATAGATAAAGATCATTTGCAAATAGGAAATCAAGGTAGTCATATTTCACCATTATTAATGCAGTACTAAAATAAATGACAAAGTAAAGCTTAGCAGGAACATGTAGGTTCTTTTTTTTTTATTATACTTTAAGTTTTAGGGTACATGTGCACAACATGAAGGTTAGTTACATATGTATACATGTGCCATGCTGGTGTGCTGCACCCAGTAACTCGTCATTTAACATTAGGTATATCTCCAAATGCTATCCCTACCCCCTCCCCCACCCCACAACAGGCCCCTGTGTGTGATGTTCCCCTTCCTGTGTCCATGTGTTCTCATTGTTCAATTCCCACCTATGAGTGAGAACATGTGGTGTTTGGTTTTTTGTCCTTGCAATAGTTTGCTGAGAATGACGGTTTCCAGATTCATCCATGTCCCTACAAAGGACATGAACTCATCCTTTTTTATGGCTGCATAGTATTCCATGGTGCATATGTGCCACATTTTCATAATCCAGTCTATCATTGTTGGACATTTGGCTTGATTCCAAGTCTTTGCTATTGTGAATAGTGCTGCAATAAACATACTTGTGCATGTGTCTTTATAGCAGCATGATTTATAATCCTTTGGATATATACCCAGTAATGGGATTGCTGGGTCACATGGTATTTCTAGTTCTAGATCCCTGAGGAATAGCCACAATGACTTCCACAATGGTTGAACTAGTTTACAGTCCCACCAACAGTGTAAAAGTGTTCCTATTTCTCCACATCCTCTCCAGCACCTGTTGTTTCCTGACTTTTTAATGATTGCCATTCTAACTGGTGTGAGATGGTATCTCATTGTGATTTTGATTTGCATTTCTCTGATGGCCAGTGATGATGAGCATTTTTTCATGTGTCTTTTGGCTGCATAAATGTCTTCTTTTGAGAAGTGTCTGTTCATATCCTTTACCCACTTTTTGATGGGGTTGTTTGTTTTTCTTGTAAATTTGTTTGAGTTCATTGTAGATTCTGGATATTAGCCCTTTGTCAGATGAGTAGATCGCAAAAATTTTCTCCCATTCTGTAGGTTGCCTGTTCACTCTGATGGTAGTTTCTTTTGCTGTGCAGAAGATGTTTAGTTTAATTAGATCCCATTTGTCAATTTTGGCTTTTGTTGCCATTGCTTTTGGTGTTTTAGACATGAAGTCCTTGCCCATGCCTATGTCCTGAATGGTATTGCCTAGGTTTTCTTCTAGGGATTTTGAGGTTTTAGGTCTAACATTTAAGTCTTTAATCCATCTTGAATTAATTTTTGTATAAGGTGTAAGGAAGGGATCCAGTTTCAGCTTTCTGCATATGGCTAGCCAGTTTTCCCAGCACCATGTATTAAATAGGGAATCCTTTCCCCATTTCTTTTTTTTGTCAGGTTTGTCAAAGATCAGATGGTTGTAGATATGCGGCATTATTTCTGAGGGCTCTGTTCTGTTCCATTGGTTTATATCTCTGTTTTGGTACCAGTACCATGCTGTTTTGGTTACTGTCTTTCTGGGTCAAAAAGAGTCAAACCATAGTTACAGGCTATTGGGTAGCTAACTCAGAAATTAAAAAGTGTGGTAAGTATTCAAGATCCTCATTTCAAGCACTCTACAAGCAAAGCAGACATTTAATGAAACAAAAAGATTGAATGCACTTTCTAAAATAGGATTATACATAATAACCACAGAAGATACTAGAAATGACACATTACTGCATTGGGTAAGTGTAGTACTAAAATTCTCCAGATAATACTTACTTAATTACGGGCATTTGCTGATTAAAGATTAGTCACTTTAGATGGGAAAAAAAGTCTGTTAAACTGTAAATGTTACTACCTGTCTACGAAATTATCCTTTTATTGTAGTAAGTTATTTTAGAGTATTATTGCAACTTTAGGGATAGAAAGAAGACATTACTCAGACTATGGCTTTCAGACTAAGACTCAAAAAGGAAAGGAAATAATATCTCAATTTATTACATATTAAAGGAACTATATAGGTTACTTGACATCTGGATAAAAAGAAGAAAAATGCTGGCTAACGTAGTATTAATCCATGATCATAAAGAGGGATCTGCCATTTATTATGTTAATTCGTGCCAATTGATGAAAGGATTGGATATAATATATATCTCTCTCCAGACAAGTATGACAATAGGAAATGTGATCATGCCATGTTTGCAGGTATAACAACATGTTAGGATAGGCAAAGGGGTAATATGAGAGGTGATTTGATTTAGTGAACTCCAAATGACTTTGGAGACTACACATGAAATTTTGATGAGTGGTCACAGCTTGGATAGAAGAGCCAAAGATCATACTTTGAGCTGCTTGTGTTTCTTTCTCTTATGCTATCAAAAGATGCATTTAGTCTCTCAGAGAGAAAATTCTCATTGAAGTGAAAGTTAATATATTAAATAATGTAATACCAGTGATTGTAAACTCTCATTTGTTAACTTTAATATGTCATTCTTCTTAATGTAGAAAAGAGACACTTATTTTTCCTTTGTTCTTTACCAAATGAATTATAATTTTTGTAAGATCTGCAGGTTGGCAAAGCACAAATAATATGATGTATAGAGATATTTGCTTTAAAAAACCAAATGAAAAGATTAACTGAGTGATAACTGGAAAACATAATGTAAAGGCATAAAAATGTGAGTATTTTCAAAACTCTGGTCATATAAGAAAAGTACTTCAATTAATTGAGAAAAAGGTTAATGATAAAAGAAATGATATATAATATTGTATTCCATCAAAATAGTCGATGACTTCCAAGACAAAAATCTGCCTCCAACACAAAAATCTAAATTGCTTACAACAGTTTAGATTTACATGCCTTCTACCATTTCCCTAATCAAGTAACTTATTTGAGGAAAACTGTTTAATGTAGTGTTCCTAGGAATATTCTGCATAAATCCTGATTTTAGGGTTTCCCTGCACTTTCTATCTTTTCCAGAATGTCCCTCATTCTTCTCCGTGCTTAGCTAAAATGTAACTTTTCTTCACAATGCAAGTCAAAACTCATTTCATCTTTAAAGCCTTTCTCTTCATCTCATCCAATGGGATTCTTTTGTTCTTTTGATTTCCCCTAGAATTTATTAAGGTCTGAAACTAGTTCTAGGATAAGGAACTTGAAGAAATTGAACTTGGAGTCTGACATTTACCACTATGTTTTGTATAGAGTAGACACAAAATAAGCATTTTGTAGGTAAATTTATTAGTCGGGGTGCTCCAGGGTAATAGAACCAATAGGAGATTGGAGAGAGAGAGAGAGAGAGAGAGAGAAACTGATGATTGGAATTGGCTTATACAATTATAGAGACAAAGAAGTCCTACCATCTGCTGTCTGTCAGCTGAGCAACCAGGAAGGTCAGTGATGTAATTCAGTCTGAATCCTAAGACCTCAAAACCACCAATGGTGTAATTCCCGGTTAGAGTTTCAACACTTGAGAACCCACGGTTGAGAGAGAGTACTGATGTGAGTACTGGTGTAAGTACTGGAATCTGAAAGCTCTAGAAACAGAAGAGGGGCAGGAGAAGATAGATATCCCAGGTCAAGAAAAGAGAGAATTCACTCTTCCTATACCTTTTTGTTCTATCTGGGCCTTCATCAAAATGAATGATGCCCACCTACCTTGGTGAGAGTGATCTCTTTACTCAGTCTACTAATTTAAATGCTAAACTCTTCTGGGAACACTCTTTCAGACACACCTAGAAATAATGTATTACCAGCTATTTGGGCATCCCCTAAGCCCAGTCAAGTTGACAGAGAAAATTAGCCACCACAGTAAGAATGTTGCTATTGATTAAATGAAATATGATAACATTTTATATACAGATATGCTATTTGCAGGACATTCTTCAAGGAACTGTTCCTTGGTAACCCTAGAGAATCCCAAAGCCAACCATATATGGATAATATTTCTATCACTCTAAATCCTACTATAAGAATTGTACTATATTTCTTTAGAAGATTTAATAATAGAATTTTAGTAAATAAATGTAGTATATCTATTTATAAAGCATATGATGAGAGATTTTTATTTTCTAGGTGCCAAAATAGGTACAATTTGAGAAAAATACATCAATAACTACAGAATAGTCAATTATCGTTCTATTTTCCTTCAAAATAACATTGTCTTCATTTACTTTTGAACTACCCTATATTAATAATACTGCAGATAGAGAATGAACAGATTAGAAGAAGTATTAGACTTTCTGACAATAATTTAAGCTATTTCCTCTAGTGGAGGCAACTATAGTAGACAAAGGTATATCTTTGTATGAATATTTGTATGGTGTGTGTATGTATATATACATATATGTACATATATACACTGTACATACATACACATATACATATACATAAATATGTGTGTATATGGCATATATACACATATATATCTGTGTGTATATGGTATATATAAACATATATGTGTATATGATATATACATATGTGCATATACACACGTATATATGTATATGTATACATATATACATGTATGTATGTATACATGCATACATATATACATATATGCATATATGTATATGTATACATATATACATGTATGTATACATGCATACATATATACATACATATATACATATATGTATATATACATATATACATATATGGTATATATACACATATACATATATGGTATATATACACATATACATATATGGTATATATACACATACATATATAATATATATACATATATGGTATATATACATATATACATATATGGTGTGTATATATGTACATATGTGTGTTTATGTATCTATATATGCACACCAAATATTCATCACATAACTATAAAGGCTGCTGGTTCTTACAAATGAAATAAAGAGAAAAGAGTTTGAATAATGAGTATATTTTGTATCATATGTGAAGTGAATACTTTCCCATAAAATCACTCACTTAATTAGGTAACCTACAAAATATTAGATATGAAATCATTAAATAAGAATTGAGCTGGCTGCAATGGGAGTAGAGGTAAATGAGTAACACCAAAGAAAATATTTAATGGTAGTCAATGAAAAGTTCCTGACTTATATGTTTGTTTTATAGCCAGAGGCAGGTGCCATTTTCACACACGAAGAAAAAAAAAGGCTCATTTTGAAACATGAAGCTTTAAACCCTTCTTCAATCTCAGAAGAAGAAGAAATATTGATGTCTGCAGCATAAAATACAGCACAAAGATTAGGCAGAGCAGAACAGACAAAGCAACAAATCTACATGAACCCAAAGAGGACTCTCCTACTTTCCCATAATGCATGTGGATTTGAAAGTTAAATATCCAAACTAAAAAGCAAATTCCAACTCACAGAGGTATATTTTATTCCCATACAATTTTTTAACACATTAAATAATTACGTTTTTGCAGTTAGGGTTGTTACAAAAGGATGTGGCACTAAGACAATCCAAAGTTTCCAGTTCAAATTTTTTAACACTTTAATGAACACATTATAAACTAATCAAATATTTTGATTAATCAAATTATAAGCATGCTAATAATTTGCTATATAGACAAAGCATTTGTCATTGCTATAAACTTGCAAAGTCACTGGAGCTAGCTTTAAGCAAAACGGAAATTTTTACCGTGATGGTAAGCAACTCATAAGTATCTGAAAGTCCAGAGAATTGCTACATTTAGAATCCGCCACTGATTCCATTCTTCAGAATACAAACATATGTAAATGAATGCATGTGTGTATAGACAGATGGAGATAGATATAAGAAATTATCCTAGATATATATATATATATATGATATATATATATATATATGATATATATATATATATGATATATATATATATATATGATATATATATATATATATATCCTTCAGCAATATGGGTTTTGGTCATTCTCAAAGTAGCTTTTGATGTTTTCAAAAAGTCCTGAGTTAAGAGAAAGCTTCAGGTATTATTTTACATATATATGATCAGAGTGGGTAAAAACAGGGAAGAAGCAAGTTTATTTGTAGTGTAATCGCCTACTGCAAGAAACATTTTTGATACATTCCCTCACTCCTAACCTGAAGGAATCTGGACTGCAGCTGGAAAGAGGAAAGTCAGGTGGATTTAGGTATGTAGAGTTAGTGCAAGTGTGAGGGGTTTATGGAGTCCTGTTTTCCCCGTCAGTCTTTCATTTTAAACAGAAATCATTTTGCCATATGGAGAGGAATGTTGTCAATGGTGAAAAAGAAAAACAAAACTGGGTAAAAACTATAACGTACAGACAATCAGAAAAACTGAACCATAAAGGAGTCAGAGACTTAGGAGAGCTATTTTTACCATTCATGAAAAGTGCTCCTGAGGTTAAACCCTGATTTCTGAGAAACAAAGCATTGACTAAATTCTAATTTGACAAAATGTTTTCCTCCAATTTAAATTTAATTCATTACATAAGAGCATTCTTGTTTTACACTCAAAAGGGTTTATTTATAGACATTCTCTTTTGCAATTATGCAATTGCAAGTGCTAGCAATTAGAGATGATGTTGTGCCTTCCTCCATTCTTACTCCTTTCTAACACTGCATTGTTTCCAGTAATTCTTCTTTTTTATGGTATAACTCTTTCTTAAAAGAAAGACATCAGAAAATTTACCATGATAGTAAATTGGGTTTTTTTCTTTCTTTCTTTTTTTTATTTTTGAGACAGGTTCTCTCTTTTGCCTAGGCTGGAGTGCAGTGGCCCAATCATGACTCCCTGCAGTTTTGACCTTCTGGGCTCAAGTGATTCTCCTACCTCAGTCTCCTGAGTAGCCAGGAATATAGGCACTCACCATCACATCTGGCTAACTTTTTTATTTTTTATGGAGACGGGGGTCTCACTATGTTGCCCAGGCTGGTCTTGAACTCCTGGGCTCAAGTGATCTGCCTGCCTTGGCCTCCCAAAGTGCCAGGATTATGGGCGTGAGCCACCACACCCAGACCCTGTTATTTTTTTCTTTTACTATCAACACTTGTTCAAATTTACTATGTGTTTTTAAGAAGATGATTGCAACATTCTTTAGGTTAAGGTGTTTAAACCATATGACAAACATCAAAAAATCGACATCTTAAGAAATCCAATCAATGAATGATATATCTAATTTTTCTGATAACAATATTATATATTGACAATATTCAATTTAGTCAGCCTTCTGGTACATGAAAGATTAAGAGTGGTCTCCATTATTTTATTTTTTTAACTATTTTTATTTTTTTTATTTTTTGTCTTGTTTGAATTTTTCTTTTTACTATTATTATTATTATACTTTAAGTCTTAGGGTACATGTACACAATGTGCAGGTTTGTTACATATGTATACATGTGCCATGCTGGTGTGCTGCACTCATTAACTCGTCATTTAGCATTAGGTATATCTCCTAATGCTATCCCTCCCATCTCCCCCTACCCCACAACAGTCCCCAGAGTGTGATGTTCCCCTTCCTGTGTCCATGTGTTCTCATTGTTCAATTCCCATCTATGAGTGAGAACATGCGGTGTTTGGTTTTTTGTCCTTGCAGTAGTTTGCTCAGAATGATGATTTCCAAATTCATCCATGTCCCTACAAAGGACATGAACTCATCATTTTTTATGGCTGCATAGTATTCCATGGTGTATATGTGCCACATTTTCTTAATCCAGTCTATCATTGTTGGACATTTGGGTTGGTTCCAAGTCTTTGCTATTGTGAATAATGCCGCAATAAACATACTTGTGCATGTGTCTTTATAGCAGCATGATTTATAGTCCTTTGGGTATATACCCAGTAATGGGATTGGTGGGTCAAATGGTATTTCTAGTTCTAGATCCCTGAGGAATAGCCACAATGACTTCCACAATGGGTGAACTAGTTTACAGTCCCACCAACAGTATAAAAGTGTTCCTATTTCTCCACATCCTCTCCAGCACCTGTTGTTTCCTGACTTTTTAATGATTGCCATTCTAACTGGTGTGAGATGGTATCTCATTGTGGTTTTGATTTGCATTTCTCTGATGGCCAGTGATGATGAGCATTTTTTCACGTGTCTGTTGGCTGCATAAATGTCTTCTTTTGAGAAGTGTCTGTTCATATCCTTTGCCCACTTTTTGATGGGGTTGTTTGTTTTTTTCTTGTAAATTTGTTTGAGTTAATTGTAGGTTCTGGATATTAGCCCTTTGTCAGATGAGAAGGTTGCGAAAATTTTCTCCCATTCTGTAGGTTGCCTGTTCACTCTGCTGGTAGTTTCTTTTGCCGTGCAGAAGCTCTTTACTTTCATCAGATCCCATTTGTCAATTTTGGCTTTTGTTGCCATTGCTTTTGGTGTTTTAGACATGAAGTCCTTTCCCATGCCTATGTCCTGAATGGTAATGCCTAGGTTTTCTTCTAGGGTTTTTATGGTTTTAGGTCTAACGTTTAAGTCTTTAATCCATCTTGAATTAATTTTTGTATACGGTGTAAGGAAGAGATCCAGTTTCAGCTTTCTACATATGGCTAGCCAGTTTTCCCAGCACCATTTATTAAATAGGGAATCCTTTCCCCATTGCTTGTTTTTCTCAGGTTTGTCAAAGATCAGATAGTTGTAGATATGCGGCATTATTTCTGAGGGCTCTGTTCTGTTCCATTGATCTATATCTCTGTTTTGGTACCAGTGCCATGCTGTTTTGGTTACTGTAGCCTTGTAGTATAGTTTGAAGTCAGGTAGTGTGATGCCTCCAGCTTTGTTCTTTTGGCTTAGGATTGACTGGGCGATGCGGGCTCTTTTTTGGCACCATATGAACTTTAAAGTAGTTTTTTCCAATTCTGTGAAGGAAGTCATTGGTAGCTTGATGGGGATGGCATTGAATCTATAAATTACCTTGGGCAGTATGGCCATTTTCACGACATTGATTCTTCCTATCCATGAGCATGGAATGTTCTTCCATTTGTTTGTATCCTCTTTTATTTCCTTGAGCAGTGGTTTGTAGTTCTCCTTGAAGAGGTCCTTCATGTCCCTTGTAAGTTGGATTCCTAAGTATTTTATTCTCTTTGAAGCAATTGTGAATGGGAGTTCACTCATGGTTTGACTCTCTGTCTGTTATTGGTGTATAAGAATGCTTGTGATTTTCGTACATTGATTTTGTATCCTGAGACTTTGCTGAAGTTGCTTATCAGCTTAAGGAGATTTTGGGCTGAGACAATGGGGTTTTCTAGATATACAATCATGACATCTGCAAACAGGAACAATTTGACTTCCTCTTTTCCTAATTGAATACCCTTTATTTCCTTCTCCTGCCTAATTGCCCTGGCCAGAACTTCCAAAACTATGTTGAATAGGAGTGGTGATTGATAGAGGGCATCCTTGTCTTGTGCCAGGTTTCAAAGGGAATGCTTCCAGTTTTTGCCCATTCAGTATGATATTGGCTGTGAGTGTGTCATAGATAGCTCTTATTATTTTGAAAAACGTCCCATCAATACCTAATTTATTGAGAGTTTTTAGCATGAAGGGTTGTTGAATTTTGTCAAAGGCCTTTTCTACATCTATTGAGATAATCATGTGGTTTTTGTCTTTGGTTCTGTTTATATGCTGGATTACATTTATTGATTTGCATATATTGAACCAGCCTTGCATCCCAGGGATGAAGCCCACTTGATCATGTTGGATAAGCTTTTTGATGTGCTGCTGGATTCGGTTTGCCAGTATTATATTGAGGATTTTTGCATCGATGTTTATCAGGGATCTTGGTCTCAAATTCTCTTTTTTTGTTGCGTCTCTGCCAGGCTTTGGTATCAGGATGATGCTGGTCTCATAAAGTGAGTTAGGGAGGATTCCCTCTTTTTCTATTGATTGGAATAGTTTCAGAAGGAATGGTACCAGTTCCTCCTTGTACCTCTGGTAGAATTCGGCTGTGAATCCATCTGGTCCTGTACTCTTTTTGGTTGGTAAGCTATTGATTATTGCCACAATTTCAGATCCTGTTATTGCTCGATTCAGAGATTCAACTTCTTCCTAGTTTAGTCTTGGGAGGATGTATGTGTCGAGGAATTTATCGATTTCTTCTAGATTTTCTAGTTTATTTGCGTAGAGGTGTTTGTAGTATTCTCTGATGGTAGTTTGTATTTCTGTGAGATCGGTGGTGATATCCCCTTTATCATTTTTTATTGCATCTATTTGATTCTTCTCTCTTTTTTTCTTTATTAGTCTTGCTAGCGGTCTATCAATTTTGTTGATCCTTTCAAAAAACCAGCTCCTGGATTCATTAATTTTTTGAAGGGTTTTTTGTGTCTTTATTTCCTTCAGTTCTGCTCTGATTTTAGTTATTTCTTGCCTTCTGCTAGCTTTTGAATGTGTTTGCTCTTGCTTTTCTAGTTCTTTTAATTGTGATGTTAGGGTGTCAATTTTGGATCTTTCCTGCTTTCTCTTGTGGGCATTTAGTGCTATAAATTTCCCTCTACACACTGCTTTGAATGCGTCCCAGAGATTCTGGTATGTTGTGTCTTCTCGTTGGTTTCAAAGAACATCTTTATTTCTGCCTTCATTTTGTTATGTACCCAGTAGTCATTCAGGAGCAGGTTGTTCAGTTTCCATGTAGTTGAGCGGTTTTGAGTGAGTTTCTTAATCCTGAGTTCTAGTTTGATTGCACTGTGGTCTGAGAGATAGTTTGTTATAATTTCTGTTCTTTTACATTTGCTGAGGAGAGCTTTACTTCCAACTATGTGGTCAATTTTGGAATAGGTGGGGTGTGGTGCTGAAAAAAATGTATATTCTGTTGATCTGGAGTGAAGAGTTCTGTAGATGTCTATTAGGTCCGCTTGGTGCAGAGCTGAGTTCAATTCCTGGGTATCCTTGTTAACTTTCTGTCTCGTTGATCTGTCTAATGTTGACAGTGGGGTGTTAAAGTCTCCCATTATTATTGTGTGGGAGTCTAAGTCTCTTTGTAGGTCACTCAGGACTTGCTTTATGAATCTAGGTGCTCCTGTATTGGGTGCATATATATTTAGGATAGTTAGCTCTTCTTGTTGAATTGATCCCTTTACCATTATGTAATGGCCTTCTTTGTCTCTTTTGATCTTTGTTGGTTTAAAGTCTGTTTTATCAGAGACTAGGATTGCAACCCCTGCCTTTTTTTGTTTTCCATTTGCTTGGTAGATCTTCCTCCATCCTTTTATTTTGAGCCTATGTGTGTCTCTGCATGTGAGATGGGTTTCCTGAATACAGCACACTGATGGGTCTTGACTCTTTATCCAATTTGCCAGTCTGTGTCTTTTAATTGGAGCATTTAGTCCATTTACATTTAAGGTTAATATTGTTATGTGTGAATTTGATCCTGTCATTATGATGTTAGCTGGTTCTTTTGCTGGTTAGTTGATGCAGTTTCTTCCTAGTCTTGATGGTCTTTACATTTTGGCATGATTTTGCAGCGGCTGGTACCAGTTGGGCCTTTCCATGTTTAGTGCTTCCTTCAGGAGCTCTTTTAGGGCAGGCCTGGTGGTGACAAAATCTCTCGGCATTTGCTTGTGTGTAAAGTATTTTATTTATCCTTCAGTTATGAAGCTTAGTTTGGCTGGATATGAAATTCTGGGTTGAAAATTCTTTTCTTTAAGAATGTTGAATATTGGCCCCCACTCTCTTCTGGCTTGTAGAGTTTCTACTGAGTGATCCGCTGTTAGTCTGATGGGCTTCCCTTTGTGGGTAACCCGACCTTTCTCTCTGGCTGCCCTTAACATTTTTTCCTTCATTTTAACTTCGGTGAATCTGACAGTTATGTGTCTTGGAGTTGCTCTTCTCGAGGAGTATCTTTGTGGCGTTCTCTGTATTTCCTGAATCTGAGTGTTGGCCTGCCTTGCTAGATTGGGGAGTTCTCTGTATTTCCTGAATCTGAGTGTTGGCCTGCCTTGCTAGATTGGGGAAGTTCTCCTGGATAATATCCTGCAGAGTGTTTTCCAACTTGGTTCCTTTCTCCCCGTCACTTTCAGGTACACCAATCAGATGCAGATTTGGTCTTTTCACATAGTCCCATATTTCTTGGAGGCTTTGTTCATTTCTTTTTATTCTTTTTTCTCTAAACTTCCCTTCTCGCTTCATTTCATTCATTTCATCTTCCATCTCTGATACCCTTTCTTCCAGTTGATCACATCGTCTCCTGAGGCTTCTGCATTCTTCACGTAGTTCTCGAGCCTTGGCTTTCAGCCCCATCAGCTCCTTTAAGCACTTCTCTGTATTGGTTATTCTAGTTATACATTCGTGTACATTTTTTTCAAAGTTTTCAACTTCTTTGCCTTTGGTTTGAATTGCCTCCTGTAGCTCGGAGTAGTTTGATCGTCTGAAGCCTTCTTCTCTCCACTCGTCAAAGTCATTCTCCGTCCAGCTTTGTTCCATTGCTGGTGAGGAACTGCATTCCTTTGGAGGAGGAGAGACACTCTGCTTTTCAGAGTTTCCAGTTTTTCTGCTGTTTTTTTCCCCATCTTTGTGGTTTTATCTACTTTTGGTCTTTGATGATGGTAATGTACAGATGGGTTTTTGGTGTGGATGTCCTTTCTGTTTGTTAGTTTTCCTTCTAACAGACAGGACCCTCAGCTGCAGGTCTGTTGGAGTTTGCTAGAGGTCCACTCCAGACCCTGTTTGCCTGGGTATCAGCAGCAGTGTCTGCAGAACCACGGATTTTCATGATCCGCGAATGCTGCTGTCTGATCATTCCTCTGGAAGTTTTGTCTCAGAAGAGTAGCCCGCCGTGTGAGGTGTCAGTCTGCCCCTACTGGGGGGTGCCTCCCAGTTAGGCTGCTCGGGGGTCAGGGACCCACTTGATGAGGTAGTCTGCCCATTCTCAGATCTCCAGCTGCATGCTGGGAGATCCACTGCTTCCTCAAAGCTGTCAGACAGGGACATTTACGTCTGCAGAGGTTACTACTGTCTTTTTGTTTGTCTGTGCCCTGCCCCCAGAGGTGGAGGCTACAGAGGCAGGCAGGCCTCCTTGAGCTGTGGTGGGCTCCACCCAGTTAGAGCTTCCAGGCTGCTTTGTTTACCTAAGGGAGCCTGGGCAATGGCGGGCGCCCCTCCCCCAGCCTCGCTGCTGCCTTGCAGTTTGATCTCAGACTGCTGTGCTAGCAATCAGCCAGACTCCGTGGGCATAGGACCCTCCGAGCCAGGTGAGGGATATCATCTCCTGGTGTGCTGTTTCCTAAGCCCGTCGGAAAAGCACAGTATTCTGGTGGGAGTGGCCCAATTTTCCAGGTGCCATCTGTCATCCCTTTCCTTGACCAGGAAAGGGAACTCCCTGATCCCTTGCACTTCTTGAGTGAGGGAATGCCTCGCCCTGCTTCGGCTGGCGCACGGTGCGCTGCACCCACTGTCCTGCGCCCACTGTCTGGCACTCCCTAGTGAGATGAACCGGGTACCTCAGATGGAAATGCAGAAATCACCCGTCTTCTGCGTCGCTCACACTGGGAGCTGTAGACCGGAGCAGTTCCTATTTGGCCATCTTGGCTCCTCCTTCCATTATTTTAAGTATTACACAGCATGTTTGTTTTAAAATGCTTTACAAAGAATATAGTTTTAGAAAATGGAGATAATTATTTGAATAATGAAAAACATCTTAACAAAAGACATAATAAAAGACATACATCTGTAATTCAGTTTTTGGCCTCAGTGTCATTTTCACTCTGGTATAAAAAACATCGAGCCATTAGATTTACAGATATTGATGAGGGAACAAACAAATCCAGCTAAAATGCATTCTGTTTATATGGATATCAGTGTACCTGAGGAAAAGAAGATCTGGTGAATTCCTTCTGGCCTGTCTCAGCCTACAGCACTAACAATAAGTAGCAAGATAGAAGTGGTGCCCAGAAATGTCTGACTTATGTGATCTTTCCACTATGAAACATTGTGGTCATTACATAATTGCGCTATTTTATTATAATACTTTGCCTTGATTACTTCCTCTCCTCAAAAGAAAAAAAAAAGCAAAAATACAGCAATCATAATATGTGTCCTTCTATGATTTAGGCAGGAGAAGACTTTTTTCCTTTTTTATGATCAATTTCAATATTGTGTTTGAAAGCCTCAGGAGGGCTCCCTGAGTTACAGAATAATCTGGCAGACCTCTGGGTTGTGAGGGGCATTCCTTGGGGCATTCTTTTCCTTTCTTCCAGAGTCTAATGACAGGGCAACAAGGGTCAGCCACTGTGTAGAAAACCAGTTAATCAGCCCCCAGACAAAAGCAGGTTAAGGTGGTGTTGTAGGCAACAATGTTATATTTTTAGAACAACACAACCCTTCATCTATGGTTTATAGTGTCAAAAATGTAGGGATTCTTATTTTTAAAGAAATGAGAAAATTGGTGTTTAAGTGATAATCATAATTAAGTCAATTGTAATAAAAACAATAGCCAAGGATAGCACTAGCATGATGAACTATCCAACACCCTCCCAGTAGACAAGGATCTAAATTCTAAGTAATCTGCCATGAAGAGGGCAAGTAGACTTCCAACAAGACCACATATTTCTTATATACATAGTTTACTATACATTATATAGAGATAAATGTACATTAGAAAAAAATTCTATGATTCAGTTAGAGGATATGACAGAGGTTAATGTACATTTAAAGTGAAAAGCTTGAGGCAAAGAAAGAGGATTAATTCCCTCTCAAAGCTCACTAATGACTTGCATTTGCCATGTGATCCTCCCCACTTCCATCCTCTCATCCTCTGCCCGCCCCTCAACACAGCTTCCTCAGTACTCAGACACACACACACATACACTAGGGAAGCCACTTGCCTGAATTTTATATTTGTCATTTTCCTGATTTTTGCTAATAGTTTTATCATTTATATATGTATATCTACAAAAAGTCAGTGTCCCCAAAACAAAAACAATACGAATAAGAGCTGGATATGTAAATAAAAAAGAGCTCAGAGGTGCCTCAGAGAACGGCACAGAAGAAAGATAACACCAAAAACTCTGAACATGAACCAAGATTGATACTTGCTGGTGACAATGCCCTATAGGATAATTAAAACGAAAACTATCCTGCAGTCATGCCCACTTTTAATTTTTAATTTCTATATCTGTATTAATTTTACATAGTGCATTTCACATTGTGGTGCAAGTTATTCCTAAGTGATCACTTGCTTGTCATTACATAATTCCAAGTTCAATGACCCCTTTCCTGTATTATTAGGGTAATGTACCGGACTCAGATAGAGCCAATTATTATTTTGAGTCACCAACCTACTATACAGACAGGGAAGACCAAGCAAGTGAAGCCACATAAAAAGTAAAAGCTATTTCTGTTTGAAATACCTGACATTACAGTATGTCTCTCTAGAATTTAGCTAACTCATTTTCATGGCATCCCTGATCTCCTACTATAAACTCCATGCAGGCAGAGATTTTGTCTGTTTGTTCACTGTTCACTACTGAATCCTCATCACCTGGAAAGATACCTGACACATAGTAGGGGCTCAGTTATTATTTATTGAATAAATGGCTCCAGAAATAGAAATAAATTTGTCCCCTAGTCTGGTCCTGTTGCATCTCCACAGCCTCTTGCCCGGCAGGATCTTTGACAGCCTGGTCATCATCTGTTTTGTTTCTGTCAACCTGCTCTCCCTTTGCTAACCAAAACTTCTGTCGCTCCTTCAACTTGCACCTACATCGGGTAAATATATCCAATTATTCCAGAAAGACTGAATTCCTACAGATTCGTACTTGAAAATCCAGATTGTGACTTAATTGAGCTTTGACTTTCACAAAAATATTGATATCGTCTCTGTTCTTCCACTCAAATATTTATTGACTGACTACTGTTTGCTGGGCTCTGTTTCAAGAAATTTAGGGTGTATCAGTGAACAACAACAAATCTTCATGTTTCACAAGGGACAGAGACAATAAATAAGTAAATTATATAGTCTGTTACAAAGCATTAAAAAGAATTAAACAAGGTAAAGGGTACCAGAATTTCCATAGTGAAGTTCCAGAAATTTGCAATCTGCAAGTTAAGCCTGGTGAAAATAGGCTTCATTGGGGTGAGATTTGATAAAGAAATTGAAGATGTGCCAAAGCTAGCCATGCAAACAGCTAGTGCAAGGTATTTCCCAAAGTATTGCAAAAACCACAATAACTTTTGCACCAACTTAATATCACTGCAGTCTAAGCTCTTGGTCTTCAATGTGTTTATTCTAGGGAAACAACATGGTAAAGTAGCTAAAGCAGAGTGAGCAAAAGAAAGAGAAATAGGAGGTGAGGTCAGGGAGGAAACAAGAAGCCAGATTATACAGCGCCTTGAAGCCCATGTTGAAGACACAATCCTTCACCCTGAGTACAAACAGAAGCCATTCTAGCATTTGATTTAACTTAGATTTTAAAACTGAACCCTATGCAAGGACCATGATATGAATACCTTTGGTATACCCAAAGCTCTGGTGCAGTATTGTGCTTCCCACAATACTTGATTAGCCAAATGATTTATGGGCAGTTTTATGCATCACTGTTGACTTTGTGGAAATCTCCAGAGAGAGGGCTGTTATATCAGCCTCTTACTCTCTTAAGTAAAACATAATCTATAAAAGAAGGCAGCATTATGTACTGGCTAGGATCACAGGTTCTGAAATCAAGCTGCATGGATTTTAAACCCTGCTCATCATTTGTTTAAAGTTTCAGTTTCCTCATTGTTAAACTGACAGTAATAATGAAACCAACTTCCTAGGGAAAGGAAGGGGGTCATTTGAAAACTGAGTATGAAATTGTATAAAAAGCCCATGTTATCATCCTGGGACATAATAAGAAGTCACTTGTATTCATATGATATCATAGAGTTGTTGTCAGTATTTAATGAGATTATCCGAGTAAGCACACATAGTAAGCACTCCACAACATATATATTTGCATAACACTATTATTGCTGTTGGCAAAACCAAATTTCAGAATACATTATTAAACATTATGCATTTTCAGGCAATACTTTAATAGACCCCATTGTATTTAGCATGCAGAATGAAAATGACAATTACAACAATTACAATTACCATTTTAATCCAATGCAGTTCAACAAAAGATTAGATACTTGTATGAACACTAATAATATTTGCAGAAAACTCATGACGAAAGAAAACTGCAGGCATCTTGAAACAATAGGGTCAGAGAAAGAACATAAAACAGAACCTTTCACAGTTATTGATATTATTTCTTTTATAATGTACATTAAAACTTTCCTTTGGTTCAATTCACTGCTTTTCTACAACACAATTTTTGCGTCATATATAGATGAAGATATTTTACTAAGATCATATAAAAGTATGCAATATTTTCCTTTTGTCCCCATCTCTTCCCAACTCTGCCCCAATACCCTATGCTCAGCACTCAAGGAAACCCAGATGGAATACTAGCTATATTAGTTTTTCAAGTCAATTAACAAGTATTTAGTAAGTTCCTTGAAAAAATATATTCTAGGAATTATTTGAGTTTTATCACATTATTGCAATTACTGACAGAGATATCTTGGTAAATTTCACTTTCAATATGGGTAGTATTTTTTGTTTGTTTTCCTATGATCAGTTTCCAATGAACAAATTACCATTTTATCTTTACCTAGAAGTTCCAGAGATTTTGCCCTTTAATATAATGTCTAAATTTATTCCATTCTCTTTCCACAACTAATGACTGTATTTGGTTCATTTTCAATAAAACTTAATGACTAAATTAAAAAGGTTAACTAGGTTTAAATAAAGATGAGGGTGACATTTCTTCCATATTTGTCTGGCTCCCAACCTGCTTTCTGCTAACTTTGAATTCTGCCTTCTGTGAAAATTATGCCCTCTAAAAAACAAGCGTTGTGAAAAGGGCCATATGGGGCAAAATTGAGTTTTGGCATTCAAAATATAAGAATATTTTAAATAAAAACTTTATAACAAGTGAGGTAGCCATTTAATTAACATTTTAGGTAGGGGGTCATTGTTTTTTGTTTGGATGAAGAGAAGCTAAAAAGAAAATCCCGAGAGAAAACATAACATCAGAACACTTCACTAAACTAAAAAATGGGCATGAGACAGTAACATGAGGTCTATACTGAATCCCATTGAAGGCTGTAATTAGCCCATGCTTCAGTATTTTGTACAATACAATGAAGCATTATTTTACCCAATATATCTTAATTAAAAGCAAAAACACAATACCACACAAAGCTACCATCAAAGAGGCGTTATTGGCACTCACATAATACAGAAGATGGGGAAGGATTTTGTTTTCTTTGTTTGGTAAGAAAATTGGAACTAGGCATTCTATTTTCCACATAGCTCTCAATATAGAAGCATTTGTGTACCAAAAATTGCATTTGCACTGTAAATTATATGGATGAAAGCCACAGAGAAAGAGATAGTTTGTTGTTTTATAATTCAATAGTAGCAATGCTTGGATTTCTCTGCTTTCTCTTTCACAAATAAAATAATTACTGAAGGCTTGGTTTTTACCACAATGGGAGAGTTAGTTGAATATTCTAATGTTCATGTTTTATATTCCTTTTTCAATGGGATGCATTGATTATGCAGTAATATTAAAATATATACACAAAATAATTTTCTTGTCACCTTAATTTTGAATTCTGAATATCAAAGAAACCAAAACAGTCCACTATGGTCTGTTTTTATATTTTCTGGACATAAGAGGAGAAAAATAGTGAATAAAATTCTATCCCATAAAAATTATGAGCAAATTTTATGTCCCCTAAATCAAGTTATTTCTATAATTAATATAAGTGGGGTGAGGGGAAGGTTAAAAGAAGGTGATTCAAATGGCATCAAAGAATCTCTATGTGACCTTCACACAGAGATTTAGTAAACTTGAATGAGACAGTTGAAGAGTAAAAATGAAATCAGCACTCTAAATAATTCATATAGCGAAAGACGACTCAGTACTTAGAGTCAACCATAAGGCAAACCATAAGGAATGTCTAAAGTTCTAACATCTTTTACTGTACATCTGATATCTAAGATGTTATTTCTAGCAAATTCCTCAAGGATTTGTATAACAGCTATGCCTTATCAACTGAGAGCAAAATGAACAATGATACACCAGCTGATACTTCCACACAGCACGCTGAGTGAATCCCTCTAAACTGACATAACCTTAAACTGAACTATAAGGGTTGGCTCAGTCTAGCTGCTCTTTAAAAATGGGAAGAACAGGAGTCAAGAAAGCACAACTTGTCATTAATCTAGCTCAGAAGCACAGATTACAGATGAAGAAACAGAGACAACTGAGTTTTCTCAGATAATATAGGTAGCACCAAACAAACAAGAACCTAGAACTTCTTTTGTCAAAAGCCTTTTCTTTGGTACCAACTTTACAAAGATGACATGACTTCTAATATCAAAGTCTATAAAATATAAGCCAAGTGATCAAAAAAATCAGAGGGTTAGAAAGTACCCAGAAGTCAACAAGTTCAATTCTTTAGATTACCCCTGCTCTTAGAAACCTGGCTGTGATTCAGTGCCTACCCTGAACCTGTATATCACCCTTCTAACAATTTCTCCATGTGTTGTCCCTCATAGAGTGGAAGACCAGATCCCAAAAACGTGTCAAAGGAAGAGGAAAACAATGTTCTTTGGTGAACATATCAAAACTGATTTTTTCTGGGTCTACTGGCAGAAATATGGAACTGATGCTAAAGCTAAAAAATGGGGGGCTATACTAAGATGTGAAAATAAGTTTACATGACTAAGAAGTATTTTTAAACTCAAGTTTAGTGAGTCTTCTTGGTATATACTCAGATATATAGTCTTGTTTTTGGCAGTGGTAGATTAAATCATCAAAATGTTGTATCTGAAAAACGTGGCTAAAATAACAGGATCGATAGTCCCATAAAAAACAATTAGTACAACATATGTCACAAATACTCATCTGTGATTATTAGCTATTGTTGGTGATTTTATCACAATGTAGCATATGCATTTGTAAAGATTATATTCTTCATTATACTTCATTATATTAGGAAATTGATAGACTAAGAATGATAGACATTATATTAGGAAATTGATAGACTATTCAAACGAATGTAGTGCCTACAGAAGGTCAATTTGAGAAATGTGTGGGGTGTAGAAGTAATAGAAGCAATAAAGAGGAGAGAAGTCAAAGGCTGATGGTACCAATAGATGGTGCATATAAACCACCTAAAACCACAAAGTAGTCTCCAGTGCTACTTACATAAACAAGTCTTCCACACTCTACAAGAGGAAGAAAAAATGGAAGGAGGAGCAGTGGTAAAAAAGAAAACAAGAGCTATACTTCTCCATTCCTTCTACCACCCCTCTGTACTTTACACCTATTATTGAATCTGTCAGGAAAAGATCATAGGCAGGGGCAGAAACGTGTAGTACTTTGGAAAAGTCCTACCCTAGTGAATAATTTATTTATTGGGTGTATTAGTCAGGGTTCTCTAAAGGGACAGAACAGGATATAGATATAGATATTATATATAATATATATTATATATGTAATATATATAAAATACATATACATATATAATAACATATATATAATACATGTATTAGCACTCTTAACAAACATTTATTACCATATAGTTTTTGAGAGTCAGAGATTCAGGAGCGGCTTTATTAGGTGGTTCTGCCTAGGCGTATCTCAAGATATTGCAGCTAATGTGTCAGCCAGGACTACAGTAATCTGAAGGCTTGATAAAGCTGGAGGATCCACTTCCAAGCTTACTTATGTAGCTGTTGGTCTGAGGCCTCCATCAGCTTCCTTGCTAAATGCTGGTGGCAGGCCTTAGCTCCTCATTACTGGACCTCTCCACAGAGCTGATTGATGTCCTCATGGCATGGCAGCTAGCTTCAGTTCCACATGGCTGGAGAGGCCTCACAATCATGGTGAAAAATGAAGGAAGAACAAAGGGACATCTTATGCAGCAGCATATATATATATTTATATATACATACACATAGATGTACATATATATGTACGTATATGTATATACATATATGTATATACATATACGTACATATATACATATATATGCTGCCATGTAAGATGTCCCTTTATATAAAGGAGAGTTGATTAAGTATTAACTTACATGAACACAAGGTCCCACAATAGGATCTCTGCAAGCTGAGGGACAAGGAGAGCCAGTCCGAGTCTCCACACTGAAGAACTTGGAGTCTAATGTTCAAGGGCAGGAAGCATCCAGCATGGGAGAAAGATGTAGCCTGGGAGGCTAGGCCAGTCTCTCCTTTTCACATTTTTCTGCCTGCTTTATATTCGCTAGCAGCTGATTGATTAGATTGTGCCCACTAGATTAAGGGTGGGTCTGCCTTCCCCAGCCCACTGACTCAAATGTTAATCTCTTTTGGCAACACCCTCACAGACACACACAGGATCAATATTTTGTATCCTTCAATCCAGTCAAGTTGACATTCAGTATTAACCATCATAAGTCCACCCTTTGTCAAATGGAGCCCATGCACATCTCCTGAGATTATACATAATCTTCAAATAAAGACAATAATAGTGAGGTCATAATTACGCCTAACATAATACAAGTATCCTTCATACAAATTGAAATGCAACAATCCCCAAACGAAATACAATTTTTTTTTTTTTTTTTGAGATAGACTCTCACTCTGTTGCCCAGGCTGGAGTGCGGTGGCGTGATCTCGGCTCACTGCAAGCTCCGCCTCCCAGGTTCATGGCATTCTCCTGCCTCAGCCTCCCAAATAGCTGGGACTACGGGCGCCCACCACCACGCCCAGCTAATTTTTTGTATTTTTAATAGATACGGGGTTTCACCGTGTTAGCCAGGATGGTCTCGAACTCCTGACCTCTTGATCTGCCCTCCTCGGCCTCCCACCAAATACTATTACATAAAATTAACAATACTTAAATGCTGATATGAAGTCAATAAATCTTATGTCATATGATTAAGGAAAAGAAAATAAAGATATTTTCTTAGTACAAGTGTATACATGCACAAATGTTCTTAGCAAAAGAAGGAGGAAATACTCATGACAATTACAGTCCCCATTTCTGCATCTGGTCATTTGGTTGTAGCTGGTATTGATGACTACCTTCTTCTACTACCCATTCTGTATTTCCTTTGTCTTCAGCAAGCACCTCAGCACGTCATGGTTTTTTTCCTGGTGGAGTGACCCAAACCTTCATTCCTGAGGAGTCTGGGCCATTTGTAGTCCTGCCTGGATTGGGCTGTTGTAGTCTCCCATTGACCTTAATCACAGGGCATGGTAATACTAAGATATGCCCTAATGGATTTCATGTATTCCATGCATATTCTTCCTCACCTCCATTGTGGAGTAGTAGACTGATTTCATCTTGATAGTCTGGGTCAATCACCCCAGCCAACACTGTAACTCCCTTCTTAGCGTGCTGACTTAAAGGTAGGAGGAGCCAAAAGTGTCCAGGTGGCAATCTTAACTTCCAGTTTAATGGAATCGGAATCGTTGTTGTGTCTCCCAGTGGCAGCGTTCCTCCCTCTGGAAATAAGACCTCTAGGCCAGCAGAACTTAATGGCATGGGAACAGGAAGAAAAATTTTGCTAGTGGATCACTAGGGGTGATGGTGATTGGTGCCCCTTCCACTTCCATCCCTTGATTCCTGGACCCGAGAATCGTGGCTATGAGAGAAACAGTATCATATATTGGACACTGATTCAGAGCATACATAACCTTCTGGAGATCTTTACCCCAGTACTACAAAGTATTGTCACCTAGTTGACATTGTAATTCCACTATTCTATCAGTCCAGCTGCTTCAGGATAATGGGGAACATGATAGACCATTGAATTCCATGAGCATGAGCCTACTGCTTCACTTCTTTAGCCGAAAAGTGAGTGCTTTGGTCAGAGGCAATGCTGTGTGGAATATCATGATGGTGGATAAAGCATTCTGTGAGTCCATGGATGGTAGTCTTGGCAGAAGCATTGCGTGCAGGATAGGCAAACCCATATCTGGAGTAAGTATCTATTTCAGTGAGGACAAACCTCTGCCCTTTCCATGATAGAAGAGGTTCAATATAATCAAGCTGCCACCAGGTAGCTGACTGATCACCCCAAGGAATGGTGCCATATCGAGGGCTTGGTGTTGGTCTCTGCTGCTGGCAAATTGGGCACTGAGCAGTGGCCATAACCAGGTCACCCTTGGTGAGTGGAAGTCCATGTTGCTGAGCCCATGTGTAACCTCCATCCCTGCCACCACGGCCACTTTGTTCATGGTCTCATGGGGCGATGATAGGGGTGGCTGGGGAAAGAGACTGAGTGGTGTCCACAGAACGGGTCACCCTATCCACTTGATTATTAAAATCCTCCTCTGCTGGGGTCACACATTGGTGAGCACTCACATGGGATATAAATATCTTCATGGTTTTTGACCACTCAGAGAGGTCCATCCACGTACCTCTTCCCCAAATTTATTTGCCACCACTTTTCCAAACTTGCTTCTTCCAAGTCCCTGACCATCCAGCCAAACCATTGGCTACAGCCCATGAATCAGTATATAATCGCACATCTGGCCATTTCTCCTTCCATGCAAAGTGCACAACCAGGTGCACTGCTTGAAGTTCTGCCTGTTGGGAAGATTTCCCTTCACCACTGTCCTTCAGGGATGTCCTAGAAAGGGGGTGTAGTGCTGCATCTGTCCACTTTTAGTTGATGCCTGCATATTATACAAACCCATCTGTGAACCAGGCTCTAGTCTTTCTTCTCTTTCTCTGTCAGCTGATCATACGGAACTCCCCATAAGCCCATCGGTGCAAGCTGGGGAAGAGAAGGCAGGGTGGAGTGGAGACCATGTGCATTTGACCCACTTTCTCATGTAACTTACTTGTGCCTTCAGGACCTGCTTGAGCCCAATCACATATATACCACTTCCATTTGATGATGGAATGCTGCTGTGCACAACCCACTTCATGGCTAGGTGGGCCAGAAAGCACCTAGTTCACAATAGGCAGTTCAGGTCCCATGGTGACTTGATGACCCACAGTCAAACATTCAGTTTACACCAAAGCCCAGTAACAGGCCAAGAGCTGTCTCTCAAAAGGAGAGTAGTTAGTTATCTGCAGAAGATGGCAGGGCCTTGCTCCAAAATCCTATAGGCCTCCTCTATGATTCACCTGTGGGAGCCTGCCAAAGGCTCCAAACAGCATCCCTATCTGCCAGTGACACCTCAAGCACCATTGGATCTGCTGGGTCATATTGCCCAAGTGGCAGAATAGCTTGCACAGCAGCCTGGGCCTCTTGCAGAGCCTTCTCCTGTTCTAGACCCCACTCAAAACTGACAGCCTTTCCAGTCGCTCATTAAATGAGCAGGAGAAACACACCCAAATGAGGAATGTGTTGCCTCCAAAATCCAAATAGGCCCACTAGGCATTGAGCTTCTTTCTTGGTTGTAGGAGGGGCCAAATACAGCAACTTATCTTTTATCTTAGAAGGAATATCTCAACAGGCCCCATACCACTGGACCCCTAGAAATTTTACTGAGGTAGACTGTCCCTGAATTTTAGTCAGGTTTATTTCCCATCTTCTGACACACAAATGTCTCACCAATAAGTCCAGTGTGTTTGCTACTTCTTGCTCACTGGATCCAATCAGCATAATGTCATCAATGTAATGGACCAGTGTGATATCTTGTGGAAGTGAAAAGCAACCAAGTTCTCTCCGAATAAGATTATGACACAAAGCTGGAGAGTCGACATACCCCTGAGGTAGAATGGTAAAGGTAAATTGCTGCCTTGCCAGCTGAAGGCAAATTGCTTCTGACGGGCCTTATGGACAGGAATGGAAAAAAAGGCATTTTCCAAGTCAATGGCTGCATACCAGATATCAGATGTGTTGATTTTCTCAAGCAATGCAACCACATCTGGTACAGCAGCTGCAACTAGAGTCACCACTTGGTTAAGCTTGTGATAATCCAGTGCCCTTCTCCAAGATCCATCTGTCTTCTGCACAGGTCAAATGGGAGAGTTGGACGAGGATGTGGTGGGAATCACAACCCGTGTCTTTCAAATCCTTAATGGTGGCACTAATCTCCACAATCCATCCAAGGATGCAATATTTGTTTTTTATCTACCATTTTTCTAGGTAGAGGCAGCTCTAATGGCTTCCATTTGGCCTTTTTCACCTAACAACCCTTACCCTACCAATCAGGGAGACAATGTGGGGATTCTGCCATCTGCTATGCCAATTATGCATTCTGTTACCAGGGAAATGACCACAGGATGAGTCCAGGGACCCAGTAGACACACTGTAAGTCAGATCTGAGCTAACTCTATTCATTACCTGACCTCCATAGCCCCCTACTTTAACTGGAGGACCACAATGACATTTTAGGTCCCCTGGAATCAATGTCAGCTCAGAGCCAATGTCCAGCAGTTCCTGAAATGTCTGATCATTTCCCTTTCCCCAGTGCATAGTTACCCTGGTAAAAGACTGGAAGTCTCCTTGGGGAAGGATGGGATAAAGATTTGCTGCATAAATTGTCAGTAATGTAGTGGGCTCCTTCCTCAAGGGGACCTGGCCTACCCTTCATTCCAGGGGTTCTAGGTCTGTAAACTGGCTCAAGTCTGGAAATTGATTGAGGGGCCGTGATTCCATTTTTATAATTCAAATTAGTCTTTTGTCCATTTGACCTAGAAGGTTTCAGCTTGTATAAATTAAGTAGGAATGAAGTACGCTTCCTATTCATTTCACTCCTAGGAACACCGTGATTAATTAGTCAATGCCAGAGCTCTACATGAGTCAGACTATTCTGATTGCCACTTTGCCTCTGCTGTCCATTACAGTAGCTATGCCCACCTTGCCTTTGATGGTTGAGTGCTACTGCCACTTGGCCCCTGCCATCTCAGGATCCAACTATTCCCATTGTATTCAAATTGTGTAGTTGAGTGACTGCAGTTCCCACCATTAAGTCTGACATACAGAGAAGAGCAATTATAGGGCTCTTCAAAGATGCAGGTGCTGCCCTCACAAATCTATTTCACAAGATATTTATCAACAGTATATCTTCCGGACCCTCACAGCTGAGATGAGTAGGTGTAAAATGACTATTCCTCTCTACCATCCCAGTTTCCCTAAGTGTTTGGATTCTTTCCTCTACATTAAACCAAGGGAGATCAGGCATTTCCACCTCACTCACAGTGGGCCATCTTTTAATCCGTATTTCAGCTACCAACCAAATAAACTATTAGAACTTTTTTAACTCACCGAGCTGCAACATTAAAAGGAGAGTCCCTACTTAGTGGGCCCAAATCAATGAATTCGGCCTGATCCAACTCTATGTTCCTTCCACCATTATCCCATATCTTAATATCCATTCTCATGCCTGTTCTCCTGATTCTGTTTATATAAATTAGATAATTCAAACAGTTCTTTTCAAGTGTAGTGCACCTCCTCATGGATCACACTCTCAACCTCCCCTCTAGGGTTCTGCTGGGTCTTTAGTCTAGTTATAGGTCTAGAAGCAAACAGAGGTGTTGGGGGTGGCTCCTCAGGAGAATCAACATTATCTTGCCTGGCAATTGCCTCAGGGAAGGCCATCACTGTTGCCTCAGGCAGCGCAGGGTTTATCTCCTCAGAGAAGGTGGAAAGGCTGATGGCAGCATGTGCTGGGGAGAGGATGTTCCCACTAGTGGGAATGGGGAAGCTGTTTCTTCTGGCAAAAAAAGATTAATCAGACTTTACAAGCTCAGTGTCCCCAACTTAATCAGGGTCCTCCACACATCCCATTTCAAGTTTCAGGGTCCCATTCTTTTCCAATCAATGCCCTCACTTTAACAGAAGACACCTGGCGAGGCTGTGCATGCTCCTTTCGTTGCAGGTCAGCCACTCCCATAAGAGCTTGTGTCTGTTTTTCCAAAATTTCACCTCTTTCTCTACAGGAGATAAGACTCTCACTCAGGGCAATCTTGGCAGATGTAAGGCTCAGTATCTACTTCTGAAGCCAGGAGACAGAATCCCTGAGTTCATCATTTTACTGTATCACTTTGTCCACTGAACTTAGGAGCAACTAACCAGCTTATGTTCTTTGGTTCTCCACATATGGTCAAATGTATTATGTATAGAGTCACTAAACTACTTGCCTCTCACAAGCAATGAATCAAGAGTGTCAAATGCACTTGTTGTGCATAACTCTCTAAACAGTTCACTCCAAGGATGTTCTCCATACTATTAGAAGTAGAGTCCTTAGCATTTTATGTCTAATCACATTAAGGAGCCAACCCCAGAAACCCAAAAACCAATGAATATTCTGTTCCTCTAGAACCACTCCTGGTACCAAAATCTGTATTAGTCAGGGTTCTCTAAAGGGACAGAACTAATATATATAAAGAGGAATTTATTAAGTGTTAACTTACATGATCATAAGGTCCCACAATAGGCTGTCTGCAAGCTGAGGAGCAAGGAGAGCCAGTTCAAGTTCCAAAACTTAAGAACTTGGAGTCTGAAGTTCGAGGGCAGGAAGCATCCAGCATGGGAGAAAGATGTAGGCTGGGAGGCTAGGCCAGTCTCTCCTTTTCACGTTTTTCTGCCTGCTTTATATTCGCTGGCAGCTGAATAGATTGTGCCCACCAGGTTAAGGGTGGATCTGCCTTCCCCAGCCCACTGACTCAAATGTTAATCTCTTTTGGCAACACCCTCACAGACACACTCAGGATCAATATTTTGTATCCTTCAATCCAATCAAATTGACACTCAGTATTAACCATCACACTGGGATTCTTAAGAGGAAAATTCTTCATGAGACAGTTTAAGTTTGTTTGAGTTTGTAACTGATTATCATGTGTTACATTTTTTCAGTTAAATGAAGTATCTAATTTTGATTTTTGTGACAGACGAAGTTTAAACAACTTAATTGTGCGAGCTACAAATGAATTCATTTCATAGCAATATTCTGATGGCTTTCTCTTTTTAAAAGAATTGTTTTAGGGGCTGGGTCTTGCTCTATCACCCAGGTTGGAGTGCAGTGGTATAATCATAGCTCACTGCAGCCTCAAACTCCTGGCTTAAAGTGATCCTCCTGCCTGATCCTTCCAAGTAGCTATGACCATAGGTGCATGCCACCACACCTGGCTAATTTCTTTTTAACTATTTGTAAAGACAGGGTCTCAGTATGTTGCCCAGACTGGTCTCAAACTCCTGGCCTCAGGCAATCATCCTGTCTTGGACTCCCAAAGTGCTAAGATTACATGTGTGAGCCACCATGCCTAGCCTTCATGGCTTTCTTAAGTCCAAATTTCTGATTTACTAAATCTCAGAGCTATGGGTCATTTTTTAAGTATAGAAAGCCTTAAAGGTAGGGATTTCATCTTTGTATTCTTTTTATACCCAAAGCCTAACAAGGTGACTGGCACATCATAATAGGTACATAAAATGTATAATGAATATATGTGTAAACATGGGAAATAAACATGTAATGAAACTTAAAATGGTTTTGATTTCATTTTAACATGTTTTTATTATGTCTTGATTGAAGAACGTGGTTCCTTTGATATCATATAGTTTACATACATATTCTCTGTTCATTTGCAGTGGTATCTAAAATAGCTTAAAATAGTAATAATTGGTTTTATTGTTAATTTTATGTTAACTCCAGAAATCACCCTGCAGATTAAAAATCTGGACTTGATTCTAACTGTCCTGAGTCATCTACTTGCCTTCAGATATATCTAGATAAATTTGGTAACTAATAGTTTCATTTCCTAAATTCTAATTGAAAAAAATCCCTGCCTTTATTTCTGGAAATATATGTATGTATTTGGGTCTCATTCAGATCTCAACCACAGTAAAACAGACATCCCAAGACATGAGTTATAGTTTGGATAACCACAGAATTTAAATTGTTTACAATAAAATTCAAAAGACTTCTTGCATCTGTATGTTTTATGCCTAATATTTCCTTAAATGTTCTGGTATCTGTATATTTTGTACCTAATCTTTTCTTAAGTGATTTGACTCTAATTTAGATTGTTGAGATTTCAAATAGGGCTTTTGTATTTGCTCGTTTGTTTTCAACTACAGTATCCCTCCGTTAGGTCCTAAGAACTTTGACAAATTGGTGCAGGATGGTGAGCAAATGTAGACTAAATACAGTCTTTAAAAACCTCTGTGTAGATCTGTCACCACCATGGCTGCTAAAACATTCAAGTATAGTAGAAATTGTGAAGAAACTAAACAAAATGGTAAATAATTGTTCTGTCATCTGAGCATTGGTATATGTTTGGAATGAGCATGCTTTCTGTCTTAGTCTGCTCCAGATGCCATAATAAAATACCATTGACCAAGTGGCTTAAATAACAGAAACTTATTTTCTCACACAGCTCTAGAGGCTGGAAAGCCCAAGATTAGAGTGCCAACATGGTCAGTTTCTGGTGAAGCTTTACTTACTGGCTTGGAGAGAGCCACCTTCTTTCTGTGTCCTCACATGGCTGAGAGAGAGATCACTGACTCTTTCTCTTCTTACAAGGCCACCAATCCTATGTGATTAGGACCCTTCTCTGATGACCTCATTTAAAATTAATTATCTCCTAAAAGCTTTAATCAAACTATAGTCACATTAGGAGTTATGTCTTCAACATGTAAATTCTGGGAAAATATAATTCAGTCCATAGCACTTCTTCTTTGACTAATTTCACTTGCAAAGATTATGTGGGGAAATGAATGAATACAGACTAAGAAAAAGACAAAGTCAGAATCCATTTTAGAATGAATAAGGCCTCTTAAGTTGGCATTATGCTGTCGTGTGAGCCATTGTTTTTGCAGTAATATAGATCTGACAATGGCAGCTTCTGGGAAAATATTACCTAGTAGGTGCACTTTGTTCCAAACAAAATTGTTCAAATACATCAACAGGTATTTTCTGCAATTTTAAGTTAGTTTTATTTTCGTCTTCAAATTATCCTTTCTAGGAGATTCTACATATCTGAAAATAGCCGTCATGTTTTCCTCACTTTAATTTTCTCATCCTACATCTGAGTGAACTCGAATCCCTTCCTTCAACCTGCTGATTGCTCCCATTAATGCTGCTGCACTACAGCACTAATACGATGCTCACTTCGGTGAGAAGCTTTCTGCATATCTTGCTTTCATTTCCTGTTCTATTTGCTATAAACACAGTTATTTTCATTCTGTTGCTTTCAGTCACATATGGCATTTTGAAACTGTTAAATAAAGAGATTATCAATATTAGATCTATCTCAGCTGTAAAACCTACATTTATGAAGAAATATGATGTATTTAATTTCATTTCTAAAAGCCCAGCATCCTAGCAATGGTCATAAATTCACATGATTACCCTAAGCATTAGATTTTGCATTTGGAACACTATTTAACTAAAAAAGGAATCAAACATTCATGCAAGCAAGAAAGCAGCTTTCTATTAATGACATGTGCAAAGAAACTGCAAAATATAAATGATTCTGACTTAGATCATCAATAAAACTTGACATTCAAATAAAATGGCTTCATAGTATCTCCTTTTGGGACATGACAGCATAAGAAGAATATTAATATTTTGCCAAATTCAACATTTTTCAGGAAATTAATCTCTCCTTTATAAATTTATCAGGAAAATTATGAAATAATAGTAAAAATAGAACTATGCTATTATCACTAACAATACAAAATACACATTGACTAACATTTTTAAAATTCCTTAAAGAACTTCAATAATCTCATTTTAAATATAATATTATTATAATCCAGTCTGATTTCAATCCTAAGAAATTATCTACCTAATACACTTAAACAAATAATTTTTTAAAACAGACATAATTTTAATGATGGCAGAAAATAAGCTCATTTAGAACATTCCTCTAATTAAAAGAAATGACACATATTTGAGAAATATATAAGGAAATTAATATGACATTTACTTTTTGTTATTTTCTGGGAAAATTTTTGAAAATTAGTTTTAAGTGAACTGGTAATATACTTGCTTCATCTGTTGCTCCAACTCTTCTCCTAACAATTGTCAAACTTACCATGAAGAGAAAAGGAAGGCATCAAAGGGGGTTGCTTTTCTGGAACTTTGACTAACTTCTCTACCTCGGTTATTCTGATAGTATATCCCTTAGGAATGCTGGGGGACTAAGATGTGGAGATGGTATAATTGAAAGCCAAACAGGAGCTAATGTCCACCATAGGGGAGATAATTAGAAAAATCATGTATTGGGCTACTGTTGTGAATGATAATCAAGTAGAGCTCTATCATTTGATTACAAGCCTCATTCAGTACAGCCCACGTGTTCTTGGGCATGAAGTGATTAAGCAGTAAACATGCTGAGCTGCTGCTGAGGAGGAGAGAGATGCCAGAGATAGGAGGCTTGGTAGGTAGCTGTTTATTATTAAGGACAGGGAGTATGGTGATGCTGAACAGGAGAAGAAATGAAGACTAAATAGGAGAAGACAACTCAGAGAAACTCAGAATGGACACCATGATGTCAAATCATTCCCGGCATTAAGCAATAAAATAAGCAATCAGTGTTTTATAGATTATTCTCTTGCCATTGGAAGTGATTAATAGAATTGATAGTTAAAGACTAAACTTTAAGATAAGTATAAACCTATGGTTATACTTACAACTAACTATACACACTTTCAAATGCATGCCCACTCTACTAATAAATGAGAATCTCCTTGATTGGAGTCTTCTTCTGGCTAAAATGTTTCCTAGTAAATTCTGATATACTACCAGGTTTGAGAGCCCCTGGCGCAAGTCAACATAAACATCTTTGTATAACCAGCACTATCTTCTCTGAAGCAAGAATAGTTATTTGAGTAAGACATCTTGGAATAAGAGCAAACCAGGACACATAAAATATGGTCCAGAGCAAATCAAACAATAATGAAATATTTTGTTGGCTATGTACTTAAATGAGTCAGAAATTGATATTCAAACCTGCTATATGTTCTTTACAGCATACTTAAATATTGACAAACTTTCAGGCTCATGTATCTGAATGGAAGGAACCTCTTAAGGATTCTGTTTCTGTTTTTGTGTAATGGAGTGTCTCTTATAATTTATTTAAGGACTTTTATAGAGTTATATTGTCCAAGGAATTTATGTGGTATGAGTTTGAGAACAAAATAAAAGACTAGAAAAATCTTAGCAAAATATCACCCATATGACAAGGATCTCTTTTAAAGTTGTTCCAGCATGTTTTAAATCTTTGGCTCATATTCTGAATGTTTTATCTAATCACTGATAGGGTAATTTATGCTTATTTCCTTGTTTTTTTTTTTCTATTTTATCCCTGTACAAAATGCTCTTTTTGCATGAGTGAACCATAATCCAGGGGTCCCCAGTCCCCACGCTACTGGTCTGTGGCCTGTTAGGAACCAGGCTGCATAGCAGGAGGTGAGTGGCAGGTGAGCAAGCATTACCACCTGAGCTCCACCTCCTGTCAGACCAGCAGCAGCATTAGATTCTCACAGGAGCGAACACAAACCCTATTGTGAATTGCACATGTGAGGGATCTAGGCTGCATGCTCCTTATGAGAATATAATGCTTCCCTACACCCCCTCCGTCCATGGAAAAATTGTCTTCCACGAAATTGGTCCCTAGTGCCAAAAAGGTTGGGAACTGCCACCATAATCCATAGCATGCTGCCTATGTGGTAAGCACATTTGGTTCTGCAGGTTTCACAACTCCTGTAGAGTAAGAACCTACATCAAATCATCTTTCACACTCATATAATGTTCATTTTAAGAAACCTCAGGTCATTTCAAGATATGTGTTTAAATGTCTTAACCAGCTAGAGGATCATGTGCACTCTTTATGGTTATCAAGAATTTTGTGAATAATTATAATGAAGATGTGAAGCAATCTAGAACTTACGCAAATGACTTGGGCATAAGTAATAGTTTAAAAACTTAGCACAGATTCATGAAAATGAAACTTCTCAAAGCAATGTGCTCTATGGAAACATGTAAGAAATTTTTTTCCTTCAAAGAGTAAGACAGTGGGGTTATAGTTATTTAAGCTATATGTTCAAAAGCTGCTGTCTATTGTTGTTGTATTTATTTCATATGCTATTATAGCCTTTAAGCATAACATGAAAGTAAAATCACATAAAACAATAACAAGAAAAAAGTTTACTCTCATTATATCAATCACAAGAAAAATGTTTACTCTCAGTATATTTTTAATCATTAAATGTTAGATATTTTTTCCTATGACTGTTAGACTTTTCTGAGTCTAGACTTAAGTTTAAGGTATCCAATCTTCTCTCTTGACCCTGACAGAAATGTCTAAAAAATATTTTGAAATACTGATCTAGACATTTATAAGATTACCATATAGGTCTCATATTGAATGTTACTATTTTTAATTATATAACTTTGATACTAGGGAAGTTTAAATTTTTCCCAAATTGTGAAGGTTTTATAAGCTGAGTCCATAAAGCTCACTGATAATAGACAGATTAATAGGAAAAAGAGCATACAAATTTATTATCATGCATATGGGCACAGGAGTCATACAAAATATGAAAAACTCAAAGAAAGTCAAGATGGTTAATAATTTTATACCATCTTGAGGTTACAGGAATAACAGGAGCTCTGAGGGTGGCCAACCATATTACGATGGGGACAGAAGAGGAAAGGCTGGAGAAAAAGGTGGTCTGTTATGAAGATGAAGCCTCACAGGTATCAGCCCTTGTAGGATCTGTTTGTCAGAACTTTCGAAGTGTCAGGCACACAACTAATCTTTCTTGATCTGGACAAGGAAAAGCTTCAGAGAAAAGTCTGTTTGCATCTGTTGTTTACTTCACTTTATTCCCTCTACAAATCTCGTCTCCAAAAGACAGCTTTGTGGGGCTACTTCTGTCTGCAGGCCCTCTGAACAGCCATCTCAAAATATGTCAAGGAAGTATATTTTGGGGTGAAACATTTTTAGTTTCCTTCAATACGCTTTTGGTTACAAATGTATGTTGTACTTGAAGGATGTCTTACAAAATAATAGGTATGCTTATGGGTAGGAAAGAGATTTAGATTGTTCCTATCTCCAATCAAAGATAAAATGTATTCCAACTTCAAGCTGTAATCTATGGACTGAATCATTGACGTCTGACAAACACAGTCTTTCCAAATGATAACACCTTAACCTCTCTGCTTTTAATATCACAATTTCCAAGCACTGTATACAGTAAGAGTAGAAGTAATACAGAATTTACCTACATGTTAAACTACTGTTCTCAAAGAAGTTCTCTGGAATTACATATGTGACGGTAAATATATTTTTGAAAACCTTAAACTTATATAAATGCTGAATAAATACCAAAGGTTATTAAACTAAGTCTCTCTACAAAATTTTCCCAATATTTGCACCAAATTACTTATTGAATTTTCATTACAAACATGGCTACCTACATGAGTCAGTGTTTTCCAGAGAAACAGAACAAATAGGATGTCTGTACATAGAGAGAGATCTATTTTTAAAAACTGTCTCAAACGATTTTGTGGGCCGGCAAATTTGAAACCAGCAAGGCAGTCCAGCAGTCTGGAAATTCTGGGAGTTGATGTGGCAAATTCTGAGTCCAAAGATAATCAGGAGGCAGAATCACTTCCTCTTCAAGAGGACTCAGTCTTTTCTCTTAAGGCCTTCAACGGATTGGATAAGGCCCACTCACATTATGGAGGCTAATCTACTTTATTCAAAGTCTACTTATTTAACTGTTAACCACATCTAAAAATACTTTCACAGCAATGTCTGCAGACTGGTGTTTGACCAAACAACTGAGCACCATGGCCTAACCAAGTGCTGGGGCTGAGAAAAAAATATCCCAAAGTGAAGACCTCACAAGTAAAAGTACTTCTCTGACCTTCTGCCCTCCTGTCTCTCAGTCCCAGTCTTCCCCAAAGCCTAGGCACAGAAACTACAATCTTCTTCTCCAAGGCGAGCCATAGAAACCTACAAATATTACTCTAACTTTCCCTCTCCCTTTCTGTGTCAAAACTGCCCATAAATAAATTATCTGGCTTGCCTTGTTTGACTGAAGATCATAAGACTCCCATTCTAAAGAGGGCCCTGCAACATACTCAGAAGGAAGGACTACATGCTCAGAGATGCCAAGAAAAATCTAGACAGGAAAACCTGTCTAGTGGGGGCTGGGATGACCCCACTGTGTTGGGGAGTGTGGGGTTTCCCCACTCAGTCTATTAGCTTAGACCATACACTTTTTATCTAAGCACTTCTATACAGATGCCTATACTTGGTGGAACGTAACCAAAAAAATGGACAATTTCCCTTCTGTCTTTGAGTCTTTATTCTGAGGGCTCCTTTACATACATATTAAATACATTTGTATGCCTTTTCTCCAATTACTCTGCCTTTTGCGAGTTAGTTAATTTTTCAGTGAACCTTCAGGGAGCCAAGGGGAGCTTTCCACTTTGGCCCCTACGTAAGTCAATGTATAAAATTATCACACTAAATCAGTATCTCTCCTTCTCTTCCTGAAAATCACACCAAAACAACAAGAAAAAGGAACACCTGTAGCCTCAATTTTTAGTGAAACTGGGAGGCAGATGTAATAAGCTGGCTTCATCATGCATGTGAGGGCTGTCCAAAGGAGCTGAGCTGGACAGAAGCCATTGGGGGAAGAAATAAAAATAACAAAGCAGAGAATCCAAGGAGGCCCAGAAGGAGCTGTTCTCAACAGCATCAACAAAGGTGAGAGGCTCTCTCAAAAATGCACATGCTACATCCCTTGAACAGGAGAGAATACAACCTCTGGACCAGGCTTGACCAAGAGAAATAGAAGATGTGGTATATTGTGCAACTACACAAAGACTCACAAAGGAGCCACATTTGTAGGAAGTAGTCTGTCTCTGTGGCAGCAGGAGGAGAGCTTTTATGTTGTGAAGTCTGGAATGCTATCTAAGACATTCTCACTCCCCCATTTCATAGAAATCATCTGCAAATAGCTAGTTTAGAAAAATCCAACTTTTTCCGTGATACATAATAAAAAAGAATATGGTGCAGCATCAATATATAAACACTATAAAAAATAGGGTAAAGTTTACCACATTTACCAAAAGATGAAAAATACTCAGATTTTTCATTTTGTATTCCATACAGGACTCTCTCTCCATCTCACCCAAGCAAATCTAAGCTTTGTAAAGGTCTACTGGGCCCTACGTGATCTCATTATCCTATTGCTTCTTTCTCCCAAACCTGTCTGTCCCCTCTCCTTTCTTTCTAAGAACATTCCAAGCACAATCATCCCTCACAGTCTTTTTCCTTGCTCTTCCCTCTGTGTGGAATATTCTTTCACAGATAGTAATAATGGCTCACTCTCTTAGCTTCTTCAAGTTGAGATATCACCTCCTGAGAGTGATCATCACAGGTCACACTATTTACAATTTTGAACAACATGCCAACATTTCTTCTTCCTCTTATCTGAATTGAATTTCCTTATATAGCACTCTTTACAATCTAACATTTTATGTATTTTCACAACTTTTTATTCTGTTTTATTCACTGCTGTATCCTTAGTGACTGCTACAGTGTAGACAGTCAAAATCTATTTCTTAAGTGAATAAATGATTAAATGAATGAATGAGTTTACACTTTTCAGGAAATGTTTCCACAGAATAGATAAAGAGCATAGTCAAGCGTATCACTAAAAAATTAAGAAAATTGAATTAAACCATCAAGTCTCTGAAGGATATTCACAAAGGACAACTGTAAAAACTCAGGGAAGAAATTGGAAGACAAGAGGGGAAATGCAGAAAGAGCTGGGGGAAGATGGGAATAAGTAGGAAGAAAATAAACATCACACAGAGAAAGATGAAATTTGAAAAGCAGAAAGGGAAAGAGACACCTCAGAAAACCCAATCAAAAGTATATGAGATAAAAATGAGTAAAGCAAGCAAAGAGTAATGGAAATAAACTGTTTAAACGGATTAGAATAAACAAAATGTGATCTATCCATAGAGTGAAGTACCACTCAACAACAAAAGTGAAAAACTATACACACAATTCAGGTGGAGGAAGCTAGATATGAAGCCTCTATACTGTATTACTTAATTTATATGAAATTGTAGAAAACGTAAAACAATAGTAAGAACAAAATAGAGTAGAGGTTGCCTGAGTCTAAGGATGGGGCAGGAATGGGCAGCAAAACAATGTGAGGCAGCTTTTAGAGGTCATGGAAATGTTCTGCAATTTTACTGTAATGGTCATGACACAACTGTGTTATTTACCGAAACTCAAAACTGTGCACTTACATAGAAAATATACCCCTATAATGCTTTTTTGTTTAAGAATTGGCAAGAAAATGATACATTTAGAATACAAACAGGGTATCTAACATGCCCATAATTGAAATTCTCCTGAAATTCCAGCATTTTGGGAGGCCATGGCAGGCAAATCACTTGAGCTCAGGAGTTCGAGACCAGCCTAGGCAATATGGCAAGACTCTGTCTCTACAAAAAAATTAGCTGGGCATGGTGGCATGCACCTGCGGCAGGCTGAGGCTAGAGAATCACCTGAGCACCTCAAGACTGCAGTGAGCCATGATCAGGCCACAGCACTCCAGCCTGGGTGACAGTGGGACAACTTGTCTCAAAAAAAAAAAAAAAAAAAAAAAAAGAAAGAAAAAGAAAAAAAAAGAAATTATCTAAGAAGTAAACTGAAATAACATTTAAAGCCATAAATCTAAAACACGTTTTCTAAAAGGAGGTAGTTCATTTGTGTTCATTTATTAATTTAGTAAATGAGCAGTGCCATTTACTATATACCAAGCACAGTTCTAAGCATTTTAAAGATACTCACTCCATCTCATAACAACTCTCTAAGGCAAATCCAATTGTTTTATACAGATGAGAAGACTGAAATGCAGAGAAGTTAAGTGATTTTCCCAAGTATCAAGTAGTAAATGGTAATGCCATGTAATGGTATTTACATATTAAAAGAATACAGTATATGTCAAAATAAACTGAACACCATACTAAATAGCCAGACATATGTTTGGAAAGTCAGTAGAGTTTAATTATAAAACAGTCAGGGAAACATAACAAGATATTTATAAGGGGGAAAAACAAGGCTGTCTTGGATATCTACCCAGCAACATTTAATGCCAGAATGTGGTAGAACAATACTTATAAGATAATAAAAATATAATGAATAATAGAATTTTTAAAAAGAAAAGCCATCTACAAATTTTATGGTAAGTGCAAATGTCAGGGAAATTTAACACATAAATTTTTAAACATGCACAGATTCAAAATATAGTGTTCACACGAGCTCCTCTTTAAGCTACAAAATTCAGTCGACAAAATGATGAGGGAATTTAGACTAAAATGTTGGGTGGTAGAGACAATATATTCTGATAACAAAGAAATAACCATTGGAAATTAACAAAATAAATCAATATATCTATCTCAATATAGAAAAAGTTGTCGAGTGAAACACTAATCAACATTGTAAAACTTCTAAAGAAACAAAGATTTTAAAAAATACTCTGTATTTGAACATGTACGCTTAAGATAAGTAGTGTTCAGAGTAAATGTACAGCCTGAAATACTTGTATGCATCAAAAAGAACAAAAGGAGGGCTGGGCACTGTGGCTCATACCTGTAATCCCAGCACTTTGGGAGGCCAAGGCGGGCGGATCACGAGGTCAGGAGATCAAGACCAGCCAGGCCAACATGGTGAAACACCGTCTCTACTAAAAAATTAACTGGGTGTGGTGGCAGGTGACTGTAATCCAGCTACTCAGGAGGCTGAGGCAGGAGAATCACTTGAACCCGGGTGGCAGATGTTGCAGTGAGCCAAGATCACACCATTGCCCTCCAGCCTGGACCACAAGAGCGAAACTCTGTCTCAAAAAAACAAAACAAAAAAAAAACAAAAAGAAAGCACATGTACCCTAAAACTTAAAGTATAATAATAATAAAATAAAAAAAAGAAAGAATGGATTAACTGATTCAAACAATTAGTAGTACCAAAAAAAATGGAAAGCAAACATAAGAATTAATAAAAATAGAAGTAGAATTTAATGAGGTTAAAATATGTAAATAGCAAAAATAATTAAAAATTGCTTCTTTTAATAAAAAAATAAGCAATAAAACATATAAATCAGCCGTTAAGCTAGTCAAAATCTGAAGACAGTATACAATAAGAAGTGATAATGTAGGAAAGGTAACAGAACTAGAAAATTATTAATAAGTGCTATATTAATATTAATACTATAAAAATAAACTTGAAATCTGAATAACAAATCGTTTTTCTAAGAAAAATAATTTGCCACAACTGGTGCTGAAAAAGAGACAATTAGAAAAGGTTAATTCCTATAAAACAGACAAGGCAAAAATTACTCCTTCCAAACAGCACTAGGATAAAAAAGCTTCACAGGAAAATTCCAAAAATATTTAACAAATGGACCATTGAAATGCTATTAAACTGCCTCAGGCATAAAAAAGAAAACAAGTTTATAAAATGAATATGGCATTGATACTGAGTCCTGGTAAAGATTATACTTAGAAAACAAACTATAGAACAATCTCATTTTAAAAATTGATGGAAAACTCCTAAATAAATATTTTTTTAAATACAGCAAAACTAAACTAAAAGATAGTCTTACTATGATGACTGTTTTATTACAAAAATGTGTGATTCAATGTTAGGAAATATATTAATATAAATAGCATAAATCATCACCAGTGATTATTAAAAGCATATGAATCTAGACTGTGCAATGTAGTGAGACCCTGTCTCTACACACAAAAAAATAATAACACAAAAATTAGTGGATGTAGTGAAATATACCTGTACTCCCAGCTACTCAGGAGGCCGGGATAGGTGGATCACTTGAACTCAGGAGGTGGAGGCCACAGTGAGCCGTGATTACACCACTGCACTCCATCCTGAGTGACAAAGTAAGATCTCATCTCAAAAAAACAAAAGGAAAGAAAAGAAAAAAAGAAACTAATAATAATAATAATGTGTGAGGCTGAGGTGAGATATGAGTGGATGGGGAACAGGGGAAGAGAAAGACATTTTCCTCTATAACTTACATTTCATATAGTGTATAAGGTTTTAGTCATGTAAAAATATAATCTAGTAAAATATGTACATTTTATAAAATACAAATTTAAGTGCCTAATATACTGTGAATATCTCTCAAACTTAGCTTCTTATTAAATCTGTGTAGCAGAGTTGTGCTTTCATTCTATTTTTAAGTATTCAGTCAACAGTTCCAATTGTGTTTATTTCTGCATTGTTCTCACTCTAGCTTAAATTGTAGCTATCTCATCACGCAGCTGCCCAAATATTTTATATTTATCATAAGCCATCAATTTGAGTTTCTATTGATCAAAAGGATTTATCCAAATGTTTTCAAACACTTAGTAAAAGAAAGAAAACATTAATACATCATATTTATGTTTTAATGTCAAAAATACGATACTATTTCTTCAAGTCACCAAAGATAGTCCTCTCATCCCTTCCCCCGCCAAAAAGCAAGCAAATAAAAACATTTAATTATGGGAACTTATTGAAAAGCTCCACCCAAGCCCACCCCCCCACTCCAGGCCCCCTCACCATAAACAGCCTCCTGCCATTCCCTCTCTGCTGAAAGTGGAGCCGTGGAGGAGAGTGGGCCAAGTAACTTTCTTTAGATTTGATGCCTTCCCAGATGGGTGGACCATGATTGAAATGTCACCACGCTATTCATATGCATTTGTTGAAACTTATGTGTCTGATATATGAAGAATATTTTTAGTTTTGACACCCTGTTGAAATTAGGACAAGATGTATCGTCTAGATCAGCACTTGCAGAATTGGGTGCGTACGTCAGCTCACAGAGGTGGATCATCAGTAGATTCTCCCTGGGAATCCATGTGAGAGCCAAATATCATGGCTTTGTGCATCATCGGTATTTGCAAACATGTAAATGTGTTTGCTAGTTTTTTTGTTTTTGTGTTTGTTTTGTTTTGGTTTGGTTTTGTTTTGTTTGTTTTTGAGACGGAGTCGCTCTGTCGCCCAGGCTGGAGTGCAGTGGGGTGATCTCGGCTTACTGTAAGCTCCGCCTCCTGGGTTCACACCATTCTCCCTCCTCAGCCTCCCGAGTAGCTGAGACTACAGGCGCCCTCCACCACGCCTGGCTAATTTTTTGTATTTTTAGTAGAGACGGGGTTTCACCATGTTAGCTGGGATTACAGGCGTGAGCCACCACACCCGGCCCGTGTTTGCTAACTTTATGACATTTAAAATTGATTTTAATTTTATATTGAAAATATTAATGTTATCATTCAAGGGTGGAGGAAGGCACACAGGTACAAAAAAGTTTCAGGCACACTAGAGTTTCCTTCCTAAACCTACAGACTATCCTTCTGTCTTCCTGCTCTTTCTTCCTCTGTCTTCCTGCTTTTTTGGCGATGACTTCTCATCTCCAAATGAAAACAAAGCCCAAAATCTCTACCTTGGAATTTAGGAATATAGACGTATAATAGAGAGCGCTGGAATTAGAGGTGAAAGGGGCTTGTTCTAATCCTGATTTAGACCCCTAACAGAGGAAAGCCTGGACAAGAAGGCATTTACATTCTTTGAATCTCAATTCATTTTACTTACTGTAAAACTTAACAACAATACCTGTTGTTAAGGGGGATACATAAATTAGTTTGTATTTTGAAACTGGCAAAGATTTATTAAAATGTCATATATAAACAAAATTTCTCTCAAGACTTAATGGGACTGAAGAGATTGTTTTTGCAGCTCCACCTCCTTCTACTTTTCTATTCACATTCTGTGCGGGAGTCTCTTGGTCTATTCATCCTTCTCCTTAAGCATCCCCTGGGTTCCTGTCAACCAAAGTATGCCTGCTGTTCCTTTATCTGAAATAACTTTATTCTTGTACCTAGCACCCTGCACAACTTCTCCTTCCTCAAGAGAGTTTCCATTAACAACAGAAAGCCTGAATTGTAGCAGTTGTGGATTTTTGTCATATAAATACAACTACAATTTTAAGCTACTAACCATTTGACAACTAGCTTGAAAAGTTCAAGAATATCTAGCAATCTGCTTTCCCCAGCTAGTACCAGCAGCTCCACACACACCACTGCTGCCCCAAGCTGTAGCACAGCTGCCTGCCTTAAATATTTACTATTATACTAAAGGAACAAAAGCCTGAATGAATGGCCATGGTGGTAACCTTTAGGCTGTCTATAGGGACCAGTTCTTAGATATTTTGGCTAAGTTCTTCTGTACTGAAAACTTACAAACAAGAATGTACAAGCTATCAGATGTCCCTCAACCTATGACCGAATTTTATCTTTTAGTATAGGTGAGAAAGAAGGAGATCTATGTGGCTGTCATCCTAATATAAAAGGGTATCTCTGGAGTCACTGGGCCCAAATTTGCCTCCACCATATAGCAGCAAAGTGAACTAGGATGAGTCACATTAGCTCCCAATTTCTTCAACTCTATGAAGGCTATATAAGTACCAAACTTAGAAGGTGTGTTCTGAGGATTGAATAAATAACTCCGTTTTGAAACTACGTGGAATACTTCATAAATGTAAAAAAATGTTTTCTCTGTACCCTTATCCTATATGGTAACCTGTGAGTTCTCTCCTCAACCTTTTTCCCATACCTCTGTTATAGCACACCAATAAGAATTGTATCTGTTTAATTATAGGTTCATCTTCCCCACTAAAGCATAAGTTAGTCGCTGTGTTTATGGCCTAGCACATAGTAGGAATTCATACAATGTTTCATTAATGTATGATGTATGTATGATAATCTTTAGACAATTTTGTAGTTCAGACTCTCGTTTAAAGAATCTTTCTTTTAAACAACAAGTCGTGAAATATACCAAACAAATCAGAAAAGTTTTTTAATGGTATACAGGTTTCTTTTTAATATTTTCTGAATAAAATTGTGTGTTTTTTCCCTTGGGGCATAAGCCAAGTTTTACTATCTAATATCTATCATATTCATAGAAAAATACAGATGCTCCTCAACTTAACAATGGGGTTACGTTTTCACAAACGTGGTAAATTGAAAACATTGTAAGTCAAAAATGCATTTGATACATCTAAACCTACCAAACATCATAGCTTAGCCAACTTACTTTAAATGCAGTCAGAACACTTACATTAGCCTATAGTTGGGCAAAAATCATTTAATACAAAGCCTATTTTATAAGAAAGTGTTGACTATATCATTTTAAAGTGTCATACCACATATCACTAGCCAGAGAAAAAAAAATCAAAATTCAAATATGGTTTCCACTGAATGCATATTGCTTTCACAACATCATAAAGTCTAAAAATCATAAGTTGAACCATTGTAAGTAGGAGACTGTATATACTTGCCAGATTAGAAGTTGTCACAAATACTTTGGGATTTCTCCCATTAAGAAATAGGGTCTTTGTCCCCTTCCCTTGAATCTGAGAAACCTCTGGGAATGCTTGATCAAGAGAATATGGCAGAAGTGATTTTGTGCTAGTTTATGGGCCCAGGCATTAAGCGACTGGCAGCCTCCACTTCCTGTGTCTTCTTTTTGAAACCTGGGGCTGCCTAGGAAAGAGCCATCTGATGACTCAGCTGGAGATATCAAAGAAAGAGGCCCTGAGATCCTATGGAGAAGGAAAAAGGCCCAGTTGTGCTCAAACTTCCACTTGTCCCACCAAAGCACCAAGTGTCTTGGACTCTCTAGACCAGTCCGGTTATCAGTTGATTACCACCAAGTGACCTAGGTCAGTGCACTGTAGAGCATATGATCACCCAACTGAGCACTGCCCAAATTTCTAAACACCAAAATTCTGAGGTATAATAAAATGTTTGCTATTTTAACACACAAAGTTATGAAGTAGTTTTTATATAGCAATATATAACTGGAACAATAAATAGATGAAAATGGTTAACAAAATTGAAGATATATTTAATGTATTTTTAATTAAATTTTGACTTTCCATCCTCAAAGCAAAAGAAAACCCTTTCCTAACAAAGCACTATTTTACTAATGTCAATTTTGATATTCTTTATGAGTATTTTATGACTACTCTACCTACACACAATTAGGCTACTATGTCTCACATCCATTAAATACAGTGTTTCCTTAATGCAAAAAGAAATCAGATATTTTTAAAATTAAGAAATGATTTCCCCAATGTTTGAATAGTTATTCATATCACTACAATGTCAAAGATTCACAGTGAGCATATTTTATTAGATGACAACCACCTCAAAAATAACGATAATATTTTTTCAATTATTTTAGTCCCTTTTCATTTTTCAGCCTATAATTCCAATATTTCTGAGACTGAAGATGTGGCAGGCCTCTGGTGGCTTGACTGGCTTGACTAGGCCCCTTTAATAACTTCTGTTTGCTAAGAATGGTGATGTGACATGGGCCTGCATAGAGAAGGCCTGTTTGATATTACCTTTCCATCTCAGTCCGGTGGTGTGACCGAGACTCTTAGCTACATTGCTTTAGGCCTCCTGGCAAGAGAAAACCTGTTTAATTACCTGCCCCAGCTGTACTTACTAAGTGGAATGATTATTAAATCTGTCTCTCTATTTCACAGTTTCAGTATACAATTTAAATCTATGCCAAGACGAATGGAGGTCATAGATTCTGTAGGAGTAGACAGGACTAAAATCATCATTGTGACAGGTGTCTTAAGAGCATTGTGGTCTAAGGCTCAGCCAACCCTCTGTCCTCTAATATAAAAATAGGAGGTTCTTAGATGCTCTGCCAACTTTGTAACTGCACATAACGTCTCATCATTTAGCCATGTTATTGTCCAGTTCATGTTCAAAGAAGGATAATAATACTTAACCTTTTCTCCTCTTTACCTGCTGACATATCATTTGAGTTATTTGTTCTGAAGTCTAAAGACAAGATAAAATCACCAACTTTGTGATGGTTAATTTTATGTGGCAACTTCACTGGACCATGGGTTGTCCAGATATTTGGCCAAACATTATTCTGGGTGTAACTGTGAGGGTGCTTCTGAATGAGATTAACAATTGAATGGGTAAACTGAGTTAAGCAGATTGCCCTTCTAAATGTAGATGGGCCTCTTCCAATCAGTTGAAGACCTGACTAGAACAAAAGGATGAATAAGGGAGAATTCATTCTCTCTGCCAGTCTCTGAGCTGGGACATCAGTCTTCTCCTGTTTTTGGACTTGATCTCAGACTGGAACTTACACCATCAGCTCCCCTGTTTCTCTGGCCCTCAGACTTGGACTGGAACTATATCATTGGTTCTCCTGGATCTCCGACTTGCCAACTGTATATCTTGGGACTTCTCAGCCTCCGTAATCACATAGGCCAATCTCAATAAGTAAATAAATATAGATATCTCCTATTGGCTCTATTTCTCTGGAGAACCCTGCATAATATATTTTTGTTTCTCTAATATGCAAACTCTGTTCATCTGCTTCTCAGAGTTTATTGCTATGATAACTTTATTGGCAGAGGAAACCAATGTATATCCTCAGGGAAGACTAAAGTGGCCTGCTTCCGTAATTCCTTCTTTATTATATACAGTAATGCAACTTTTGCATCTTTTACATTCTACCCCATAATATATCCAAGCTTATCATAATATAAAAAATGTTTTAAATTTTTAAACATTTGTTTGTAATAGATTTTTCAGAAAGATTAAATGTGCTTATTTGATAGTTTACCCTTTTGCTTTAAATATTTCCAGCACACTCCTTAGAGGTAAGCACCAATGTTTGAGAAGTATAATCTAATTTTCACTCATACTTTTCTAAAAATGTTATTTGTCATTTGTAAAAGCCCTTTGTTGTCTAATTTCATAACATCTCTCTCTTTTATGGTTTTATTTATATATTTTAAAAATCATAGGTAAATTAAATTTCATTCTTGGCTGTAGACTTTAACATAATGCTTGTTAAATTTTGCAACCAGAAAGTAAACTAACTTTGTCATTAACTCTACTTTCATCAGTTATTATATGTGTCAACAAAAATGCAAGTTTAATAATGCAGCTAACCATTTTAGACCTTCAATAATTAAAATTTATTTTTATTTTACAATTTTTGCTGTGAATTTTAAAGCAAAATAGTAAGGGCCTCACAAGGGCAATTCTTAGGTTAAATGAATAATGCACTAGACCAAGAGAGCTGACCAGAGGTTTGCTGTATATTCTTTTTACCATATATGCTAGACAGAATTTGATGTGACTCCAAATTATAAAACTGTAAATCATAAAGACAAAGACTTTGTCAATAAGCATTTATAAGGTTAACAAGGGAAAACCTGCCCCCTTTCCTAACCCCACCAAACCATAAAGTTTTTAGTACAGGTAGAACACAAGCCATAAAGCATGCAAATAATGCATTATTATTGGGGTATTCATAAAAGCTTCGTAACCAGCTGAGTTGTCTTGAGCAAACCACAAGAGATAATACAAATATTGAACAAAATATGGTAATTTAAATATGACTTTATGCTCTTCTTTACTGTAATTTTGCCCAGCTATATGGAAATGTCACAGAGCCTTTGTGTAATCTTTGGGATCCAAATCACAAAACAGAGAATTAATGTGATGGAGGAAAAATACACTTAGAGTTTATTGTGTGTTTGATTCTAAACTCTGTAACTCATTTTCTCTGTTATCTTAGACTCATCATTTCACTCTCTTGATGTCACTTCATCTAAAAAAATAAAGGGTTTATTCTTGAATGATCATCTGAAAGTTTTCTTCCAACATTCCATGCTCATGGATAGGAAGAATCAATATCATGAAAATGGCCATTGTGCCCAAGGTAATTTACAGATTCAATGTCATCCCCATCAAGCTATCAATGACTTTCTTCCAGAACTGGAAAAAACTACTTTAAATTTCATATGGAACCAAAAAGAGCCCGCATCGCCAAGACAATCCTAAGCCAAAAGAACAAAACTGGAGGCATCACACTACCTGACTTCAAACTATACTACAAGGCTACAGTAACCAAAACAGCATGGTACTGGTACCAAAACAGAGATATAGACCAATGGAACAAAAGAGAGCCCTCAGAAATAATACCACACATCTACAACTATCTGATCTTTGACAACCCTGAGAAAAACAAGCAATAGAGAAAGGATTTCCTATTTAATAAACGGTGCTGGGAAAACTGGCTAGCCATATGCAGAAAGCTGAAACTGGATCCCTTCTTTACATCTTATACAAAAATTAATTCAAGATGGATTAAAGACTTAAATGTTAGACCTAAAACCATAAAAACCCTAGAAGAAAACCTAGGCATTACCATTCAGGACATAGGCATGGGCAAGGACTTCATGTCTAAAACACCAAAAGCAATGGCAACAAAAGCCAAAATTGACAAATGGGATCTGATTAAACTAAAGAGCTTCTGCACAGCAAAAGAAACTACCATCAGAGTGAACAGGCAACCTACAAAATGGGAGAAAATTTTTGCAATCTACTCATCTGACAAAGGGCTAATATCCAGAATCCACAAAGAACTCAAACAAATTTACAAGAAAAAAACAAACAACCCCATTGAAAAGTGGGCAAAGGATATGAACAGACACTTCTCAAAAGAAGACATTTATACAGCCTACAGACACATGAAAAAATGCTCATCATCACTGGCCATCAGAGAAATGCAAATCAAAACCACAATGAGATACCATCTCCCACCAGTTAGAATGGCAATCATTAAAAAGTCAGGAAACAACAGGTGCTGGAGAGGATGTGGAGAAATAGGAACACTTTTACACTGTTGGTGGGACTGTAAACTAGTTCAACCATTGTGGAAGTCATTGTGGCTATTCCTCAGGGATCTAGAACTAGAAATACCATTTGACCCAGCCATCCCATTACTGGGTATATACCCAAAGGATTATAAATCATGCTGCTATAAAGACACATGCACATGTATGTTTACTGAGGCACTATTCACAATAGCAAAGACTTGGAACCAACCCAAATATCCAACAACGATAGACTGGATTAAGAAAATGTGGCACATATACACCAAGGAATACTGTGCAGCCATAAAAAAGGGTGAATTCATGTCCTTTGTAGGGACATGAATGAAGCTGGAAACCATCATTCTCAGCAAACTATTGCAAGGACAAAAAACCAAACACCGCATGTTCTCACTCATAGGTGGGAATTGAACAATGAGAACACTTGGACACAGGAAGGGGAATATCACACACTGGGGCCTGTCATGGGGTGTGGGGAGGGGGGAGGGATAGCATTAGGAGATACACCTAATGTAAATGACAAGTTACTGGGTGCAGCACACCAGCATGGCACATGTATACATATGTAACAAACCTGCACGTTGTGCACATGTACCCTAGAACTTAAAGTTTAATTAAAAAAAAAAAGAAAAAAAGAAAGTTTTCTTCCAAGTTTAGAGTTCTAAAAGTCTCTAACAGTTTCTGTATGATTGGATGGTTTTGAGGATCAAATAACTGATTGTTCTAATTTATGCAAGCTTAGCACAGAGTAAGTTATCACAAAGTGAGTGTTCTGCAGATCTTCCTATGGCTAATTTAGCCCGTCTTATGCTACACAACTTTAAACCATAAAAGGTTAGGCTTACATTATGCTTTCAATGTAATTCACTAGTTGTCATCAATATTTGGTTCTCCTTTCCCTCTGGGCATACTGAAGATTGCATGTTTTAGGCTTCTGTGTAAATCATAAGTTGGATGAAAACACGTGGCTGGTTCTGACCAAAGAAATGTGAGTAGAAGAAATGTACATTACTTCTTGACTGAGGTAGGAAATGACCATGGACAGCTCTCCAGGCTTTTCTCACCCTGTGCTGGGACATCTTCCTTGCTGCAGGTAAAAAATGGTGACATCTGTGGCGGTCTGGGTCCCTGAGTGCTTTTGTGGGGCAGAGATCGCTCACAATCCTCATGCGGTGTGCACTCCATGAATGAGAAATAAACTTTCTGTGAAACCACTGAAACTTGTAGTTGCTTTTACCGCAACAGAACAGCCTATCCTGAGTAACTTGCTGCATGCCATTAAAATTAATTCACACACTTCCTGAGGGGTATATTTAGCGCTATCTTTCTCAGTACCACTCAGATAAAGTTATTTATTCCTTCGCCTTCAAGCTCGTCATTAAACCACAAACCAACTTGGTTAATAATTAATATGTTTACCTCCTAAATACCTCCCACATAAGCCCCTTCCTCTCCAATTCCACCATTACTCCCCTAGTCCAGGCCATCATCTATTCTCACCAGATTATTGCTATAGCCTCCTGGCTAGTCTCTCTGCCTCCAGATGACCCCACTCAGATCTCTCTTCATTTTACCTGTGGTTAAATCTACAGGGCAACTTTGTCTTACCAGCCTCCTTTAAAAAAACCTTTCAAATGTCAAGAGTCAAAGCCTAGCAGTATGACATCTATGTCCTTCCATGACTTGGCCTGTTAATCTCTCTACTTTTATTTCCTACCATTCTTTGCCTGGAAAGATAACGTAAAGCAAATATTGAGTTAACTTTAGTTCCATGCCGTGCCACGCTGATTCATGCCTCTGGCATTGCTCAGACTATCTCATCTAGCTAGAATGACCTCCCATTCAATCTCCATCTGCTTCATTGCTGCTTATTCTTCAAGATGCAGGTCTTAAACTTCACCCTTGAGGTGCCAGGCTGTGTTGTGCCCCTGTATGTTGCTACACTTACTCTGTGTATACTGCTAAGCCTGCTGTTATTCTGGCATAAAGAAATTGTCTCTTTTACGTATTAGACCCAGAACATCTAGAGGCAAGGCTATGTGCATCCTATATCTATGGCATATTTCCCACCTGATAACACAATGCCTACTAGTGCTCTGTAAATGTTGGGTGAACATTCCTTGTCTGAGGGTCACTACTCCTAGTACCCTAAACTTTCATTCTGCCCCCTGCTTCAGCCTTTATTTGCCCCTACTTTTGACATCACGTTGCCTTCTCAATAGCACTCCTTCTGATTGTGCTTCCAGTCCAGTTCCCCTGCTGAGAAGGAAGCCCTGCCATAGCCATGCCCCTCAACATGGGCTAACCTTGCCTTGTTCTTGTGAATTCCCTTTCGTTTGGCTAAACTCTCTCCCAGTAAGAGGAGGAACCCTACCATGCTAAGAGGAGGAACCCTATCATGAACAAACGGATCACTTGTGATTCACGATGCAGCCCTCCTTCTGATAAGTACTGCCCTTTTCTTAGACCTTCCTTCCCTACTCCACCTCCTGGATTGAACTTTTCATATCTAGCTCTAGTCCAAATCAGGCCTAAAAGACCATAGTTCTAGCATCTGTTTTTCAAAGTGAATCACTCTCCTGCAACAGGGACAACCGTTTTGCAGCTTCTACTTGAGCTTCAGCACCCTACAAAATACTTTTTACAAAGTACTTAGCAGGTTGGAGGCCCAGTTCTCAAATATTTTTCCATGATTTTTGAGGGAAGGAGCAGGAAACAAAATTCATATATATGTGAAAATTTTAAGAAAAAAATGTCAGTTTGGTTGTAGGTGATATGACGATGTGGTCCAGATTAAAAAGAAAGTTTTCAAAGCAGCGAAACACCAGTGTGTAGAGAAATTGAGACCAACTGCAATAGTATCTGCATCATACTTTTTCAAATTAATGTCTTCTTTAATCTGGACAATGTCATTATTTTCAGCTATTTCACACTAAAAATTTTATAAAGAGGAAATGGAAATTTTATAATTATTATAATTTTATAATTGAAATAAATTTATAATTAATTTTGTAATTATCGTTCATTTTCCAGAAAGAAAGCCAAAGACATCCAGTCACCATTGCTGCTACTGAGAAATGTCTGTGATGTTCTCAAGGATCATTGAGTGTGTTCTCTATGGTTGAAGTTAGAGTCCGTGTTTTAGGGTTCACCTGGAGCCCTTTCCTGAAACTAATATATTCCTCATCTGCACTTCATCAGCAACCATTCATGAAAGAAAGAGACACTGGCCAGTATCAGGACTGCAAAAACAAATGCAAAAGCCCCAATTTCATGAACAGTAAACCTCTGAGGCTCAAAAGGGCCCTAACTTTATTTAATGCTCTGTTGTCAACCTCTTGAAAATCTTAAAAATTTTGTACAAGGGACCCACATTTTCACTGTGCATTGAGTCATACAAATTAGTTCATCTTGGCTGAAGCAGTGATTATGAGTTTCTCCTGACACCTCCCATTAAAGTGTCATCAACCATTCACAAGTATCTTATAGCATATGAATCTAGGGGTATATGTGAAAAGTGAGAGAGTTAATTCTTCCTTACCTATTTTCCTTGACCTTTCCAAAACTGCTAGGAATTATGTAAGAGCTAGATAAAAAGAAAAAAAAATGACCCAGGAAACATAGCTGTGCTCATCAATATAATCTATGATAAATATGAAGCCTTATGTGCTATTAAAACATTTAATTAGGAAAAAAAGACAATTTCTAAACTCAAAGATTCCTCCTGCTTAGAAAACCTACAGATGAAAAATTACACAATCATCTCGACAGCGGTTAATGTGCTCCTCTTCCTTTGTAATCATAACTGCAAGTGTTGTTAAAATTTTAGTTATTATACCAACATAAAATTAAATTTAAACTATTTTATTTATTGTTCAGCAAACTGCAACCCAGTTAAGAATTGTTGCATTGTAAAAAGTTGTACCTTTTTTAAAATAATTCATTGAGCCTTCCTTTTAGTAGCCTGGATCAGAACAATTCCATTTGTTATTCATTCAGATTCACGTAAATGTTCCACAGTGTTTTACCATTAAAGGACTCTTAAAATGAACAGCAATATTTGCTTCTCTCCTTTTCTAAGCAACTCTTTATTTCATGTATTATTTGAAGAAGGTTGTTATGATCAGCAGACAGGAGCTAGTGAAAACATAATTTTTAAATCTCAAATGGTAATCCTTTTCAGTCTTGTAAAGACTGCTAGCCTTAATTAATGTCTCCAGTATGAAGTGAACTGTTATGTCTGAAGAGAAGCTTTCTTTAATCTTTCTTATACTCTGAGGATCTAAGTATGATTAAGAACTTAATTCAAAACATGACACAACTAACATATTCATTCATTCACATAGTCACTGACTCGAAAAGTACTAGTTTAGTTGTTGCTATGTGCAAAGCATTGACCTTAAATATAGGAGATATGAAGACAGTTAAAAACAGACATGATTCCTAATCTAGAGTACAAATCTAGTGGAAGATATAGCACTTAGTAAAGTAATGATAAAAATGAAAGCAAATCTCATCTGTGGAAAGTAAAAGAGAGAGGTCCTCAGTGCTAGGAAACATATAGAGGAAGTCAGATGGTATCTAAAGTAACATACTGAGTGGTGATCAATAGTTTAATATCTAGATGTAAGATATTTCTATAAATTAGTAAAATAAAGATTAAATAACTCCATATAATATTGGGTAGAATAGTTGAATAGGCAGTTCACAAAAAAAGAATATTTTTTTCTTTTTATCAAAACAATTTCAAAATTAATAAATAAAATATGCAAAATACCAAACATCATTTGTGATCAAGGAAATGCAAATAAAAACATATACCATATATTGACATGACCAAGTTTTGGGAAGCAAGTAGAAAAATGGAAGCTCCCACTGTAGGTGGAGGGTGAATTGGTAAATCTATATTAGAGAGGAATTTGACAATATCTTTTAAAATTGACAATGTTTAAGCCCTCAACCCAGCTCTAGTACTCATAGGTATGTGTCCTAGGAAAACTTGAGCATAAGCAAATTATAGAACAATGTTCACTGAAGCATTATTTATAATATAGAGAAGATAATGATAATTAAATTATGCCATAATCATGTAATACATGGCAATTAAAGAAAATAAACTGAGTCAACATGCATAAGTCTACAAAAGACATAATGTTAAAGTAGCTGACTTTATGTAAACTTTATGAATCCATGCATACAAATTGCAAATATTGTGAAATATTATATTCTTACACACATTCAGTGATCTTTCACTATCCAAATTTTTGCTATTCAAATTTAGGAATTGATGAGATCTGGTACATTTCTTTATAAATCTCTCTCTGTCTAAACTGTCATTACTTGCTATTTGAAATTCAGAAACCAAATAGATTTAGATAATATGCTATTCTTTGCTCCATAACCCTATATCCAAATTCAGATAGAGATTATAATTGCATAGAGAGGGGAACTTTTCATACAAAATAATTGATGGGAACCTGCTAGATTCAAAACAGTGGTTGATTTCTGGTTAGGAGGGAAGATAATGAAATAATAACTTTGTAACTCTCAATGCTTCTGTAATACACTCAATGTTTTTAAAAATTCCGGAACAATTTACCAAAATATTTAATTTGATAAACAATGTGTAAATGACATTTGTGTTATTATATATATATATAATTTCTTTATGTTTAAAATAATTTAGAATTTGCAAAAAAACTGTAATGAAATCATTCGGATATGAGGTGAGTTAAGAATATTGCAGATGGAATAGCATACGCAAAGACTTGTGGCAGGACAGAACATGGCACATGCAAGAAACTTAACCAATTCCTCTGCTACTGAGGGGAGAGACCATTGAGGGCAGGGATGTGAAAGGGTTCTAGGGCCTATTAGGATCTGATGGCGTCATTCTAAGAGCAAAGTGAAACCAGTAGAGAACCTCAGATATGAGTCTATGGAGGTTAGGGATAGTAATAAGATTTACATTTTAAAAAGATTTAGTATCATTGCAGCGTGAGAAATGAATTAGAATGGAGCCAGGGGGAGTCACTGATCGTTTGAAAGGCATTGCAGTACTCCAGATGATTAAGAAAAATAATGAGTAGGACATATAAAATTAGAATAAAAACCTGAATAAGATATAGATGTCAAGCTTGACACCCTAATATACTTACTGGAAGATGAAGAGAATTACACAAAAAGTAAATGAGTCTGATCAACAGATTTGAGTATTCTTGAATCTAAAGTGGGAAATCATTACCAAAAATAGTCATTGGAGCATATTATCAGTCCCTTAATCTCAAAAGGAAAGATATAGTATAAGGTAATGCCTTCTGCCTAGAAGATCTGAACCAGAAAGTATCAGCTGATAATTATTATACTGTTTTATTTAGATCTCTATGGACTCCAAAATAAAGAAATGTCTGATGTTAGAGGTATTGGATCTTATCACTGAAGTCTCAAATCAAATATCACCTCCTCTAAGAGATTTCTTTGACTACTCCTCGTATGACACCAACTTCATATTTGCTCTATGAAATCAACACATGTAATAATCTCGACCCCCTAGTAGAATACAAGTTCTGGGAGGGCAGGATCATCATGTGTTTTTAAATGCTCCACCTCAGTACCTAGAGCAGAGTAAGTGCTCAATAAATACCTGTAAAATGTATGAGTGAATAATTTCATAGGTGCAAGAGAAGAGAGAATAACAGAAAGATTTCACTTATCGATGCCCCTAAATTTTGAGAAAAACTAAACAAAAACAAAGGTAGAGAAAAAGGCTGAGTAATGCCTTTCAATATATTTATAGATTCTTTCCTCAAAAGAGCTCACCTTTTCAGAGATAACAGCCTTATTATCCATTACACATCAATGTGTACATTGGCATTCAGTATGGAAATTCCATATGCATGTAGTCCATTTCATAAATTTTGGTGTCATGCTTTACAATTAATAAATATTTACTACCACCATTGTCTACTTCAAAAGCTGAGGAGCACATTTAAGGCTCCTCGGGAGACATAAATATTTCATGTTAAGCATTCTATGTGACAAGTACAAAATATAACAACAAAATTTAACAGGCGGAGCACATTTAACATAATCAATCATGTCCTAAGAGAAGTATTACAAATAAAATGGATGAGTTCAACATTTCTGGGTCAAATATAATTGTTACTGTGCACTTACATATTTGCTAACAGTAGGGTAAATAGAAACAGAAGGTCTAAAACATATTTTAATAAAATACAACACTGTATGTAAAGATAAAATTATTAAATTTATCATATCATGCATATTGAGAAGTAATTTTTTTAAAGAGTAGGCTCAAAGTATCTGAATAATTGCTAAGTATAACCACACATTCAGAAATTCCCTACTGGTCAATAAAAGCCCCAAATTTACAGATTTCTTGATGTGTTGTCAGAAGGAATATATATGCAGTAATATATAACCCCAAAATCTCAGTGGTTTGATACAACAAAAGTTTATTCCTCATACATGTTAAGTCCATATGGGTCCAGACCGCTTCCTAGGGCACCTGTCCTCCATGTAGTAACTCAGGGATCCACAATGTTTAATCCTATAATTCTGACATCTCAGAAAATAGTGTCAATAATTCCCACATGCGAGGAAAGAAAAATACTAGCTGATCACTAAAAGGCTTTTAATTTCATTAGCCTGGCAGTGGTATACATCACTAAACACACATTTGATTGGCCAGAACTAATTTTGCATGATCCTGCTTAACTGCAAGGTGTTGGAAAATGTAACTTTTTGTGTGCTTAGGGAAAAAAGTGAGAACCACGCTTGATTTTTTTAAACTCTAAAACTCTTCATAATTAGAATAATAACATATACAAACCCATCACAGATTAAGCCAAATAGATTTCCCATTTAAAATATATATTCTGTATAATCAGGGAAAATTATCATTCAAGAGTTTACAGAATACAGATGGTAAGAAACAGCCCTAACATCTAATTTGATGTATGATAGAATTTAGTTGGCAGATGTGGGAATTACTTTCCAAAAGAACATTTGGTCAGCATCAAATTGTAACCATATAAGCAGACTTTTACTCTGTGGCACAACTAAATCAATCTTCAGCACAAATTTTTAACATCACTCATTGAGTCCAAGAGGAAATTTCCAGTGAGATGTAGAAAGACAATCAAGAAAAAGATCTCAGGGGTAGAACTCAAGCTATCATATTATTAAATATACTAAATGAAGTTAGATTTTATAAAACAAGTTTATTAAAGCAATGAAAAGGAAAATTAATTTGACAAATCCAAAATAGATTCTAGGGATTAGACATATCTCTATTTTCAACATTATTTTCTGTCTTTAAAATGCATTTTCTCCTCAAATATCCTCAGAAAGTTTTAAAAATTGATAATAATTCTTCAATTTTTCATCAGAAAAAAGGAATCCTTAGCAAACATTAAACATAACTGTAGAGCAGAAAATTCAAATTGCAGAAATATATCCAGAAAGTGACTCAAGTATTTATTTGACTTTTATATTTTAATCTGAACATTTAATTTGAGCTTGTGATATTAATGAATTCCAAAATACAGATACCATGTTTATTCTTTTCACTTAAAAACTAACCATTTTTAGAGTAGAGTAAATGTTGCTAATTTTACAATTCTCCATTTAAAATACACTTTTATTTTTATAATACTTTTCAAAATATTATATTTCTGCACATTTAAACCTGCTCAATGAATTTATCTGATGCATGTTTTCATGTTGATGATATTAATTACAATTTACTGGCCAGGCATGGTAGCTCATGCCGATAATCCCAGCACTGTGGGACACTGAGGTGGGAAGATCACTTGATACCAGGAGTTTGAGACCAGCCTGGGTAACACAGCAAGACACTCTTCTGTATTCTAAAAAATGAAATAAAATTTAAAAAATGACAAATTATGGCTCTCTGACCTTTTCCAACAATTATTGTCTGAGTTTTGCTTTCTACTACATTCCCAGTAGACATGTGAGAATAAACTGTGCTCTCTTGGAATGAGGTGGTTTGAATAATATTACTTTAACAAATCTATTGATCAGACAATAAAAATTTGAGAAAAAGCACTTGCAGTGGTTTTTGAACCATTCAAATAGAGAAGACAAACTATACGAAAAAGCATACAAAACACAAATAAAAATAATAATAGACAATAAAGTTTAGTTGATAATAAGTGTACATATAATCCTGTAGAGAATACACAACTTTTTAGTTACATGAAACAATTTTTAAGATGTATTATTTATTTGTCACAAAGAAAAACCTCAGTGAATCCAAACAATACAAAGCATGTGAACACAATGTTTATACTACAATGCAGTAGGTCTAGAGGTTAATAACACAAATATAGATGAAGAATAAGAAAATGAAACCACAAAATCATATTTAATTCATCTACCCAACCAATTAGCAATATAATGAAAGTAATATATTCATATACTATTCATAAATACAATAGTTTCTAACATTTTAACAGAAGAGATTAAAATAAATGGGGGAATAATTGGGGAAGATTTTTAAATTTATAAATGTTTGGTGTCCATGAGATTATATATTAATATTTTATATACTAATCTAATGGATTTTCTGAAAAAAAATAGAATTCCCATAATTATCTCAAGAATTAGAAAATCAAATCAAATCAGACCAATGACAATAAATGAAGTAGAAAAACTAAGAGATAAATATCTCTAAAATAATATCTTGTCTCTACAACTTACTGGTAAATTCACACAAACATTGAACATTGGATATTTCTCACCCCTTACAATCTCTTTTAGAAGATAGATATAGTTGGATTAAATTTTATGTATTCCTCATGACATAAAAAATAGACAAAGTTAGCACCAAGAAAATGTTACAGAACATAAATCATATTTTAAAATCCCAAGTGGAATTGAATTTATTGACTTATTAAAAATTAATCCACCACAGACAAATAGTTTCTCCCAGAAATGCTAAAATATTTTTGTACATATCATAACACTAATTAGCCCTAAATGAAAAAGTATATGATCATCTCGTAAGATGCCCAAAACTTATCTGATGAAACTTAACCATCATTCCGGGAAAGACTTAAAAGAACAATAGATGAGCACTCCCTGAAAAACGCTATAGAATGAACAAACCATTATACACTTATGGACAAGTATTAGAGGCATTTTCAATAGTATGTTTTTTAAAGTATCATAATAAGTGTGCCTACTGTGCTAATTACTTTTTAACCTCATTCTAGCCAATGCAATAAGACAAGAAACAAAAGATGTAAAGACTGTAAAGTCAAAATTATCATTATGTTTAAGATTGACAGTCTATCTAGAAAACCAAAGAAAAAATACTAAAATACAATTAGACTTTAAAAACAAACTTATTAAGGTAATGAATACAAAAACTAATTTACAAATCCAAAATACATCTAATAAACTAGGAGTAACAATTCAAAAAATATAATTAAGAAGAAAACTAAAAAATAGAAAATGAACAAAAATATGTGAATAACATATAGAGAAAAATATCAAATTTTTCTAAGAAATATAAAACCAGGTTTGACTATATAAAGAGATATAGAAATTGCTAGATGCGAATAATGAGTGTTATGAATATGGTAATTTCCTCAAATTTAACATAATTCCAATTAAAATCCACATTAAATCAGTTTGAATTTGATAAAAATCACATTTTACAAAATGATTATGTAAAACAGAAGAATTTTGAAAAAACAAGTCATAAAAGGAAATAGGGATCAAATTAGATTCCCATGAATTCATCCACATATCTCATAAAAAGAATGTAGTTAAAGCTTATAATTAAAATGGGCCTGGCAAGCCAACCAAAAAATGTTCTAAGATCTTCTAATTCATCCATTTTGTATCAACTTGGTTTACTTCTGGGAAATGTTAGTTGCTTAAAGAGAAGCATTAACAAAATAGCATGCAATGAAGAGAAACAGGTTTAGAATTTCATTAATATATACAGAGACTTTAAGAACCTGCCCACAGAAATGAAATTTTAAACCAAATATAACAGTTTTTTAATTTAAAAAATTTACATTCTTTTACCAAGAAAAAAATATATGTTTTTTTCTCTGTAAATGAGAATATTTTTAGAGACTATTGCTTAATGGTTTGCTTCCAGTTTAATGTGATTTTAATCTTTACCTCTCATTTGAAATAAACTTAACACAAACTTTATGAAATGTCTATAATTTTAATTATTTTCATATGTAAAGTCTATTTATTTGCAATTAGCATGAATTAGGAAAATGTTAAAGGACTTAATTTACTCTGACAGTAACACAATAGCATGGATTTTAATACTCTTCAGAAAAGACATAGTATAATCATAATCGGTGGGCCCCGCCTTTCTCCTTTTATTCTGAGATATTATCATTTCACAGATATGATTTCAAATCAATATTTAGGTTATATATAATATTTATTACATACATGATTTTAATTTGAAAAAAAAGAATATTTAAAGGCTTATATGTACATATTTGGCATTCATTGCTCTTATCTCACAAATTCCAAACCTTAGGAGAGGCAGCCACTTTCAAATCTTACTTATTTCTTCTCTGTAATGCTGAGATGAAGCTAATAAAATCTTGTTATATTTGTACTTTTTGAATTTTATATATTTCTAATCTTTACATTCTAATATTTTCTGTTTTATCTTTAGCTGCTACACTGTTTGTTTCCTATGTATTTACATCTATAATATCTTCTTCATTTGTACTTTTAATGTATATATTGCCCTTTCTTAATCCCCTCAATGCTTTTAATTGTACATTCCAACTTGTTGGACAATAACTGTACCATTTTTATTTTCTTTGGGTTTCAAATGCCTGTTAACTTTTTTGTCCACCCCTTTGTTTTTCATTTTATTTTTATTAATGTTATTATTATTTTAAGCATATTCCTTGAAAACAGGATGTATTTGAGGTTTGTTTTCTATTCCAATTTGTGTCTCTTTCTCTTTTGGATAGTTTCAGACTATTCACAGTATAATTTATCATATTTTCCATTTTATTCAAACTTATTCTATTAATTATTTTAGATTTTATTTTCTCCTTAGTCTATTTCTTGAATGATTATTCTATTGTTTGTCATTCTAGGTTTCTCCTGATTAGATTGAAGATTTTGTAATTCTTCCTTTCTATTGTTATTCCTCTCACTATTTTCTTAAATACACACGTAATGATTCTATTATTTGTAAACTGGTTACCAACTAGTCCCTCACCAGAATTCACTGCCTCTCTCACCATGGTATTCTAATTCCCATCTTCTTTTGCTTTACTCCTTTCTCCTATAGAATAAAACCTTTAAAATAGATTTATACCTCTCTTTATTATCCTTCTCATGATACATGAGACCTTTGGAACATTTTAATCTCCTTCTTCCCTAAACTCCAACTGACAGGTTTTGCAAGGGTAGTTTGTAGTTAGAATTTCTCTCACAGAATGTCTCTTCTGTTTTACATGATCTTATTTAGCACTTGCAATATATATTTTCAGGCGGTTTATCCTTAATCATTATACTTCTATATCTGTACTGATATCTGCATTCATACCTGTAGTTCACCTGAGGTTTCTGTTCATGCCTTTTAATTGGAATCTTCCCTCTGACTTCAGATGTGGAGGGCAACTTCCATTTGTCCACCTGTGCGATCTTTTTTCTTCCCTCTAGGCATATGGTAGAATCTACACTTCTCACCCTTTTGCAGTTCAGTGAGACCCTGACACTGGTCTAGCCACCAAGCTCTTAGCAGAAGTGGACTGTCCCTTGTTTCTGCTGTGATATCCTCTTGCAAAAACTTTCATTCCCATCTCCCATGATGCTAAATGGTCAATTTGGTGAATGTTAGAGGGCACTTAAGCTGGGGAATCAATAACTTTTATTATGGGAAATGATACATGTTAGAATATCAGGAAACAGTCAAAGCATAAAATTATTAAGCTATGGGTAAAACTTAATGTAATTGTATGAATATCGAGGCTAGTTAGTTAACCTTAGGATTTAAAGCTCAAATAACATAAATAAAAATAAATATATTATGATGCATGTTATTATAATCAGGCATTAAGGATACATAGAATGAGAAGAATTATTAATAATAGGTAATATATAATACATTTCTTTATATGTATCATTTATTTGAATCTATATAGTCATTTTAAAGATGAGAATATCAAAGACAGAAGAATTTGGACCAGTTGCATGTGCATGAGTAAGCAATGGAACAGAGACTATCACCTGGATGTGATGGAATAAAAGACCCAGCCCCACACACCCCTGCCTATCGGCTTTCGTGTTTGTTGTAGTTCAGTAGTTTCTGTCATCTGGGAATGACCTTATGAATAAAGTAATATTTCATTGTCATTACATGACAAAAAGACAGCAGTCGGGTGATATTTTAAGCTTGCTCTAGTCATCAAATATAGTGTAAAAGGAAGTACACTTTCAAAATGAGATGATTTGAAGAATTAATTTGAATAGCATGGTGCCTCCCCATCAGCCTGAACCTTCCAATGGGAAAGGTGAAGAACTACTTTTTTTTTTTGCTCATACAATTGGTATTACTTCTTTCGTTTCTTCCTTCTTTCTAACATATTTTCTTGGAATGCATTTCCTATGTATTATGGGGGATGTAAAATGGATTGGATAATGAATCCTGCTCTCAAATAACTTAAAAGACTATGAAGTATCAACTGTCATGATGAGGGTTCAGAGAAGGTGACATGACTCCTGGCTGAAAGTCCTTTGAGGAAGTATGTAGAGCTGGGCCTGGAGAAGAGCAAACAGAACTTTCAGTATAGCAGAAGCACATAGTGAAGGAAGACCAATGAAAAATTATGACTGGGAAGCCGACTGGACTCAGATACTGGAAACCCTAGTATGAAAAGCAAGAAATTTTTATCTCAGTCTATGAGTCAAGATCCTGCAAACTTTTTTGACCTAATACACCCAATTAGTAAAAAAGTAAACAAAAACATTTAAAATTAGAGTAAAATCAGTAGCAAAATAAAATTTTAGAAGTCTTTTAAAAAATTACAGTGTGTGTGCAGTATGTATTAATCATTACAGATATAACTATAACTATTATTAGCTAATACTTATAGGCAAATATCTACTTACGATGAAGGTCATCACTAAAAACAGTAGATATAAACCTACATTCCAAATAATCTCCTAAATCATTTTAAAAAATATTTGGCAACTTCTCATTGTGTTATGTGGGAACATACTTGTTTTTGTCTTTTAGCAAGTCTGGCAGAATACCTGTGAACAAAATGGAAAGCACCAACGCCACCATTTTCACCTGAATTTACATTATTTATGATTCTTGTAGCCTGCAAGGTATTTCTAGGAATATTTTAATTTCCTCATATAATTTGTGAAAGTTCAGATAGCTAAAACTAGATAATGTAATTGGTTACTTAGCCTGGCACAAATAAACTATATGTAGCAATATGCTGACAGCAAGGGAAAAAGAAAAAAGAAAGGAAGGCTCTACTGTCCCCCTCTGTCCAATGTGCCACTTTCATTATTTCTTCAAGATATTTTTTGTATTGTGCATGATCTATAACCTACCAACCTACCAATAAATGGACCACATCTGTATATTTGTGTTAATCAGTATATAACATTATTAGTAAAGTTTTGTTTCCTATGTTTTAGATTGAAAAGTATAATAATAAGATGTTTTAGTATTTCTTCTTGGGCCTCAATGAATCATCTTGAAAATACCTAGAGTACAAATATTCATACTTCGAAGAAAATTTCTATAGGCACACAAGAACCACGTGAAGAATCTTGTGCAGAAGACAGAGGTCAAGCTATGGTTGAAGTAGTGAGCGAACAGCAGAGTACCCACAGATCCTTAGTTAAGAACAGGAGTGATATGGAAAGTGATAGACTACTGTTAGAATTTAACTCAGGAATTTTGTGTCCAAATCCAGTGATGGTTTGATATATTTACAAAAAAACTGGCAATACTTCATCATATTTACCTCACATTTTATAACATTGTTATAACTACTATTTATATTTATCCATTTTTTCTCATCCAGATAATAATTCTCCAAGTAGCATTAAAAATGTAACTATCATGTGTAAAAATGAGACAAATAATATAATGTCAAATCAACTTGGTATCTGATAGTGATGATTCTTACAGGCAGGGATTATAGATAAAGTAGTGATTCTTAAACTATTTTGTTAACTAATAGCAGTTATTTCTAATTGCTAAAGCAATCTGTGTGTTGTCACACATAGCATTAAATGAAAGTACAATCTTTTAAGCCATAATTTGAATGTGTGTTTTTCTCTTATAATCAAATGGAGATCCTTTCAGTTATAATGAAGAGTATAGCTGACAAAATGTAGCTTAAAGCGGTAGTTCTTAAACTTTAGCATACATCGGAACTTCGAGAGGGTTTGTGAAATCACAGAATGCTTTGTCAACCCCCAGGTTTTCTGATTCAATAATCTAAGCTGGGGCCCAAGCATTCTGTTTTCTAACAAATGTCTGATGTTGCTGTCTAGGAACTTAAATAAACAAGTATTCTGGAGGTAAGTGGTTTTAGTGTTGGCTTATTCAGCAGCAAAATGGTTTTATCAATGTCCAATGTGCTTGCCATCATTCCTGTCTTCTATTTTCATGGCTTTGCCCTGTTGCCACGGAATGGCTGCTGTAGCTCCATACCTCATGTGTTCATCTATCCATTACTCAAAGGCAGGCAATGTGGACGAGTTTCTCCTCTCATTTATCATCAAATAAAACTTTTCTTCATAGCCTCAAACAGTCCTTTCCCCTTACCTCCCATAAACCAGGATTTGATCAATGTAATTGCCTAGCCTTAAGGGAAATAAAATAAAAATAAAATAAGACTGAAGTTTAAGTTTTTCCATGCCAAGTTGGCTAACAACCTTCAGTATGAAAATAAGTTTCCTAGAAAAACCATAAAACACACTCATAAAGTGGTGGAAAAGAGTATCAGTCTAATTAAATAAATGCAAATTTTGTAAATTCACCTCAAACCTTATGAAATAAAGTAGCTCTAATGTCTGAAAACACAAGGGCTATGAGATAAAAGACTCATAATTGCTATTAAGTGACTTTCCACAACATTTGGTACGTTGGCTCATACCTTGAAATAGACATAAGAAATTTGACTGGCAACACTTCGCCATATTTAACTCAAGAAGTTGGCTAAATTTAAGAGAATACAGAGCTGCTATTCAGAACCGGCTACATACTTTGCAAGGTCCAGTGCAATATAAAAGCGCAGATCCCTTGTTCAAAAATTATCAAGAATTTCAAGATGGCAACAGTGGTGAACTAAGCATGGGGCTCTTCTTAAATCAGGGTACTGTGTGCTGCACAATTCAGTCACCTATGAATTGGTCTTGCTGTTACACCTTCTTAACTTCCCTAGTGCCTTCAAAAATTCCAGATTCTTATCATTTCCTTATGCATTTTTTAAATTTTTCTCACACCAGTAAAGAAAATGAAGACCATGCTCCTTTTCTAAACAAAGAATCTTCTCTTAGTTATAAATCATCCCACTCTCTAGTATGTGGCAGAAATGCAGATGACTTTGGTTTAAATCGCAACATTTTTCCATCCCACTGCATATAGATAGATAGATGAATAAATAGATGGATGGAGTGAGTGACTCAGCAGGTAGTAAGGTTTTGTCAGTTTGAGATAACAGAGTGTGCATTTATAGAAGGTGAAGATTTTGAACCTAGAATCAAAGAAAAAAACTGAGAAGATTTATCTGCATTTGAAGTGTGAATATCAATGAGGGTCATCAGTTGTTCTAAGAGTTTCAGAGCAGACTTTTAAAGTTAAAATACTCCACCTCCATGTCAAGTTCAATGCAGGAGCAAATTTTATCAGTCTGGTGTCCTTGTAGCATCAAAGGAATATCCCGCCTGTTCCCCCTTGTGGCACCGAGAAACGGGGCACCCTTTGGCTTTGTAGGGAAGATGAAATGCTGGCCTGATAAATCACCTGCCAATTGAATCGATGTAGATGGTTAATGTAGCTAAGTTGAGAGGGGAGGATCTGAAAGGGAAGACGTTGAGAGAAGAGGGATTTGGCAACTACACAAGTAACACTCCTTTACTAAGGCATTCTTTGCTTTCATGAAAAAAAATAAGATACAGAAGTGAGCTCTTTTAACTGCATTTATTCTTCCTCTCACCTCTTCCTTGAACTACATCCCTGGAGATATTTTTTTCTATAAATTCCAATTTGCATATCTAGTGGGCTTCCTTAAGATGAAGTAGCTCCTATCCACCACACCAGCTTTCTACGGTCTGTTTTTGAGAATGAATCAAACTACTCTGCTTTGGTGCATCTCTTACTTTACAGTACTAAACAAAACATGGATTATGCCATCTGAGTAGTTATAATATTCCTGACAAAATTAAAATAAATTAAATAACTTGTTAGAATATAACTCCATTGTAAAAAAAAATAGATTTCCAGCCATTTTGACTGAGTGAATGAATGCTTTTTCATTTCAAATATGGCTAATTTTATTTGTTAAAGTTTCTCTGGAGGAGTTGAGTTGCTATGTGCAGCTCCAAATTGGCAGCAGTTGAATTAAAACAGAAGTCATTGTATCTGCTATGCAGAAAAGTCAAGGCTCCCTGGACAGCTGGTGAAACTGGAGAGGCTGTCATCTGATCAATCTGACAAGGATTAACAACCACAATTGTTTGGATTTGCTTTTTCTGTCCCTTGATTACACGGAAACATGAAGTTTAAAAATTCATTGTCTTTTCCTGTATGAACTGGTGACAATATTCTATAACTGTGGATAAATGCCAATGTCACCATTTCTAAAACTTATTTTATGTTTGGCATTATAGCTTTGGGGAACTCTGAAATATTCAAGTACAGAAAAATCCAGGGTATCTTAAGAATGGCTGCAATCTTATAAATGTACAATTGGGAAAGGTTTTAAGGTAGGTTATGAATTAATCTGTTTTCTCAATGACATAGTTTAATGCCAGTACATAGAGTCTTCTTTGCGATTAAAGCTATACATATTCTGGGAGGAATTCATGAGCCGTTCCATGTCATGGAAACTCCAAAGGAAGCCAACAGGTGGCCCTGCCTTATGATGCCGCCTTGACATCAGCTAATACAACTTCTATGAGGTAATGGTTTGTGAATTTTTAAGATAATATTGGAAATTAGGTCTAGAAAACTAGAGTGAACAAACTGTTGAGCTTAGTTTTCATCCTCAAATAGCATGAGAGGGAGAAGGCTATATTTTAGTTTTTGTTCAGACTGAAGATTTTGAAAGACATCATTTTGTGATGTGAATGATTTTTTAAGAGATGTCATTCAAGAAACATTCTTTGAATATCTACTACATGCAACAAAATGACATTGATTTTGTAGAAATTAATTAATTAATTCTTATCCTTAACGATCTAGGTGGGAATAGAAACATATATTTAAAAAATGAGAAGTACGTCACCTCTGAAATTACCTAAATTATGTAAGCTGAGAAATACTTCTAGACTAGTACTAAGTAGAAGAAACTATAAAGAATGTACCAAAATTATCTTTACCTCCAGAACAAATATTAACATTAGGGAAATACGAGAAAAAATGCTCACTGATAAAAGAAACCTACACAATTTGGAAAAACAAAGATGATCTAGAGAAATATAAACTATAGATTAGGGAAAGCTTTATTGTAGTTAAAATATGATTCCATAGGTTTAAGCCGTTGACAGAAAGTGAAGTAAAGAAACATGAGTTAACTGATTTATACAATGGTTTCAAAATTTCCAAATCAAAAAGAGGAAAAAAAAATACATATATAGTGGATAGTTACATTATAAAATATTTTCTAGCCAAATTAAAAAATCCTTAAAGAATCTTATTTACATATGCACTTATAAGTGCTTGTAGTTTATAATGTAAAAGCATGATCTTAAGAAAAATTACATCGTCTAAAATCTCACAGGCTTTTCTTTATACTATGCTCTTGACTTCTCCAAACTTTATGAAAGGGCCAATGTGTCTGTTGAGAGAATTACTTGTTTCTCATACAGTGGACTTAAATTGGATTTAATCATCACTTCATATATAACACATCCCTTTCCCCTTCATCCCTCCACCACACACATACTCTAAATTTAATTAAAATAACTGAAATGAAACTAGAGATAATTTGTTTTTTAAATAGACTGCCACATGCTCCATTTACATAAAACCCATTAGTTTGCATTAAATACAAATTAGCTGCTGATATGAATTAAATCACGTATAAATAGTTGAGAATAGCCGCAGAACCAGGCATTTTAATTAATATAACTGTTAACCAGATTTATTTGTAAGGTAATCAAGACTCTTACTCATTTATTCTTTAGTACAATAGGCCAGGCAACACTGGCTGTCCCAGAACAGGCCATCCTTTCTACATGAATACAAATCCAAGAGGAAGATTGATTAGATTCTCAGACTTCAAAGTGTGTAAATGATCAAAGCTTGCCAGTTTAGAAATGATGACACCTTGGATGAAGAAACCTCTCAAATAATTAACTCATATTTATACAGTTTACTGATCACCTGAAGTACCCAAATTTTTGTCCTCCTTCCATACTTAGTCATGCTTTAATTTAAAACAAGATAAAGTATGTAATAAGTTTCCTTTGTTGCTATTCCTATTTTGACTTTTTCTGCATCACTAATAAGTATTTCAAATTTAATAATAACTTTCCAGACCAATTAGAATTTAGAGTTTAGCAAAAGTGCCTTATCCAGACTCTTTTTGTTACAAGTAACTGAACCTCAAAGTGACTTGATACACATAGATTCACATACATACGTGCACAGAAATGAAAACAGACAGGCTGACTTCAGGCACAGCTGGACCCAAAGCTCTAATTGGATCACCAGAATGACTGTGGCTCTTACCACGTCTAGGACCATTTTCTTCTATAGCTTCTATTCTTTGGCAGGCCCTGTTGTCATGGTGGAAAAATAGCTTCCCAGCTGTTTCTGGCTAAATACAGTCTCTCCACAAGCCCAATTCTTCCCCAATCATTTCAATGAACTCTCGTAAAATGAGTTGTATTTGCCTAGATCAATCATGTCTCTGCCTACAGCAATCACTACGGAAAAAAGAACAGAATACTCTGATTGGTATGAGTCACATGCTCACCTCAAGCTGGGAAAAGGGCCAGCCCCATATAAATCACAGGAATTAAGAGTATGGGTGAAACATTTTGATAAGATAGAAAGTTTATTGTTTTCCTAGATAAAGGGTGGAGGAAGGATATTGACATGGCCAATGCAAAAAAGAAACAGCTATCCATTATGGCGTTGTAATCTTTGCTTTGATGCTAAACTGTCAGCCTTCTTCAATCACCTCATTTGGGCACTGATTTATCAATCAGTGAAAAAAATCAAAGGTACACAATCAATATTCACCTGCAAAAATCCCTGATGCAAGCAGCCACAGGACTTGTAAATGGTGGTGGCAGACATTCAGCAAATAATGTACCAAGTTATGAAAAGCCTTCGTCAGCCTTAAATCATGCTGTTGGACGTACAGTGTTAAAATATGAATGCCACATCATGTGTGCGTTCTGACGGAAGGTTAGAGAGGATTAATGAGACAGGTTTAATTGACTGTAACTAAAAATCCTGGGCATTTGTAAAAGAAAAATATCACTTAAGTCATAATATTAAAAATTTGACATAAAAAAGCAGCATCTCATTTTAGCTGATGAACTTAGGGAATTGCTTATATTTTCTGCCCATTTCAATAACAATATTTCATTCCTTTGTATCCTACTTTTCAGTCTAAAATTTTACATAATGCATGACAAATATTGAGACACAAAAGAACTGGCATTGTTAACCCTTTACGTGCCAGGAATCCCTCTGGTGATTCGATGATGCCTATGTACACCATAGGACCCTTCTAATAATATTTTAAATTCAAAAGAAAATAAATTTCATAAAATACAAAGAAAACCAATTATACTGAAATGAAATTATTTAAAAAGTGTGAAATTGTAATATATTAATATATATGCTTCTGCAGTAACACATTAAAGGAAAAGCAATATCACTGGAGCATTTTAGCTGATATTTTGAGATTCTATAACGCTAATATGATATGAAAATATCTAATATTTCAATCGGGTAAAATGTCACAAGAACTACTAATACTAATGTGGTTTGTGGCCTATATTCACAATTGAAGGAAATGTAAATTTCAGTTCAAGGTTATTGAAAATAAAGATGTAAATTTTCCCATCCTTATACATGGACTTCTGCCAAAGGACATTTGGTCATGACTTGAGGGGGGAAAAAAAAACCCTGCAAATCACTGTAATAAGGCATGCTATCCATCAGTTTTTGGACCTTATTGCAATTTTCTTATTCATCTCTAGTTGACTTCCTGCCATATTTTCACAGGAGCAATTCCAAACTTTATTACCCATTTCTATCCTAGTTTTTTCTCTGTATGGCTAACTTTGCCTCCTACATTACTTAAAGAATGAAAGCAACCTGTCATTCGTTTCCTTCATTTACACCCTAAAAAGGTTTTGAATATTCTTCATTTCACCATTTTTCTTAGTCTTACAGATTGCCAGAAACTTATGCCTGCCAGTTATTTGGCACTTAATGAGAAAAACCAAGACACATAAAGAAAAGAAGAAACATTACAGCAGCCCCGTAGCTAGGCCTCCCCAAAAAAAGAAAGATGCTATTAAGGATGAAATAGGAGTTCTTGCTTGAAATCCTGGTCCTGAGTATGCAGGGATCTCACATTCTCTCACGGAAGGTAATGAGCATGGTGCCTGGATATGGAACTGTGACAATTCATTTATCTAAAGACAGAAGATGAGAAATGCGGCATAATCCAACCTTGTTGGACACCACGCAGGATAAAAAGCAGAAACACATTTGGGTGGTATACAGTAGGATCCCATGAAGTAGATCAGCTTCAACCTCCCAACATCCTGCTTCTCTGAGGTTATACCACCATATGGCACAGAATATTCCAGGAGTATTTCTTCCTGCCTGATGTTGTCTATGGGGAATGGTGTTCTCATCACCAAGAAGTTTATTTTTCTCTCTCTTTTTTCCCCCAAGAATATTGATTTCATCATCACAGAGAATGGTTTTGTTTTATACCCATTTTTGCTGAGATATATGTACTCCCCAAGTAAAAAAGCCTAGGGAACTTTACATGGAAAAAGAATAGAATGAGATTATCCCATGTTCAGAATTATGATTACCACATGACCACTTGGGTCCTTTGTTACTTCAGTTTTCTGGTTCTAAAGACAGGGGCACTTAAGAAATTCTGATAATTTCTCAAAATTCTTGCCAAAGATTACTTCTATAAATAAAAATTTTGCTGAGGGTTATCAATCATAAAAAAAGTTGAGCCCATTTTCCCATGTGATTTAACTGCTATTAAAAGATTCGTTTTTCACTAGAAATGCCATTTGACCCAGCAATCCCATTACTGAGCATATACCCAAAGGATTATAAATCATTTTATGATAAAGACACATGCACACGTATGTTTATTGCAGCACTATTCACAATAGCAAATACTTGGAACCAACTCAAATGTCCATCAATGATAGACTGGATTAAGAGAATGTGACACATATACACTATGGAATACTATGCAGCCATAAAAAATGATGCATTCATGTCTTTTGCAGGGACATGGATGCAGCTGGAAACCATCATTCTCAGCAAACTATCACAAGATCAGAAAAGCAAACACAGCATGTTCTCACTCATAAGTGGGAGTTGAACAATGAGAACACATGTACACGGGGAGGGGAACATCACACACTGGGTCCTGTCAGGGGTGGGGAGCTACGGGAGGGATAACATTAGGAGAAATACCTAATGTAGGTGACAGGTTGATGGGTGCAGCAAACCACCATGGCACATGTATACCTATGTAACAAAACTGCACGATCTGCACATGTAACCCAGAACTTACAGGAAAAAAAAAAAAAAAAAAAAATCTGTTTTTCTTAAGTGGGCCTGCTATGGGGAAAGTGATATGAGTGTTTCCTTTCCTTCTATGGAAACACCAAGTATGGTGCTTCTTAATTAAAGGGGTCGCCACCTGCTTAGGGGATGGACGCCTGAAGTTTAGTCCCTTGAGAAGCAGGCATTCCTTGCTCACTACTCCAGAGATCCACAGTTAAGGTGACTCAGCTATTTTCTATATTTGCTTCTACTGCTCTGGCCTCTACCCAGCAACCTCAATCCAACTACCTTTTTTTCAGTGTTATGCCTCTTACTTGAGGTGGGAGCTCTACCACCTACCAGATTTTACTGAGTCTGTCTTCTAATCACAAGCACTCCACTGGCTTGTTCCATCCTTAAAACTTTACTCCTGCCAGCTGTGGCCTCTAACTTTATATCTCACATTCAGACATTCTCAAGGGAGTTGGTGTGTTGGGTCAGTCAATCACACTTAGTTTAGGGAACGTTTGCTTGTTAGAACTCTAGGGCCAGGATACTCCATACATAATCTTCTAAGATGGCTTTGGAGTCAAATTGCTGATCCAATCATCAGTGATGAGAGCAATGGGGTGAAGTGACACAAAGCAGAGCACCAGAGCACAGAAAGCAGCAGGGATGGTGAAGGAGTGAGACAAGCTCTAGATATGTATACTTCTGGGATGGCGAAGGAGTGAGACAAGCTCTAGATACGTATACTTCCCTGCTATTTCAGGAGACAAAGTGTGCTACGTCCTCTCCAACGCTGGCAGATTTCCATACACACATTTAAGGGGTTTATGTCTTCCCAAGCATTGGTTTTCTATTAAAATGAGAAAGGTTCATTTTCCAAATGAGTTTCTTACATGGGTCCTTCTAGGGACTCACATCACTGGCTCCGTTATTTCACCTCAGTTATTTCAATATTGATATTGTCCCATCCTGATTTAAGACACTATAGGAGCTTTGGGAAATAATTAGATTAATTATTAAACTGGTATTTTGTTTTGATTGTTTGTGTTTGTTTTTCATTTCAGAACAGTTACTCTTATCTCTCATTTAAGTTTTTATTTATTTAAAATCTTTAAACATTTCACTCTGGTGCTATGCTGCTCCGTGTTCAAACCACATGAAATGATACAAACCCATTAGAACCAGAGACTATCTCTTATTCATCACTTTGATCTCCAGTGTCTAGTATCATGTCAGATACATGGAAAATGCACAATAAATATTCCATGAATGAAAATAAGAAGCCTAAGCAAAATGCATTAGGATGGAAACCTGGCAACAAAGCCAAACAAAAATAACTTGTCTGCAATTTGGAATCATCCACCTAAGTAGGATATGTCCACTTAGTTATGTGTTTTTTTGTTTTATCAGAGATAGACTTGCATATTCAGCTATGCAGATATATCTATGTTTGCATATATTTGAGCCCATATGTCATCAGTCCTTGAACGTACACTTTTTCCATCTCTACTTTCTATGCAAAGTACACTGGAAATATCTTTGATATAAAACAGAAGCATTCTTTCTTAACCAGCTGAAATAAATTCTACCTGTGGGTAAGGTAATTTTATTTTTTATATACAAATGAGGAAAATTTAGTCATATGTTTGTGTATGTATATACATATATATGCATATATCAGAAAAGGAAAGAAGGACTAAAGAACATGAATATAACATTGACACAGGAAAATAAAGTAGCTTCTCATTTCTGGCTATGTAGTGCCAGAGTAACACATTTTCTGCTGTGTGTAAGCAGAGGTAGCAGGGCACTGTATCAATAAAGAGATAGATGCAGGAAGCAGTACCTAGAAAACTCAATCCCTTCACAGCCAACTGACCTTATGAGTCAGAAGGAAATCAGTCCAGTTACACAAAACATTGGCAGAGCATGTAATAATTGAAGTGGCACTAATAGTGAAACACAGCAAATGCTCCAAGTACTTTTAATGTAAAAAAGAGGTCAAGCTTCCAGATGTTTCCACCGATTCATAAATAATTGACTACTGTTACAGTTACACTGTATTGTAATAAAGTTAATCCATGTGGCTAGTATTAGTTTGAGTAGTATAAAACAGTTCAATCAATATTTAAGTAAATCATAACATTAGCTCTTATTAGTAGTGTTTATAACATCCTTTTTATACCAATTTATCTTTCTGGCCAATGTACTATTCAGATAGCAAAGCTTATCAAGTAGTAAAGTTATTAACTAAGTGCAAAATTACAAGACATATTTTAATCCCAAAGATTGTCTTAAACACTGTAATTCATGTAGAAAATGTTTATCCTGTCAGCAATACTCATAAAATCCACATGTAATGTTTCTCTTCTTCTCTCCCTAAGGCTCACATTTATTCACTGTCTTCTCTTTTTTAACCTAGTTGTTCTCCAAAGGTCTCTGGGGACAAGAAGTATTTTTTCAATAAACTACCTGCTGTAGACTTTTTTTATCTTTGCTCCACTGAACAGTCCTGCCCTAGCATTTATCTGTCACACCTCTGAACACATCCTTCCCCAGTCAAGCCTTAATTAACATTTTGATACTTTCTCCATAAAGATTCAGTAAAGATTGATAGCTGGTGCCTGGATGGCTATTTTATATTGAGTAGTCAGGAAAACCCACATTAATGTGAAGACATTTAAGCTGATATTTGCATGTTTAGACAAAGTCATGCAAGAGTAAGGGGGAAGAAGTAGAGGAAGCTAAAGCAAGAGTATGTTTGGCATGGCCAAGGAGTAGATAGAAAATCAGTGTGGCTGATGGGCCCTGGGTAAGTGTCATGGAGGAAAACTGGAAGAGGGCATGAGCTAGCCAGTTATGAAAGTCAGGGTAAGGCATTCCAAGTGCACTTTACATGTGGTGGGAAAGTATTGTGAATCTTATGCAGAGGAATGACATAATATAATTTGGATTTTTTTTTTTTTTTTGGGAGAGAGAGTTTTGCTCTTGTTGTCCAGGCTAGAGTGCCATGGCACAATCTTGGCTCACTACAACCTCCGCCTTCTGGGTTCCAGCGATTCTCCTGCCTTGACCTCCAGAGTAGCTGGGATTACGGGCACCCGCCACCTTGCCCAACTAATTTTTGCATTTTTAGTAAAGATGGGGTTTCGCCATATTGGCCAGGCTGCTCTTGAACTCCTGACCTCAGGTGATCCACCCGCCACAGCCTCCCAAAGTGTTGGGATTACAGGTGTAAGCCACTGTACCCAGCCTATAATTTGTATTTTTAAGCGACTATTTTGACTGCTGAGTGGAGAAAGGATTGATTGAGCAAGAATAGAAGTGAGAATGATTAGGGAGCAGATTACTGTAGAAATTCAGGTCATACGCTAAGTTTGCTTGGACCAAAAAGGTATGAAAAGAGAGAGAAGTAGATGCACTTAGGATATTTATAGGAGATAGAGTCAGCCAAACTTGGTACTGGAGCAAGAGAAAGAGAGGAACCAAGAATGACAATATGCAATATTTACCTTGAGCAACTGAGAAAATGATAATGCACTTTTCCAACACAAGAGAAACAGGTATAGCAGTATAGAGTTCAGAGTTGGAGCTTGGTTCAGTGCCTAGGTCACAATGTGCCATCTTATATGAGTTGGAACATAGCCAATAATTGGTAGAGAACATAAATTAAAGCAGGCCTACCAATATCATCTAATTGAATTAAAGGTCTCTGAAAATTATTTTTCTTATTTGAAAAAAAATGGAGATATTATCAAATTGGTATGACAGTATTATTGGAAAGATTGAATGAGATTACAAATATCAAATTATGTTTTAAACTGTAAAACCCTGAGAGTTGATTAAACATAATCCATCTCCTTTCCTGGGGCTTCAGAATAACCCTAGCAGCCCAAATATAGGAACTGTGGCTTTCAACAAGCAGCCATGTCTCCTCAGCCATTCTTTTAAATGCAAACAACACAAACAACAAGCTTGCGCTTACTATAGTAATATCCCCTCATCCTCATTCTCTGCTGATAAACTCCCTTCATTCTTCACTGAAGATATAAACAATTAGAAGAGAATTTCCCTACTTTCTTTCTACCAAATCTACCAGTGTCTCTGCTCCGTTGGTTGGGGTTCTCCAGAGAAACAGAACCAGTGGACAAGTGTGTGTGATTTACTGTAAATTGGCTCACATGATGATGAAGGCTGACAAGTCCAAGATCTTCAGTCAGCAATCTGGACACCCAGGAGAGCTGATGGTGTAGCTCAAGTCTGAGTCCAAAGGCCTGAAAACCAGGAGAAGTTATGTCATAGTTCCTTTGTGAAGGCCTACAGGCTAGAGATGCAGGAATAGCCAGTTCCTGTTTAAGTCCAAAGGCAGGAAAAAAATGTCCATCTGAAGACAGTCAGGCAGAGAGAAATTTCCTCTTACTCATAGTAGGGTCAGCCTTTTTGTTATATTAATGCCTTTTGTTGCATTAATGGATCACCTGAGGTCAGGAATTCAAGACTAGATTAAATGGAGTACACACACATCAGGGACAGCAATCTGCTTTCAGTCTACCAGTTCCAATGTTAATTTAATCCAGAAACACCCTCATAGACATACCCGGAATAATGAGCAACCAAATGTCTAGGCACCCTGTGGCCTAGTCACGCTGACACATAAACTTAATCATAATAAATTTTCTGTGTCTGTTTCTCATGCCTTTCTTCCTGTTATCATGAATTTACTGCAAGTACTTCTTTCTAAAACCACACATTCCACAGATGTACCAAGGTTAGCTCTTCTGCAAATAAATAGTAAATATTTTATCAATCGTCCCGCCAAACACATACCCCTGGCTATTTGCCCAGTAACTACATGTACAGGGTTGGTGAGAATAGCCAGAATTTTAAGGACACTGAAAAACATGATTTGATGACACCAAGATTAGGGGACTTAAAATACTTTTAAGTTCTTCTGACTAAATGTAAGGCTTATGAAGGTCACATCATAAATGTAGTTTAGAACCAAGTCTATCTAGAATGGCTCCACTTGGTGGCTATTTATAGTGGTTTCACTCTGTGATTATTTGTAATGGTTTCATCCTATGGTTATTTACCTGCTCCCTTGAGTATATAATCAGAGTAAATATATTTTGTAGTTGACAGAACTCTCACATTGCCCCTCTGATCAGCGGAGTAATGATTATTATGTAGGAAGGGTCAAGCAGGAGTTTCTGAAACTGCTCACTGCACCCACTTTGCCTTGGCCAAAATAGTAGATCAGAAGCAATAGAACAGCTCAGGCAGAATAGCATCGCAGAGATTAGTGCAACTATCAAACTTATTGGATTCCGTGATAATATTTCCCATCACTCCATTCAAGTCACCTCTCCGGACCTCAGAAAACAGATGGAATATGGCAAGTGACAGTAAACTAATGAAAACTTCACCAGAGAGTAGTCTCAATCACACCTGCCATGCTAAATGTGTCATCACTAGAGAAGATCCACAGCCTCTATCTTCTGGTATATGGCAATTGATCTTGTGGCAAATGCTTTCTTCTCTACCCCGAAAAAGAGACAAGAAAAAAACAATTTGCATTCACATGGCAGATATAGAAGTTCACATTCAATGTATTGCCCCAAAGCTGTTTTATGTCTTGTGCTTTTTTATAGAAATATAGTCATAGGGACAAGATCATCTTGACATTCTACAGCATGTTAGCTGTCCTATTATATTGATGACATCAAACCAATTCATTCTGACAAGAAGGAAGTGGAAAACACTCTGGATACCCTACTAAAACATTCTGTGTCAGGGAGACAGAGATAAACCCCAAAAGGGTCTAGGAGCCCACTGCATCAAAGAAGATTTTAGGATCCAGTTGTCTGGAGGCATGTTTGGAAATCCCCTCTAAAGCAAAAGAGAGGCTATTTCACTTCACCTCCTTATCTACTATTACTCCTACTACTCCCTACTACTAAGAAAGAGATACAAGGCTTGGTGGTCTGCTTTGAATTTTGAAAATAAAATATACTATATTGGAGGGCATGCTGATGCCTTCAATTTAAGGAGCTAAACCAGCGGATTATTACTACTAGATTCTAGGGTTCTTGTCAGAATATTGAATCCCAAGTGATGGGTTGCTCATCACTTCTGCTTGTTGAAAGCCAGAGAATCAGTAAATTCTCCACTATTTGCTTTATATTCCATATTCTCCTGGTGAACACACTCATTTCCACTCCCCCATGCATCTTCCATTGCCCCTGTTGGTACATATTACCAGATACTGAACTTCCTTAAGTAAATAGGCTAACTCCTTCCTGAGAAATAGCTTTGCTGAGAGATCTGACTGACTGTGGTGATTAGCTTGAAGACAATGAGGGGTGGTGGGGGCAAATTTTGCTGAGAACAAACATCATCTTGCAAGGCATCTGCCTCAGTGCATTTATTGCATGGTTTCAGAGAAAAGCAGTTTGCTTCTGCAAGACAGCATTAAGGAAGGGGTTGCTTCTGCCAGCCCAGAAGGTTCATAGGAATCTAGTGATTCAAGAATCTCCATCTTGCCCCATCCAACAGCCTCACAAAAGGTCTTAGAATGCCTGTCTTTTTCTATTAGAGACCTGATTTTGACATAGGAGACCTGTTCAGGCTGTATATTCAGTGCAGTCTGCTCTATTATCACAGAACAACAGTTTCTTTACAAGCTGCAATAAAGGTCTTTGGGCTTCAACTGGCATTTGGTTTTCTTTAGCCTATCATTCTTTTATATCAAAGATTTTAATGCTGTTAACAATAGCCAGGTCACTTCCCGACTCTTGTATTCTCTTTACACTATACCATTAAAGAGCAACTGCCATTGTAAAACCCAGCATCTCACCTTCTATCTCAAGTTTTTCTTATTTTGCTGTAGACTAAATCCTTAGTAATTGTGATTCCAATATATGCATGAGCTATCATCACCAAATACCATCAGCAAATGAATCTTTATTGCCAGTGGACTCAGGTTGTAACCTGAGTTCCCCAGAGGGCAAAGCCTGAAGCCTGGAACTTTTATTGAAATGTTTAATCCCAGGGAGAGGGAGGGAGGGAAATGAGAAGAAAGATAGAAATAAGGGCACACCAATAAAATAATGTATCATTTAGCTGGCCACTGCTTTGGATCAAATGCAACAGAGTGGTTGATTTCATTGGTATCCTTTTTCCAGGAGGCCACATAAACAACTGCTTCTCAGTATGGTCTATTCTTAGAAGAAGGGAGAACATGTATCTATCAGCTCCTGTATCCCATAGGTCACCCCACAGCTGCCTTTCATTGGTTCAACTCACAGGGTTTAACTCACACACATCTAGCTTGTGCATGTGAGGACTCAGAAAGAGCCCTAAGATATCTCATGCTTTAGTGTGAACCAAGAAGCTACAGGTATAAGGCAAAATGTATGCAGCACAGACATGCAATGGGACAGTCTCAGGTTGTACCTTTGTGAAGTTGGCTGTAGCTCATGCAGAACTGGGTTGTCTTAGCAATTAAAACAACTGGTAAGAGTCTAAAGCAGAAAAGAAAGGATATATTATAAGGGTCTGGAATATAGATCAAAATTATGAACTAAAGATCATATTGGGGGCTAAAGGTAAGACTATCCAGTACAGTTTGATCATTCTTAGTTATATAGATATGGATGATTGATAGATGATAGATAGATGGATAGATAGATCAATCTATTCATGTATTTTTATTTGGATTTTCAATGTGTGTATTAGGATGATAATTAAAAATGATAATTTCTATACATATGTATATATTTTTATAGAGGTACCAACCTTTTTATTTTAAAATAACATTAAATCTGCCTTTCGAGAAGAAAAGTAAAACTTGTGTTTTGCTATCTATTATTATACATATGCACACCCACAACACACACACAGACACACACACACAGAGGCAGAGATCTACAATCTTCACTAAAACATTAAAATGTGCAAGTATTTTAAAAATAAATAGGATGTGAACCATTTATATTTTTCTATAGATATCATCCTATATATCTTGGGTGCATAGACTATAAAGTAAAAAAAAAAGCACTTCTTTATTTAAGACATGTTTAATTGGAGAAACACCCAAAAATATCTAGATACAGAGGTATTCAGCAAAATACACTCAAATGTGAGGGGGTGTGCATATACACATGCATATGTTTGTATACTTCTTTGATAGGCCTTATTCTCCCACCACTCCTATGTTTCAAACAGCTCTAACAATTCAAATAGAGGTCCAGCCCAGTTCTGATAATTTATAGATAATTGTAAATGGTATTATAAGTAAAGATCATTACTGATTTTTGTATAAGTAAAGCTTGATGGCATAAATACTGTGCATGAATGTAGAATAATACTGTCCAAAGTATAGTACATTTTAAAAATTGTATGTGTGTGTGTGTGTGTGTGTATTAGATTTGTGTTGTATTGGAACATAAAATAATAAGTTTCTATTTTTTACAGATAAATATATCAGGAAAAGAATACATGATGTGTATGTGGGAAAACAGTTGAAAAAGTAGACTAATGAATGTTAATAAATTATTTGGAAAAAAGTATTAAAAGCTAAAAGGGTTACATTTATAACATCTTTAGCCTACATAACTCTTTGTGAATATATATACCTACATAAGTGGGAACACCAAACTATCTACTCTTGAACAGTTACAATTCTGTACAAAATCATATTCTTATAGATTTATAGGAAACTACAAATAGACTGCTGATTAAATATTCCACGTGTAGGTTAGAGATTCAAGACCACCTTAGGCTCAAGGTGGTATTGAGTTCTCTTTTCCTGGGGTGTTGCCTCTGGGTTCATGTGGTGGCTCAGCACATTGTTAGTGTGATTCTTTCCCATCCTAGATCCCTGTTATGGGACCATATAATTTCCTCATCATTATATTTTTTTTTAGATAAATTGGATTCCACAAAATCCTCTGAAGGAAAATGTAAAAACCTCTGCAACAAATTTAAACAAAAATTGAGAGTTTACTACAACCAAGATAATCAGAGCCAAATGTTTAATTACTGGTGCTCACCAGCTATTAATCAGTGATGCTGGTATTAAGAAAGAACCCATCCCTTTCAGTAAGTTCGCCAACTGTATGATTTTTCATTACACCCAAATTTCTTACCCCTTAATATTAACTCCAGAGATCTTGCTCTTTCAACTGGGTGTGCTACAAAGCCCATTACTAAATCATTACATGATGCAGTTGGGCACCAGCAAGAATTCATGTTATTAGACACTGGGATTAAATGGCACATCATTTAAAATTGAAACATTTGAGAATTCCTTTCATTTTTTCTTTTCTTTTATTATTCTAATATATAATATTTCTAATATTTAATATTCATAACCCAGAACTGCAGATGAACAATTATATGTAAGTGATTTCTCCCCACATTTCCTAACATACCACCATTCACACAGAGTCCCACAATATGTTTGAGCTAATTTTTATACGGTGATTTTTGAGCGGATGAAAAAAGCTTTTTTAATGGGGGTGTTTATATGAAGGATATAACAGCAAGACACGATTACAATATGAAGAAATTGTGATCATACTTTGATCATCTTACCTTCTCTCCAGCAAATATCTCTGATTTCCTGCAAGAATTCTAATTAAATTAATCTATCATTACTCACTATTAAATACATTATCTGCAAAGCATACTGTTATAGATGTTGGAACACCGCCCATTCCCTGTGGTTCCTCTTTTAAAAAAAAAAAAAAATCCTCCCTCCTACTCTGGGTAGTATAATAATTTATTTTATGTAAGTTCTAATTCTTTTCATTGGGCAACATTTTTTCGGGGGGGGGGGTGGGAAATCCAATGATTAGCAGAAGAACCAATAGTACGGAAAAACCCAACCATCCCAACCATTCTTAAGTACTGGGTGTTCACTATCTTGTGCAACTTTTTCACTCCAGATTGCTTCATTATTTCTAGTTATTTATTCTTCCTTGAGATCTGGCTAAACTCTTTGCCCCCAGCCCTCCTATATATGGATGGCATTCTCTCTATGTAATATCCCACCTTGCAAATCAAACTTAGACCCTCTCCCTCTTTCCTATGGTTTCTTCAGCTTCATAATGGTGATTGTTTTATGCTTTTCTGTTTGAGTTTAACATTTTCCTCCCTACATATGTAAGTATTTTTAAGCATTTGTATTTATTTAATCTTAATTCAAGTGGAAATCTTATTGAGAGAACAAGAGTCTATTCCCTACTACTGAATGATGATAAAGAATGAAGACAACATCCCTTCATGAAAGATTGAAAGAGCCCTTACTATGGACTAGGCACTAAATTAGGCATCTTCACATACACAGTATGTCATTTAGACTTAACATCACAAATATAGGAGCAGGCATCATTATGCACATGTGGTAATTTCAGAGAGAATAGTACTTTCCCTAAGATCAGAGTAATCGCTGACTAGCATGAAGATTTTAGCCTAGTCTTCCAATTAAGTCTTATGCTTTTATATCAACAATGTGGTTTCCTAGTACTCACAGTAATCCTAAGCAGATAATGCATGTTAATTATATTCCAAAGACTTTCGCTGAGTCCCTATCAAAAGTTTCTTCTACCAATAGAAACCTCAGAATACCATGGATTCTGAGGATAGGATTTAAAGCAATAGCAACTTTGTTACTACATTTTTTGCTACTTCACTCCCACATTAGCATTATCAAAGTATCCTTATGAACAAATCTGGCTTCATAAAAATGACATTGTAGTTACACTTGCTTGGTTGTTGAACAGCAGTTACAGTATAATTAGTGCCACTTAATGGAAAGCGTTACTGAAGTGCATATCGTTATTAATCAAACTCCAATATAAAGCTGGCTACAGTAATAATGAGTGCAATTATGGGCTGATGAACTGTTAAACTTGAAAACTGACCCTAACCAAATTTTCTTTCTTCAGAAAGTAATAAAACTCAAAGTGCTGGAAATCACTTTATTTCTCTGGGCTTTCTTGCCACAAAAACAACCTGGGAGATATTTTCTCATGCTCCTTGTTTTATAATTTCATGCACACTGAAGCTTGTAAAGTGGTGTGAGGATTGGAAAATGTGACCCTGAAGATAGGGTCAACTCTAATCTGAACCTGACAAGATTTGATTCAGCCCAGACTCATTACCTACCAGACAATGTGGAATTTTATCCAACTACTTTGTAGAGTTTCACACACACCAAAATCAAACAAAAAATGTCCATTGAGTCTGAATTAGCTAGCAGGCAAATTCAGGTTCATGATAAAATACTTGTTCCTTTAAAAGTATTTAAAAAATCCCTACAGGCTTATGTAAGATGAGAGTCTGGATCCCAGTTGGGCTTCTCTAAATCTTGCAATGGCTATTTGACAAACCTTTAATGGCATCTGCATTTCTTACTATTGGAAACCATGTTTAAAGTTTACATAATATTTGGCATGTTTAAAGCATGGTTTATTACCTTGTCTTTTAATATTTGGTGTTTTAGCTCCACAAATATTTCTACGTATACTCCTTTATAAACAAAATAGCCTTCCTTGTTCCCAGTAGTGATTCGAATGTCTTTTCACTCTTAAGACTTCCTAAACATTTTCCGCAGGTGCATGAGCTAGCTATCTCACATCATCTGATCACTGAGGGGGAAAATTCCTACTCTGACCCACAGGTGTGCATTTATATATGCTGTCAGGATTGAAAATTTTATCAAGTTAATAAATACTAATGAAGAGAATTGGAACAAATTTGCTAAATTTGCCAAATAAGGCACCCCAGAGCTATGTCTAACAACGTGTACCCTGACAGATGTGAACTGAGGTTGAAACACTTGAAAAACACAGAAAGGGAAGGAACAAAGAGAAAGAGAATTAAAGCCTAAAAATAATTGCACAATCTATTGAAGACAGGCATGAAAACGATCCTAAAATGGAAGGAGATATGTAGAAAAGGAAACTTGAGAGTGTTCTGTTACTGTTACTCCCACTGATAGCTAAAGAATTCAACCAAACTCTTTACCATGCACTCATACAGCCTTCTGTCGTTTGGCACTAAGCTCATGTTTCAGTCCTTTTTCTCACATCAAGGCAAGTGCATGTTATTGGATTGATAAATATGCCTTATGTTATGCTTTTCTTGCTTCATTATCACACATTATTATAAATGTCTTTTCAGCAACATTTTTGAATTGGGTTTATACCTGTTATCTTGAAGGTTCTGCAAGGAGAGGGGGGATGGTTAGGGGAGAAAAGGGCAGAACCATGAGGGAAGAGAATTCAGCTAAATTTCCCTGATTCAGTCTCCTTTTAACAACTCTCACTATGCCTCAGCATAATCAATAATTCCAAATGCATTCACCAATAATTTTCTCTATCTAGTAGACTCAAATGGACACCATTTCCTTACTGGATCAAGAAATAGATAAAAAGCCTAGCTAAATTACAACTATCACAATGTAGTTATTTTTCTGTCATGTTTCAAAATATGTTTTCCACTTTTTATATTGAGTTACTTTGACTCTTGACTCTAAAGTTATTCCCAGACAGAAAACTTCCATTCATATAAATACATTATATATATATGTGTGTGTGTATGTGTGTGTACTCACACACACATACACATGTACACACAATAGAATTGGAAACATATATATGTGTTTTATATATATTGAGAGAGAATTGAAAATATATATATATACACACACACACATACATATGTATACACACACACACACACAGCTGTTTCCTTTCTTCATGTTGAAGGGGAGGGCTACTTGTACATTATCATAATTCTTTAACTAAACTGGAATATACTATATACATAAGATTCAATTACCTCCTACTGTGTCCCTTCCACAACACGTGGGAATCATGGGAGCTACAAGATGATATTTGGTTGGGGACACAGCCAAACCATACCACCTAGGATTAAAAAAAGTAAAGCCAAAAGCAATGGTTCAACTGATATGGTTGTGTTTAAGGATTCAAATAAATGGTGATTATTAATCTCATACATCAAGCTTCCATTTACTTATTTAACTTATTATTTTCCCAACATTTCCATGCTAATTTTAATGAACTCTTCTAGCCTCCCAAGTTTGAGGCTTGTCAAGAGAGCACAAGATGAATAACTTTTACTCCACTCTCAAAAGTAAATACAAAAATGGAAGGAAAGTGATAGGAATGTATCAAAGAGAAAGTGACAGTATGATAGTCACCAAACTTTAAGTATCCCAAAAAACACTGGATATACTAAGAGAAAATAAACAGATGATTGTACTTCATTAAGTGTAACAAATCCAAGACAGCTCATTCATTTTCCTTCCCACAAAGGATCTCTTTTCTTTACTAAGACTGATAAGAAGGGAAAATATGAGCTGAGCTCATCCTTTTCTAACTGCATTAAAAACTCAGCATATGTTGTTCAGATAAAATATAAAGTACGCTAAAAGATTCATATGTATGGTAAAAGGATTAGCCATTTCACTTACTCCTATAACTAAAAAAGTTGTGTGTATATGTGTATGTCTGTGCGTGTGTTAGATTTACTCTTCTATATGTCAATATTTATCACATTTAACTATTACAATAAAGCATATTATATTATACTGCAAGGATAAGATTGATTCTATAGCAGGAGCTTGAGAAGGTACATATCAGAAACTCTGAAATGTGGGCCTTGCAAAAAATAATGGCTCACAGGGCCATTATAATGATTTCTATTAACAATTCCAATTCTATACACACTCTTTTCTTTCCTTCATGTTGAAGAGAAGGGCTACTTGTAGATCACTGAAATTCCTTTACTGAACTCAAAGAACTAGAAAGTGTTTCAAAAATCATGTGATCTGACTTTGTTTGTATGAAGGAAATGATTAGAGAGTGAAGTTACAGGCAATGCCCTAAGTCTACTCTTAGTTATTGCCACAGTAGGGCTGGAAACCGTGTCTTCTGGAGCCTGCTTCAGAGTATTCTCCACCACTGAAAAAATTATTAGTTATATTGCACATATGTTATTTGCCTTAAAAGCGTTCTTTGTAAGATTGCTTTAAGCAACAAAATTTTACATTACATTTAAAAGTCAGTTTAATACGTGCATATTCAACTCTCACAAGAGCAATATGATCTAGGCAGTGTGGCCAAGGGAACTGGCCACTGGGTGTTGGAAGACTTAAGAATTCACCCAGGCTTTGCCAGTAAATAACTTGGAATTGATCTTCAATATATCTTGGCCTCAGTTTCCTGAGATGAAAAATTACAGATCTATGTTCCATTACACTGATATCCATCCAGTTGGATTTATGTCATTGTTTATCTAAACTTTTCAGTTAACTATTTCTTAAAGATAAAACTCTAACTAAAACTAAAAGCTCAATCAAAATAAAAAATATTAAAGAAACTTACACTGAGAATTTTTACATGAAGTTGATAATTATTCTATTAATTAACTGTGATATTTATGTACTTTCAGTCAAACATGATAATTTTTATAGCAGTAGAATTAACTGTTCTAAAAAATTTTGATGACCTTTCTATGAATCACGGTTACCTTTCCCTCTCATAAAATATCCATGGACATTCAGGACAAAGATTGCCCTTAAATTTTTAGCCTTTGCACCTTAGAAAGAATGCAAATACTGAACTATTGCAAAAATATACTCAAGTAAGATTGCAATGTAAAACCACAATTTCCCAAAATGCCCTGCCTATCTTTAAAATATTTTAAATTGTTTGCAGTTTAAGTGCTAGCTCATTTGGTTTACAATACCTCCTAAATTTTCCATTCCTATGAAGATCATTTAAAATCTTTATTTTCAAATGTCTTTTGGGAACACCTACATTTTGCTCATTATTTGTGGGGGTTTTTTGGTTATTAATACAGGCATTTAATGTAAGATTCTACATGCCATATTTCTGTTTCATTTGCTTTATATAAAATAACCTTTTCTACTTCTCTAATACAGAAAACAAGCCACAAGTGTTTCTTCATTTCCTTGGCTTCAAAATAATTGCCTGAGATACCTACAAAAAATATTCCTGCTAGTTAATGTCGCAGGTTGTCTTTTATCAATGCAAGCCCCGTTGAGTTGTAAATGTACTAGTGCTGTGAGAAAATCAGATTAAATCATTTGTTCTTTAGCTGTGTTTCACAATTTTATTGTCTGATAATCCAGGAAGTCATTAATTTGATATAACCCAAATTATCTTGAACTATGCTTTTAAAACTTGTTATCCAGCAGCTACTAATATTTTGTCTGTGTTTATCTTCACAAGTTTAAACTGTAGAAAGTTTATTTCAGTTTTCCCATGTAAAACTGAATTACACTACTGACTATATTACTAAATATATTCTTTTAAAGTAAGCATGCACTACATGTTCACAGAAATTATAATGCAGACAGGCAGTAAAATCACTGCTCTGCAGTTTACTTTTCCTAAAATATAAAGAAATATAAGCTTCTTTATATCTTCTTCTGTCATGTGAATGCCAGTCTGCTATAGGGAAAACTCTGATAAAAGATTTTTTTTCTATTTTTGAGCAGACCATGCCTCTGTGCTTTCATTGTGTTGCATTATAGCATTTAGTGCCCAGACAGGAAGAATTCTATTGCACTGATTTGAGTTATACAGGTGGGTGTGATTCAGTTTCTTTTATGTTAGTACATCTGGATCTTAATGTGCAACACCTCTGCTTTTTTAGTTCTTTGAATCAGTCTGACAATCACAACCAGGATATGAATCAACCAAGATGGTGAGTTTTTGGATGTGTAAGTAAATAATTATTTTTATTTTCTACCAAAAATATTATTGTATCACTGTTTGCATTTCTTTATACTTATCTACAGAAAACATTCAGAAGAAAAATATAAAATGTATAATTATCTATGTACAATTATTTATGCAAAAATGCCTAGAAAATTTTATTTATTTGGTTTCCTATGCAATTATATTAACACAGGTCAGTTTTCAAGCAAAACTCTCTATTTAGCATTTTTACCAGCTGCTAGTCACTAGTATCTAGTAACCACCTATTATGTTTCCAGCATAACGATTAGGGCTGATAATTAATGGCTAATTAAAAGATCAATCTTCATCTTTATAGGATTACACAAGTTACATCTGTTTTACAAAGTGGAGATCATAATTGTCAGGCCTCTGAGCCCAAGCCAAGCCATCTCATCCCCTGTGACTTGCACGTATATACGCCCAGATGGCCTGAAGTAACTGAAGAATCACAAAAGAAGTGAAAATGCCCTGCCCCACCTTAACTGATGACATTCCACCACAAAAGAAGTGTAAATGGCCGGTCCTTGCCTTAAGTGATGACATTACCTTGTGAAAGTCCTTTTCCTGGCTCATCTTGGCTCAAAAAGCAACCCCACTGAGCACCTTGCAACCCCCACTCCTGCCCACCAGAGAACAAACCCCCTTTGACTGTAATTTTCCTTTACCTACCCAAATCCTACAAAACGGCCCCATCCTTATCTCCCATCGCTGACTCTCTTTTCCGACTCAGCCCGCCTGCACCCAGGTGAAATAAAGTCATGTTGCTCATACAAAGCCCGTTTGGTGGTCTCTTCACACGGACGCGCATGAAATTTGGTGCTGTGACTCGGATCAGGGGACCTCCCTTGGGAGATCAATCCCCTGTCCTCCTGTTCTTTGCTCTGTGAGAAAGATCCACCTACGACCTCAGGTCCTCAGACCAACCAGCCCAAGGAACATCTCACCAATTTTAAATCAGGTAAGCAGCCTCTTCTTACTCTCTTCTCCAACCTCTCTCACTGTCCCTCAACCACTTTCTCCTTTCCATTCTTCAATCTCTCCCTTCTCTTAATTTCAATTCCTTTCATTTTCTGGGAGAGATAAAGGAGACACGTTTTATCCGTGGACCCAAAACTCCGGCGCCGGTCCCCTTCTTCACTCTTAGCAGCAAGTCCCGCTTTTCTAGAGGAGGGGCAAATACCCCAACCTCATATCTCTGCGCCCCAATCCCTTATTTCCGCGCCCCAACCTCTTATATCTCTGAGCCCCAATCCCTTATTTCCACCCCCGACCCCTTATTTCTGCACCCCATCCCTTATTTCCGCACCCCAACCCCTTTTCCCACTTTTCTGGAAGGTAAGAACCCCTGAACCCTTTCCCTCCGTTTCTCTACTCACTCTTTTCTCTAGGCTTGCTTCCTTCACTATGGGCAACCTTCCACCCTCCATTCCTCCTACTCCCTTGGCCTGTGTTCTCCAAAACTTAAAACCTCTTCAACTCACACCTGACCTAAAACCTAAATGCCTTATTTTCTTCTGCAATGCCGCTTGACCCCAATACAAACTCGACTGTACTTCCAAATACCCAGAAAATGGCACTTTGAATTTTTCCATCCTGCAAGAACTAAAGAGTTCTTGTTGTAAAATAGGCAAACGGTCTGAGGTGCCTGACGTCCAGGCATTCTTTTACACATAAGTCCCTTCCTAGTCTCTGTGCCCAGTGCAACTCATCCCAAATCTTCCTTCTTTCCCTCCCGCCTGTCCCCTCAGTATCAACCCCAAGCGTCTCTGAGTCTTTCTAATCTTCCTTTTCTACAGACCCATGCAACCTCTCCCTTCCTCCCCAGGCTGCTCCTCGCCAGGCCAAGCTAGGTCCCAATTCTTCCTCAGCCTCTGCTCCTCCACCCTATAATCTTTTTTATCACCTCCCCTCCTCACACCTGGTCTGGCTTACAGTTTCGTTCCGTGACTAGCCCTCCCCCTCCTGCCCAGCAACTTACTCTTAAAAAGGTGGCTGGAGCTAAAAGCATAGTCAAGGTTAATGCTCCTTTTTCTTCATCCCAAATCAGATAGTGTTTAGGCTCTTTTTCATCAAATATAAAAATCCAGCCCAGTTCATGACTTGTTTGGCGGCAATCCTGAGACACTTCACAGCCCTAGACCCTAAAAGGTCAAAAGGCCGTCTTATTCTCAAAATACACTTTATTACCCAATCTGCTCCCGACATTAAATAAAACTCCAAAAATTGGAATCTGGCCCCCAAGCCCCACAACAGGACTTAATTAACCTCACCTTCAAGGGGTACAATAATAAAAAAAAGTTGCAATTCCTTGCCTCCACTGTGAGACAAACCCCAGCCACATCTCCAGCACACAACAACTTCCAAACGCCTGAACCGCAGCAGCCAGGGGTTCCTCCAGAACCTCCTCCCCCATGAGCTTGCTACAAGTGCCAGAAATCTGACCACCAGGCCAAGGAATGCCTGCAGCCCAGGATTCCTCCTAGGCCGTGTCCCATCTGTGCGGGACCCCACTGGAAATCAGACGGTGCAACTCACCTGGCAGACACTCCCAGAGCCCCTGGAACTCTGGCCCAAGGCTCTCTGACTGACTCCTTCTCGGCTTAGCGGCTGAAGACTGACGCTGCCCAGTCACCTCGGAAGCCCTGTAGACAATCACAGATGCCGAGCTTCGAGTAACTCTCACAGTGGAGGGTAAGTGCATCCCCTTCTTAATCAATACGGAGGCTACCCACTCCATATTACCTTCTTTTCAAGGGCCTGTTTCCCTTGCCTCCATAACTGTTATAGGTATTGACGGCCAGGCTTCTAAACCTCTTAAAACTCCCCAACTCTGGTGCCAACTTAGGCAATACTCTTTTAAGCACTCCTTTTTAGTATCCCCACCTGCCCAGTTCCCTTATTAGGCTGAGACACTTTAACTAAATTATCTGCTTCCCTGACTATTCCTGGACCACATCTATATCTCATTGCTGCCCTTCTTCCCAATCCAAAGCCTCCTTTGCATCCTCCTCCTGTATCCCCCCACCTTGACCCACAAGTATAAGATACCTCTACTCCCTCCTTGGCGACCGATCATGCACCCCTTACCTAAAACCTAATCACCCTTACCCCACTCAATGCCAATATCCCATCCCGCAGCATGCTTTAAAAAGATTAAAGCCTGTTATCACTCGCCTGCTACAGCATGGCCTTTTAAAGCCTATAAACTCTCCTTACAATTCCCCCATTTTACCTGTCCTAAAACCAGACAAGGTTTACAAGTTAGTTCAGGATCTGCGCCTTATCAACCAAATTGTTTTGCCTATCCACCCTGTGGTGCCAAACCCATATACTCTCCTATCCTCAATACCTGCCTCTACAACCCATTATTCTGTTCTAGATCTCAAACATGCTTTCTTTACTATTCCTTTGCACCCTTAATCCCAGCCTCTCTTCGCTTTCACTTGGACTGACCCTGACACCCATCAAGCTCAGCAAATTACCTAGGCTGTACTGCTGCAAACCTTCACAGACAGCCCCCATTACTTCAATCAAGCCCAAATTTCTTCCTCATCTGTTACCTATCTCGGCATAATTCTCATAAAAACACACGTGCTCTCCCTGCCAATCGTGTCCGACTGATCTCTCAAACCCCAGCACCTTCTACAAAACAACAACTCCTTTCCTTCTTAGGCATGGTTAGCATGGTCAGAATTCTTACACAAGAGCCAGGACCACACCCTGTAGCCTTTCTGTCCAAACAACTTGACCTTACTGTTTTAGCCTAGCCCTCATGTCTGCGTGCAGCGGCTGCCGCAGCTTTAATACTTTTAGAGGCCCTCAAAATCACAAACTATGCTCAACTCACTCTCTACAGTTCTCATAACTTCCAAAATCTATTTTCTTCCTCATACCTGACACATACACTTTCTGCTTTCTGGCTCCTTCAGCTATACTCACTCTTTGTTGAGTCTCCCACAATTACCGTTGTTCCTGGCACAGACTTCAATCTGGCCTCCCACATTATTCCTTATACCACACCTGACCCCCATGACTGTATCTCTCTGATCCACCTGACATTCACCCCATTTCCCCAGATTTCCTTCTTTCCTGTTCCTCACCCTGATCACACTTGATTTATTGATGGCGATTCCACCAGGCCTAATCGCCACACACCAGCAAAGGCAGGTTATGCTATAGTACAAGCCACTAGCCTGCCTCTTAGAACCTCTCATTTCCTTTCCATCGTGGAAATCTATCCTCAAGGAAATAACTTCTCACTGTCCCATGTGCTATTCTACTACTCCTCAGGGATTATTCAGGCCCCCTCCCTTCCCTACACATTAAGCTCGAGGATTTGCCCCACCCAGGACTGGCAAATTAGCTTTACTCAACATGCCCTGAGTCAGATAACTAAAATACCTCTTAGTCTAGGTAGATACTTTCACTGGATAGGTAGAGGCCTTTCCTACAGGGTCTGAGAAGGCCACCGCAGTCATTTCTTCCCTTCTGTCAGACATAATTCCTACAGTCTGATAACAGATGAGCCTTTATTAGTCAAATCAGCCAAGCAGTTTTTCAGGCTCTTAGAATTCAGTGAAACCTTTATATCCCTTACGGTCCTCCGTCTTCAAGAAAAGTAGAATGGACTAAAGGTCTTTTAAAAACACACCTCACCAAGCTCAGCCACCAACTTAAAAAGGACTGGACAAAACTTTTACAACTTTCCCTTCTCAGAATTCAGGCCTGTCCTCGGAATGCTACAGGGTACAGCCCATTTAAGCTCCTGTATAGACGCTCCTTTTTATTAGGCCCCAGTCTCATTCCAGACACCAGACCAACTTAGACTGTGCCCCCAAAAAACTTGTCATCCCTACTATCTTCTGTTTAGTCATACTCCTGTTCGTTCTCAACTACTCATACATGCCCTGCTCTTGTTTACACTGCCGGTTTACACTGTTTTTCCAAGCCATCACAGCTGATATCTCCTGGTGCTATCCCCAAACTGCCACCCTTAACTCTTGAAGTAAATAAATAATCTTTGCTGGCAGGACTGCTGAATCTCCTTAGGCACTCTAATCAGATATCCTGAGTCATCCCAATTCTTAGACCTTTTATACTTGTTTTTCTCCTTCTGTTATTCCATTTAGTTTCTCAATTCATCCAAAACCATATCCAGGCCATCACCAATCATTCTATACGACAAATGTTTCTTCTAACATCCCCACAATATCACCCCTTACCACACGACCTCCCTTCAGCTTATTCTCTCCCACTCTAGGTTCCCACGCCGCCCCTAATCCCGCTTGAAGCAGCCCTGAGAAACATCACCCATTCTCTCTCCATAACACCCCCCCAAAATTTTCACCACCCCAACACTTCAACGCTATTTTGTTTTATTTTTCTTATTAATATAAGAAGGCAGGAATGTCAGGCCTCTGAGCCCAAGCCAAGCCATCGCATCCCCTGTGACTTGCACCTATATGCCCAGATGGCCTGAAGTAACTGAAGAATCACAAAAGAAGTGAATATGCCCTGCCCTACCTTAACTGATGACATTCCACCACAAAAGAAGTGTAAATGGCCAGTCCTTGCCTTAAGTGATGACATTACCTTGTGAAAGTCCTTTTCCTGGCTCATCCTGGCTCAAAAAGCACCCCCACTGAGCACCTTGCGACCCCCACTCCTGCCCCCCAGAGAACAAACCCCCTTTGACCGTAATTTTCCTTTACCTACCCAAATCCTATAAAACGGCCCCACCCTTATCTCCCATCGCTGACTCTCTTTTCCGACTCAGCCCGCCTGCACACAGGTGAAATAAACAGCCATGTTGCTCACACAAAGCCTGTTTGGTGGTCTCTTCACACGGACGCGCATGAAAATAATCACTTTTATTTACTCCAATTAGATTATTTTAGACTAGTTAAGCTCACAGAAAAAGACTTTCCACATAACTAACAGGAAACCCAAGAAGGGAGAAGGAAGGAAACTTAGTAATCAATAGAGAGAAGAGACAGAAGCTTACTATTAATTGTATAGCAAATAAATATCACATTAATTACAGAAAATAAGTCTGTAATGGGAATAAAATGCTGCATTTAAAAGAAATCAAAACTAAATAAAACCAATGAAGTATTTCTTGGCTTCCTAGCACACTTTCTAATGAACCGTTCACACCTCATGAACAGAAATGCCTCAGCAAGCCCTACTTCTGTTCTATTATACCATTAATAAGTCCAGCATATTGTAGACATTTTGAAGTAAGCAAAGAACACTACTGTGTTCTATTTCACTTTTGAGGTTTTCACACCAAGAATTATCATTTTCATTTTGCCTGTTTTCTCAACTGACCTTGGTGTTAAATTCAATTATTTTTAAAAAATCATATTAATAACAGCATGACCTGAGAAACCAATTTGTGTCCCCAGAACAAAGTGAGATAGTGGAAACATAATCGACTGATGAGGAAAGAAGCATATTATGAAATGAAATTTCAGATTCTTATTTTTGAAACTTGTTCTATTTACAATATAAAAACCATCAGTAGAGAAGATATCACTAAGCTGAATTTTGGGGGCTATCTGAAGGCTGGCAAAATGC